>NC_000004.12:188315320-188618350 GCF_000001405.40 Homo sapiens
TTCCTTTGATTTTTATTCTCTTTAAAATATTTTTCATTATAATTCTCAATTCAATAGATGCCTACTTATGCAGCGCTAACATATTTTCAACTTTCATTTACACATTCTACAGATATGCATTAAACACCTACTGTATGCGAATCACTGGGTGAAGAACTGCCAAGCAGTGAACCAGCCTGGCAGGTTTGTCTGCTCTCGGGCAGCCTTCGTTCTACCAATTGAGCATTGGATAAGAAACTGTGATGCTCTGAGGTACAAAGAGGACTCAGGTGTCCCTAATCCAGTCTTCAGGACAGGCACCCTAAAGGAAATGGCCTTCACACTGGGAAAATGGAGCATGAGCAAGAGATAGCAAAGCCAGCAGGGGTGGGGTTGGAGAAGACATCTCAGACAGAACAGCACAGGCAGAGAACAGTCTACAGCCTTACAGGACACATTAGTTTCAAGCCTTTAACTTGGGGAAAAACAGATGCTATTGAAAGTTTTCATCATGGGAGTGACACGCAGGGCTGCTGCATGTTACCACACACATTACAACATGCATGTTACAACACCTTATTGTACACAGGATGGTACCTGGGATGCATGAAGAAGAGTACCTCATTTAAGTGAGTGCTACTCACATTGTGGACATCTGATATTTATATATTTATTAGAGTGGTTTTCTGGTAGATGGAGATAAAATGGCTTGTTCTAACAAAATAAGTATCTTCTGACAATTTTTTGACAGATGGAAGTAAATTGTCTTGAGGAAAGGGCCTTTTAAAAATTTATACAAAGGCAGTGGATCCGGCTAGCAGCAGACTCTGGCTGTAACCGTTTGCATTTTAAAATACCCCTCTCATGAACATTTGGAGAGTAAATCAGGAGAAGGAGGTGGCTGTGGGATGCCATTTAGGAGGCTCTTGTGTTGTCTGTGTGAGGCATGATGGTGGTTTGGACTAGGATGGTGACATAAGGTGAAAGACAAGTAGACGTGAGAGATATTTAGTGAGGAAAATCAACAGGCCTTGACAGTTGAACAGATGTAGGTTAGAGATTCCTAGATTTCTGGCTCTTAATTTATCAATTTCACTTGTGATTTTAATAGAAATTAATCATCTAGCTCTCAGATGTCTAGCTACTCTCCTGACAAGCCAAGGGACTCCCTTAACAAGACCTGATTTCTTTATTCAAGGTTGAAATGCATCTCTTGGTATTCTGCTTCAGTCAGCTTTGGCCTTTTTTGGCTGCCGAAACAATCGAAAACTGTTATGCAGTTGGTGTCTGTTATAATCCTCAGTTTGCATTGGACTGTCCTATTTTTTCATTTCTCCAGCTGCTGAATAGCTGAATTCCTTATGATTACATCCTCCCCCTCTCTAGTGCTCTCTAGAAGCTTAAGCTCAGGATTTTCCATGGAAATTCATTTAGTTATTTCCTCTTCATTATCATACACTCTTCAATTCAACTCTTTTGAATTTTTCTTCTGTTCTCTGATGAGTTTATGCTTTCTAACTTGGTCATGGCTGAAAATATCATTAACCTGCTGCTGTTTTCTGTATTTGTCATTAATAACAACGTTGGAAATTTGGTTTGACTCCCACCCTGAGGAGCTAGGCAGTGGGCATGCACACGCGCACACACACACACACACACACACTCACACACACACACACACACTCACTCCAGCTCAAATGCTTTGCAATTGGAAACACCATTCCTCTTCAGGCCTTTGTAAGAATTATTATGAGTGTTGATAGCAATTCAATTCTGATTAAGTTTATTAAAAAGTAACCAACATCTCATGTACATTCAAAAGTGTTCCCTCTTCCATTAATTATATAATTGAGCAAAAAGTTATTTTATCTAAAATGTTTAAAGCCTGGCCACTTTACTATGCTTCTTTTTCGATAACTTAAACATACCAATTTCTCTATATAATAATTTTTAATCATTTGACTTTGAGGATTCTACTTTAATGGAAAATAGGAAAAATGGATGTCATAATACATTCTCAGTAGGGACTTATCAGCAAACAGAAACAATCTACAAATTTCATGGAGGAGTTTGATGGTGGTTACATTTGCCACAAGACATGGTGGTTTCCGATGCCCAGATGATGACCTGCCCTCGACCACTGCAGATTTAGTGTGTTCTTTGCTCCATTAGCAGCAGGGACTATGGGAAAGACATTTCAATAAGATTAGAAAACAAAAAAACAGGGTGGGGCCTTTGGTTAACACATGGTTAACAGACTATTCAAGGAGAAGATAACAGCATAACTGAAGTATTTCAGGTAATCGGGATTTTAACTGCACTCAACTCACCATGGTGAACTCGCCCTTAGAAAACACTTTTCAGCTATGGGTGATGACGACTTTTCAATTTTCTTCCTCTTATTTTCCTTGATGTCTACCTTCTGTGCATATGGTCATTAAGGAATGCCAAAAGGTGATGTAAGAAAAGTAGAAGAAAATGACATTATTGTATGGCATTCTCTACAAAGAAATATGGGCAGTGGAGGAATAATTGTCTCATATAACTTTGGGATTATATGTAAATTTCTATTACTAATTGCTGTCTAACTTTCATTTATATAAATTTCTGCATCTACTGTATTTTAACTACACAAATTAATATACTTTCAAAAGATTACTGAGTTCTGTTTCTCCTTTCAACATTCAAGATGTTGGGTTTTTGTACAGTGGGGTCCTCTGCAATATTGGCTTGCAAGAAAAAGTGACCACGTTAGAGCATTCCTAACAGTGCATGGAGAAATGACACAAGGCAATATGCTAGCGCACAAACATTGTCAGTGTTTCCAACTCTAGTCAGGTACTATAAGGTAGACAGCTCAATTGAAGACTATGATGGGGGTTTGTGCTATCAGATGTCAGAAAGATATTCTTGTAGGAAGAAAAGAACAAACTTTTTTAAAGTAGCATCTCTCAATATTATTCTGAGTAAATGGTTCCAAGAAAGCAGAAACAAGTTTATTACATAGGAGCTTCAGGACTAAATGGAAATCCAGGCTCAGGGCTTGCAGGAAGAGGGTTAGAAGCCAGAGGCTCAGAACCCAGTTGAGAAGGTGGAGCAGGAGGAGCAAAAGGAAGTCATCAAGTGAAAAGACACAGTGGGAGTCAGAAAATACCAAAACCAATAGCCAGGTCTTTGGGAGCTTCAAGAGCAGTGATATACACATAATCAAAGACTAGGTCTTAAGAGTCACAACCACTGAAGGATATTTAAGAAAGAGATTTTAAAAGGTTCCTCAGGAAACGTTGTTGAGTGCCTGTGGTGGGGTTCCACTAATGAGCTTCAAGTGTGCATCACACACACACACACATTATTTTTCCTAAAAAAGGTATCGTAGCTTTCATTAGATTTTCAAAGGGGTTACCAACATCTCAAAGAACTAAACCCACAGTGTTGTAAAGGCCTTCTTAGAAGCTAAGGATACGTATGAATGGTATGTTGTAAAGGTCCTCCTGGAAGCTAAGGATATGTATGAATGGTCATTAAATTATGATATCTGGGAGCAAATACGTGTACCAAAGGAAGACTGACAATCCCACATTGATGAAGACCATCACCAGCCTCCATGTGTTGGAAATTTAACTGCCAAACAAATGTGTAACACTGATGTTTCTGTATGTGATGAAAATGTCTATTCTGCTCACAGTTAATCTCTACTTCTGGACACTCCTGCTTTCTATAGAAGGTGATTAGATTAGAAAAAAAGTATCTGAATGTTGAAAGAGAAACTGGGTATCATAAAATTAATTATTGAATGTTGCCAATATCACAAAAATACAAAAGATAATTCAAGGCTACTATGAACACCTTTATGTGCATAAACTAGGAAACCTAAAGGAGATGGATAAATTCCTGGAAATACACAACCCTCCTAGATTAACCAGGAAGAAACAGAAACTCTGAACAGACCAACAACAAGCAGCGAGATTGAAATAGTAATAAAAAAATTTGCCAGGAGGCGGAGGTTGCAGTGAGCCGAGATCACACCACTGCGCTCCAGCGTGGGCGGCAGAGTGAGACACCATCTCAAAAAAAAAAAAAAAATTGCCCCAGGGCCTGTCGGGGGCATGGGGGACAAGGGGAGGGGAGCATTAGGACAAATACCTAATGCATGCGGGGCTTAAAACCTAGATGACGGGTTGATAGGTTGATAGGTGCAGCAAACCACCACGGCACTTGTATACCTATGTAACAAACCTGTATGTTCTGCACAGGCATCCCAGAACTTAAAGCAAAAAAAAAAAAAAAGTATTTGACATTAAAAAAAAAATTGCCAACAAAAAGAAAGTCCAGGACCAGATGGATTCACAGCTGAATTCTATCAGACATCCAAGTAAGAACTGGTACCAACGCTATTGACACTATTCCACAAGACAGAGAAAGAGGGAATCCCCTCTAAATTATTCTATGAAGCCAACATCACCCTAATATCAAAACCAGGAAAGGACATAACAACAAAAAAAGCTACAGACCAATATCCCTGATGAGCATAGATGCAAACATTCTTGACAAAATACTATCTAACAGAATCCAATAGCATATCAAAAAGATAATTCATGATTATGAAACCATGATCAAGTGGGTTTCATACCAGGGATGCAGGGGTGGTTTAACATACACAAGTCAATAAATGTCGGCCGGGCGCAATGGCTCATGCCTGTAATCCCAGCACTTTCGGAGGCCAAGGCGGGCAGATCACGAGGTCAGGAGATCGAGACCATCCTGGCTAACACAGTGAAACCCCGTCTCTACTAAAAATACAAAAAATTAGCTGGGCGTGATGGCGGGCGCCTGTAGTCCCAGCTACTCAGGAGGCTGAGGCAGGAGAACGGCGTGAACCTGGGAGGCGCAACTTGCAGTGAGCTGAGATTGCGCCACTGCACTCCAGCCTGGGCAACAGAGCAAGGCTCTGTCTCAGAAAAAGAAAAAAAAAGTCATACATCACATAAACAGAATTAAAAACAAAAATCATACGATCATCTCAATAGATGCAGAGAAAGCATTTGACAAAACCCAGCAACCCTTTATGATTAAAACACTCAGCAAAATTGGCATAGAAGGGACATACTTTAATGTAATAAAAGTAATCTATGACAAACCCACTGCCAACATTATTCTGAATGGGGAAAAGCTGAAAGCATTCCCCCTGAGAACTAGAATAAGACAAGGATGCCCACTCTTACCTCTTCTATTCAACATGGTACTGAAAGTCCTAGCCAGACAAATCAGACAAGAGAAAGAAATAAAGGGCATCCAAATCAGTAAAGAGGAAGTCAAACTTTCACTGTTTGCTGATAGTACGATTGTATACCTAGAATACTATAAAGACGCCTCAAAAAATCTCCCAGAACTGATAGAAAAAAATTCAGCAAAGTTTCAGGATACAAAATTAATACGCACAAATTAGTAGCTCTGCTACACACCAACAGTGACCAAGCTGAGAATCAAATCAATAACTCAATCCTTTTTACAATAGCTGTAAAAAAAAAAATACTTAGGAATATACCTAACCAGGGAGATGAAAGATCTCTACAAAGAAAACTACAAAACATTGCTGAATGAACTCATAGAGAACACAAACAAATGGAGACACATCCCATGCTCATGGTTGGGTAGAATCAATATTGTAAAAATGACCATCTGCCAAAAGCAATATACAAATTCAATGCAACTCCCATCAAAATACCACCATCATTCTTCACAGAACTAGAAAAAAAATCATAAATTTCATATGGAACCAAAAAAGGGCCTGCATATCCAAAGCAAGATTAAGCAAAGAGAACAAATCTGGTGACACTACAGTACCTGACTTCAAACTATACTATAAGTCCACAGACACCAAAAGAGCATAGTACTGGTGTGAAAATAGGCACATAGACCAATGGAACACAATAGAGAACTCAGAAATAAAGCCAAATACTTATAGCTAACCAATTTTCAAGAAAGCAAACAAAAACATAAAGTGAGAAAAGGACACCCTATTCAACAAATGGTGCTGGAATAATTGGCAAGCCACAGGTAAAAGAATGAAATTGGATCCTCATCTCTCACCTTATACAAAAATTACTCAAGATGGATCAAAGACTTAAATCTAAGACTTGAAACCATAACAATTCTAGAAGATAACATTAGAAAAACCCTTTTAGACACTGACTTAGGCAAAGACTTTATGACCAAGAACCCAAAAGCAAATGAAACAAAAACAAAGATAAACAGATGGTACTTAATTAAACTAAAAGTCTTCTGCACAACAAAAGAAGCAATCAGCAGAGTAAACAGACAACCCACAAAGTGGGAGAAAATCTTTGCAATCTATATATTTGACAAAATACTAATATCCAGAATTTAGGAGGAACTCAAACAAATCAACAAGAAAAAAACAAACAATCTCATCAAAAAGTGGGCTAAGGACATGAATAGACAATTCTCAAAAGAAGACATACAAATTGCCAACAAACATGAAAAAATGCTCAGTATCACTAATGATCAGGAAAATACAAATTAAACCTACAATGTGGTACTACCTTACTCCCACAAGAATGGCCACAAAAAATAAAAAAATAATAAATGTTGGTGTGAAAGTGATGAAAAGGGAACACTTTCACACTGCTGGTGGGAATGTAAACAAGTACAACCAGTATGGGAAAGTATGGTGATTCCTTAAAGAATTAAAAGTAGAACTACCGTTTGACCCAGCAATCCCACTACTGTGTATCTATCCAGAGGAAAAGAAGTCATTATAGGAAAAAAGATACTTGTACACACATGTTTATAGCAGCGCAATTCACAATTGCAAAGATATGGAACCAGTCCAAATGCCCATCAGCCAACGAGAAGATAAAGAAATTGTGGTATATGTATACACCATGAAATACTACTCAGCCATAAAAAGGAACAAAATAATGGCATTCATAGTGACCTGTATGGAAATGGAGACCATTATTCTAAGTGAAGTAGCTCAGGAATGGCAAACCAAACATTGTATGTTCTCACTAGTAAGTGGGAGCTAAGCTATGAGGATATAAAGGTATAAGAATGATACAGTGGGGCTGGGCCTGGTGGTTCATGCCTGTAATCCCAGCAGTTTGGGAGGCCAAGGCAGGCAGATCACCTGAGATCAGGAGTTCGAGACCAGCCTGACCAACATAGTGAAACCCTGTCTCTTCTAAAAATACAAATATTAGCTGGGAGTGGTCATGGGTGCCTGTAGTCCCAGCTACTTGGGAGGCTGAGGCAGAAGAATTGCTTGAAGCCAGGAGGCAGAGGTTGCAGTGAGCCAAGGTTGTGCCATTGCACTCCAGCCTGGGTGACAGAGGGAGACTATCTCAAAAAAAAAAAAAAAAAAAAAGAATGATACAGTGGACTTTGGGGACTCGGTTGGAGCTCGGGGAAGGGTGAGAGTGAGGTAAGGGATAAAAGACTACACACCCGGTACAGTGTACACTGCTTGCGTGATGGGTGCACCAAAATCTCGGAAATCACCACTAAAGAACTTTTTTTTTCTTTTTTGAGACGGAGTTTCGCTCTTGTCGTCCAGGCTAGAGTGCAATGGTGCGATCTCGGCTCACCGCAACCTCTGCCTCCAGGGTTCAAGCGATTCTCCTGCCTCAGCCTCCCGAGTAGCTGGGATTACAGGCATGTGCCACCACGCCAGGCTAATTTTGTATTTTTAGTAGAGACGGGGTTTCTCCATGATGGCCAGGCTTGTCTCGAATTGCTGACCTCAGGTGATCCACCCGCCTCGGCCTCCCAAAGTGCCAGATTACAGGCGTGAGCCACTGCGCCTGGTCCACCACCAAAGAACTTAACCAAGTACCACCAGTTCCCCAAAAACCTATTGAAATAAAAAATAAATAAAATTATTGTGTGTTAAATAAATACTTCTATAAACAAATAGAAGGCATTTTTGTCAGCTCAGTAAGAAATAAACACACAGACAAAAAACCAATGCTGCTGGCTGCCATCAAGTGACTACCTGAAATGTCTTATAGTGGCGAAGTAAATTCACAAATTTCCATTATAGGGAGACATTTAATATCTGTATTTTACAGACTTAACTCACATAATAGCACTACTAAATGTCCCTTTCTATTAACATTTCAGTTAAATTTTCCTCCAAAGTGATATGTTCAAGTGGAGGTTTCAGTAAAATTGACACATTTGGCATATAAATTAATCATCAGGCCTAATTATGCCAGTAGGTTTGTTTTTTAAATCGGGAAATTGGCACAATATATGTATAAGTTGTTGCCAAGACACGTATTATATATTTGTAATCATTGAATATTGCTCTAAATTATTAGTAGTGACTAATATCAGAAATAAATTTAATAGATTACCTTAATTAAATAGTATGTATTTACAAAACAATAAGAGAAAAAATTGTAGAGATATTTAGTTGCACCTGTTCAATGATTAGTTTACCAAAAAAACTGAGATTTGAATATGCCGAGCTGTGCATGTAAATGTATTATGATGCTATGCTAATGGCTTAAGAGAGGGAATATTCTTTTAAAAAGATTATTTTACATATATAACGTAAGTATACTGAATTGGAATTATATAGGGAAGATGGCAAAATATAAAACAATTTAGACTAAATTATCATCATTCTGAAGTTTCACGAGGTTATAGATAGAAAATAGCCATGATTTAGGTTTGTTTATTCCCTATTTTTTCATTGTTTCTCACTAAGATTTATTTGGAAATAAATGAAAATAATACTGAATAGATTTTTATTTAAAACCAGCAAAATTCTTTTATTATTATTTTTTTCTTAAGTCTTATCACACCAAAGTTTAAATGAAGGGAAAATTGAAGAAGAAAGAGAGATAATTGATATAAATAGCACAGAAGAGTAGAAAGCAAGAAGACTGCTTTAGGCTACTAATTAAAAGAGACAAGATAATTTGCAGTGGTGTGGATTCAAGAATAAAGAGAAAAAGAATACAACAAATTATTCTTGATGGGAATTAAGACTGCTTTTAGTAGTAATTCTTATATTAGAATGTAAGTATGACTCTAATTAAAATAATACCCACAGTTGTCAAGTAGAAATATGCCTGTAAAATTAGCATATTGACAAGACTCGTATTTTTTCCAAAATGTACTTGTACCATTATTCTCCAACAGTCTAACACATTTAATGGTATTTGGAAACCTATTAGAAAAGGTGTAAGTATTGCATTCCAAAGGCTATTTAAAACCTTTCCCAAGAGCACACAATTTCCATAAGACTAGATAAAAAACTTCTTATTTTTACGAGTGCATTTTACCTCAATGTAAAGCAAATGCAATACACTGTCTCATGCAACATTGTTAATTTTTCCAACTTAAATCAAAGAGGCTATAAGGTAGATAACTCAACTGAAGACTGTGATGGTGGTTTGTGCTATCAGATGTCAGAAAGATATTCCTGCAGGGAGAAAAGAACTAACATTCTAGAGTAGCAGCTTTCAGTGTTATCTGTGTTATCTCCTCAAAAACCTCACAAAATCCCTGTGAGGCAGTTACTGTTACCATTTTACATACCAGGAAACTGAGTTTCAGAAAAAGGTTATGTAACATTTCCAAAAGTTGATCTAATTAGTACATACCTGGCAAACTACAGAAACAACCAGCTATTCAAATAATTGATCTTTAGCAAAATATTAAATTGTCAAATATCTAAACAATAACTTAAAGCTACTTCAGTAATTAATTTGAAAATAATTCAACATATTTAAAAATTTTATCTTCCCCATTATATATGTAATAAAGATGATTAGAATAAATTTGAAAACAATGAAAGAAAGAAAGAAAACCACAGTATTGATATGATTTAAAGAAAGCCTCTCAGTATTTTTGTGAGATCCTCTTCGGTGTTCTTTTTCTTTTCATTCTCTGTTGTTCTTTCTGTTCTTTTTGTTTTCTTTGTGTTAATATTTGTGGTTATAATATATTATATTTATATTTAATATAAATTTAATTCTGCTTCCAAGCTACTTTAAACCTAAGTATATGATTAACTGATTCTAATAATTTATCAAGTAAATGTACCATAAATTATTTAACTCTTGAAGCATATTTAACATTTAATGGTCTCCCATGTTTTGCTATTATAAACAATACCAAGCTGAACAACTTGCACATAAAGTCTTTTAAACACTGTACTTTAGATAGATTTTTCAGAAGTTAAATCACTAAATATATTTAGAGCTTTTGATAAATTTAGTCAAATTCCTTTTTAAAAAGTTAAGCCAATTTATGCAAAAGAGATAAACATTCAAATGTTTACATTACGTTAGCCTGGGAGCAGCTCCTTGGCTGCAGCACCTGATGAAAGCCTTCTTCTTTGGCAATACTCATCGTATCAGTACTCATCGTATCAGTACTCATCACATCAGTACTCATCGCATCAATACTCATCACATCAGTACTCATCGTATCAGTACTCATCGTATCAGTACTCATCATATCAGTACTCATCGCATCAGTACTCATCATATCAGTACTCATCGTATCAGTACTCATCGTATCAGTACTCATCACATCAGTACTCATCGCATCAATACTCATCGCATCAGTACTCATCGTATCAGTACTCATCGTATCAGTACTCATCACATCAGTACTCATCGCATCAGTACTCATCGCATCAATACTCATCACATCAGTACTCATCACATCAGTACTCATCACATCAGTGATGAGCTTTCTGTGCAGTGAGCAGCAGGACCTAGATGGAACCCCTGGTGTTTCAGTAACACCAATATTCCATCTCTGTCAGCAGGAAGAATTTAGAGAAATGCAGAAGAATTATGCTTTTGTACTTGTTCAAACTTACCCATGAAAACAAAAATAGCCAGGGTTGGTTATCTTATAATTAATCTTTTCTTTTTTCTAAGTCTGAACTTCAGCCAACTGCAGACAGGGAAAATGAGTCTGTGATTGCTGTATCATCCCTGAAGCAAGGCACCTAAGGATCCTTACTCCAACAGACAAGCTTTAGAGCGGGCATCCATCAGCACAGATGCAAATAAAGATCAGTGATCAACAGAGACTATTAGGATGATGGAGGAAAATGAGATCTGGACAAATATATATTGTAAACAGCTTATTTTTGCTAAGGATCAGATGACAGTTAACACCAGAACAGAACAATGCTTAACATAATTCTCAACTAGCATATATTTTTGAGAAAAAAAAACACATTCAGCATATTCATGTAAGGTTGCAGAAAGATTCCTGAATAGGGCAGACACTAATGACATTTGCTGTTAAAACTGTTCCCCACAATATGCACACGAGAATCCCAGAATGGTACATGAATGAAGCCCATTCTTTCTTTTTTTCTTCTCCTTTAAAAAATTATGATGAAGTATACATAACATAAAATTTACTGCTTTAACCATTTATAGATGTACTATTTACTGGCATGACCCATTGTTTCTTGAGTATGCTAGGATGACACCATGTTTTTAAAAGGCACACATAAGTTCCTATAAGAAAAGAGATGAAAGCCATTATTTCTGCTCAGGGAGATCAAGGAAAGCTCCTGAGATGCTATGACATCCAAATTGGGTCTTACAGAAGAAGTAGGCGTTTCTAGACAGGTAAGAGAAAATGACACTTCACATAGAAGCCCCTGAGCAGTGCCAGAATCATTAAAGTGTAGGACCTGCATTTTGAGGGGCAGTGAGTAATTGGTCTGAGTAGAGCTTAGACTGATATTGCATTATTAATAATAGGGAAATGAATTTCACTTAAAATTTTTATTTTTTGAGGCTCTCGCCTGTGAGACAAGAGATGCAGAATCTATTTCTTACTTCATCCTGTTGCCCTCTCCTGAACCCATAGCCACATGTACCTTATGAGAGGAGGTGGCCTTAATCAGTGGCAAGCATTTTCTGTAAAGAGACAGGTAGTACCTGTCTTCCCGCTTCGCACACCATACGGTCTTGGTCTTTGTTGCAGCTGCTCAACTCTGCTGCTGTAGTGTGAAAGCTGTCACAGACAACCTGTAGAAAAATGGGCAAGGGGAGATGTCACCTGCAGAGTGCACTTTACCAGCCCTAGGACTAGATCATCTCTAAGATAATCTCCTGCATTCATATTTTAGAACTCTAGCATTCGTTTTTTTTTTTTTTTTTTTGAGACGGAGTCTCGCTCTGTCGCCCAGGCTGGAGTGCAGTGGCGCCATCTCGGCTCACTGCAAGCTCCGCCTCCTGGGTTCACACAATTCTCCTGCCTCAGCCTCCTGAGTAGCTGGGACTACAGGCTCCTGCCACCACGCCTGTCTAATTTTTTGTAGTTTTAGTAGGGACGGGGTTTCACCGTGTTAGCCAGATGGTCTCGATCTCCTGACCTCATGACCCACCTGCCTCAGCCTCCCAAAGTGTGGGGATTACAGGCGTGAGCCACCACGCCCACCCTAGATCTCTGATTCTATTTCTATTTTCCAAATTGTGTTGTTTCACATCAGCTTGATTACAAAGAAGAATATTTTTGGATGAGGGGATTTAAAAAATTTACATTCTATTGCTCTTTTCCTTGCAAAGCAGTAACTGAGTGTCTTCCCTTAGTCTCTGCAAACAATCGACGTGGACACTCAGTTTCTAAGTTGAAGGATATGAATTCTAGATTATTCTCTAAGAAGTCAGAACAGGAATCACAAAGCAGCTAAAGCTAATGCTCTGTAGAGGAATATGGCTAACCTTACTCTGGGCTAATCTAGGTAATGTGAAATATAAATTAATAATAATTTACCCTTGACTGTAACTACAGGGATTGTTTTAATGGTAGATGTGTTCTCAATTATTTTGGTTTTGTGTGGCTCAATAGCAAGGGAATGTAACTCTCTGGTGTGCGATTCCATTTAGTGTCCATATTAAGTCAAACTTAAGCATGTGTTTGAATAATGCATAACAAATGAGAATTATCAAGAAAAATAAGATTATTAATATTTCTAGTCCAGTAGGAACTAAAGCCAGCCTGGAAGTGGAATGAAGACAATGAGCCCAGCTCTTATCCTGCAGAATCCTGTGGAGGCATAAACTAATTAAACAGTTTTGCTTTAATAATCTTTGTATCTTTCTACAGGGTGAACTCTCAGATTGAATAGTTGCATAGAAGCAGTTGGGAAATGGAAGAAGCTTCTCAGTTGATGAAAAACTGTGAGATATCAGTTAGCATTGTCAATCAAGGAAAATTTCTAAGGAAAGTCTCAATTATTTTAGGAGATTTACCTGCCAAAGTTAAGGACATGTACCTGGGAGACAGGTCTATGCCGTTCTTCAAAGAGGATTTTGAGGGCTTCAATATTTAAAGGGGGAAGGATGGGATATTGAGAAATACACAATTCTCATGTGAGGGGGCAGCAGGGGAAAATAGCCATTCGTGCCTTTGCCTGGTTCAGTGAATCTGCTTTTTTTTTTTTTTTTTTTTCTAATTGAGATGGAGTCTTCCTCTGTCTCTGTCGCCAGGCTGGAGTGCAGTGGTGCGATCTTGGCTCACTGCAAACTCCATCTCCTGGGTTCAAGCGATTCTCCTGCCTCAGTCTCCTGAGTAGCTGGAATCACAGGCATACACCACCACACCCGGCTAATTTTTGTGTTTTTAGTAGAGATGGGGTTTCACCATGTTGGCCAGGATGATCTCCATCTCTTGGCCTTGTGATCCTCCCTCCTCGGCCTCCCAAAGTGCTGGGATTACAGGCACACCGTGCTCAGCCGAATCTGTATTTTTCCATAAGATAAGGTAGACAATAGGGCAGAGGAAACAAACAGATATGCATTTGTCTCTGCTGGGCAGAGGGACAACTGAGTTACGTAATGTGTCCCCACATCTGTGAAAACGAGCTGTCGATTTACATTGCCCTGGTGAATTTTAACAGAAATGTTTAGATCTCGGGACCACAAGGAATTTCCTTAAGGGCAAAATGTGAGGGAAGTATGTAGCTTTTGATCTTTGTAGCCATCTTTTAGGAACTAAAATGGGAGGCAGGTTTGCAGGACCCAGTTTTCACCTTGACTTTTCCCTTTGGCTTAGTGAGTTTGGGGTGCTGAGTATTGACAAAGAGTCAAACTCTGTAAAATATTTGAAGAGATTTATTCTGAGCCAAATTCAAGTGCCCATGGCCCATGACACAGCCCTCAGGAGGTTCTGAGAACATGTGCCCAAGGTGGTCGGGGCCAGCTTGGCTTTCTACACTTCAGGGAGGCACGAGGCTTCCATCAGATACATTTAGGAAATGCATTGGTTTGGTCCAGAAAGGTGCGACAACTTGAAGCAGGGACTTCCAGCTTATAGGTAGAGTAAAACATTTTCTGGTTGACTGTCGAGTTTATCTAAAGACCTGGGATCAATAGAAAGGAATGTCTGGGTTAAGATAAAGGCTTGTGGAGACCAAAGTTCTTATTTGCGGGGGAAGCCTTCAGGCAGCAGGCTTCAGAGAGAATAGGTTGCAAAATGTTTCTTATCAGACATCAGACTTGAAGTCTGTGTTGCTGTTAGTGCTGGAGAGGTAGAATGAGGCATGTGTGACCAGACTCCCCACCATGGCCTGAACCAGTCTCAGGTTAAATTTCAAGAGTGCCCTGGCTGACAAGGAAGTCCATTCAGATGGTTGGGACGACCTTAGATTTTATTTTTGGTTTACTCGAGATTAATTTTTCTTTCACAATTATAAAACAAAGAACACTTTTTAAAAAAATGTAATTTTTAGAGCTAGTTTCTTAAGTCTGTGAAGGTGTATTAAAAGATACATTAATCTCAGTTTACCTAGTAAGAGTGTTTTCAGGAAAAATGCAGTTTTTTTGTTAGTTTGTTTTTTGTTTTTTATTTTTTGGGGGGACAGAGTTTTGCTCTGTCGCCCAGGCTGGAGTGCAATGGTGCAATCTCAGCTCACTGCAACCTCCGCCTCCCAGGTTCAAGTGATTCTCCTGCCTCAGCTTCCCGAGTAGCTGGAATTACAGGTGCCCGCCACTACCCCCTGGCTAATTTTTTTATTTTTAGTAGAGATGGGGTTTCACCATGTTGGCCAGGCTGGTCTCAAACTCCTGACCTCAAGTGATCTGCCCGTCTCAGCTTCCCAAAGTCCTGGGATTACAGGTGTGAGCTGCCACACCTGGCAAGTAATGTTTGTAAATCAACAATAAAACACATTTTTCGATTTTAGTTTATGTCTCTCTTCATTCCGTCCTTTGTGAGGAAAAACGTTGGTGTATGGAGACAAGTTCAGGGTCGGAACCGAGAGTCAGGGTGCCCTGAGAGCCAGCCCAGAGAGTGGCAGCACAGCTTCTCCTTCTGTCAGAAATGGAGCTGGCCCTGGGTACTTGACCTCCGCACTAGAGACCGCATTCGCCTCTGTCCCTCACAATGAGATGACACCATGCAATAAGGTTCTCTGCTGTGAACTTCACCTCACAGTCTCACCTTACTAAGTAATGCACGCCAGGCCCACACTTCTGATACTTAGAAACACTGACGGCTGAGCAACCTTAGAATCCTGGGTTTAAGTTGAGGAAGCGTTGGTGAGCAGCTAGGGCCTCTGGCTGACTTCCTGGGGCAGAGCTGCCCCATCGGCCTGAGCTGGTTACAACAAAAGTCAGCAAACTTTTCTTATTAAGGGTCAGAGGGTACATATCAGCCTTTGTGGGCCATTCAGTGTTGCTCACAACTCCTCTTATCTGCCCTTGTGAGGCAAAAGCAACCATAGACAATGTGTAAATGCATGAGTGTGGTTGTGTTCCAATAAAACTTTATTGGTGAACACAGAAATTTGAATTTCATATCATTTCCATGTGTTACAAAGCAGCCTTGTTTTTTTTTCCCCCAAATTTAAAAAATAGAAAAGTCTTTTTTTGTTTGTTTGTTTGAGACGGAGTCTCTCACTCTTGTAGCCCAGGCTGGAGCGCAGTGGCGCGATCTTGGCTCACTGCAACCTCTGTCTCCCAGGTTCAAGCAATTCTCCTGCCTCAGCCTCCCAAGTAGCTGGGATTACAGGCGTGCGCCACCGCACCCAGCCACAAAAGTCATTTTCAGCTCACAGGTTATGCAGGTCATACTTGGCTTATGGTCTGTAGTTCACCAAATTTCAGGTTACACAATTTTGTGGGAGAGAAATAAACTTCTGTTTTTTAAAAATAATTCTGAAGTGTCTTGGTAATTAGATGAACTTAGCCTTAACTCTAAATTTTAGACGATCTCTGCCATTTGTGTTAGAATCCATTCATTCAGATACTTCTCCTTTATTGCCGCCAGGGCATGGAGGGAGGATGAGCTGCACACGTTTTTCTCCTTTGCTTCCCTCTTGCACTCCTTTCCTTAACTACTTTGATTCCTTGCATGGAGGTGGACCTGCCAAGACATTTTTAAGAGCATGCTAGGGACACCTCAAGGTGTTTTTATAACCATTTCAATGAGTTAGAACTTTTTCTTTTTAGAAGAAATATATAAGGATTATTTCTTCCTCATAAGTTACCAATGAATAATTTACTTACTACACATCATTATGGATGGAATTGTTCCCCTAAAATTTGTATTATTGAAGTCTTAACCTCCAATGAGACATATTTGGAGATAAAGCATTTAAAGAGGTAATTTAGATTAAATGAGCTCATAGTGTGGGGACCTAATTTGATAGAACTGATATCCTCATAGGAAGAGAAAGAGAAGCTGGGCATGGTGGTTCAAGCCTGTAATCCCAACACTTTGGGAGGCCAAGGCAGAAGGATTGCTTGAGCCCAGGAATTTGAGACCAACCTTGGCAGCAAGGCAAAACTTGGTCTCTACAAAAAATGCAAAAAATTAGCCAGGCGTGGTGGCACACGCCTGTAGTCCAAACTACTAAGGAAGCTGAGGTGGTAGGCTCGCTTGAGCCCAGGAGGTCAAGGCTGCAGTGAGCCAAGATGGCACCACTGCACTGCAGCCTGGGGGATAGAATGAGACCCTGCCTGAAAAAAAAAAGAGGAGGCACCAGAGACCTCTCTCTCTTTGCACTCACAGGGGAAAGGTCATGTGGGAACACAGCTAGGAGGGAGCAATCTCCAAGTGAGAAAGAGGGCCCTCACCAAGAACCAAGTATGCTGGCACCGGATGGTGGGTCTTCCCCGCCTTCAGAACTGTGAGAAATGAGAAAATAGCTTTCTGTTGTCTAGGTCACAAGACTGTGTCAGACTTTGTTTTGGCAGCCTGAGCAGACTAATATATTCCATATATGGGGGTGATAATAGTTTGCTAGTCAGCCTTTTTTAGTACCCTTTACCTTATCCTTAAGCCCACTAGTCAAATAGTGTCAACAGTTTTCTATATATTCTTTCTTTGGATAAAAAGAAAACTTCATGAGCATTTTTGACATATACCTCATTGATCAGCTTTGACTCTCAAAATAAACTTTGAAAAGGAACAAAAAGGAAACAGCAGTTTTGAAAGTTAGGCTTTTAAAAAACTGCAAGAGCCAAGCACTTGAGAGAAAATAGACTTTTCTGAATTCCAGGTTTAAAATAGCAAGAGCCAGAATTTATGTTTTGAATACCAAGTCTGGGTGTATGTCAGAAACTATGGAAGGATAGAGGCTACGAAGTAAGGAGAGGTTTCCATGACAGAGCAAAGAAAATAGGAGGATTTCCTGGAACAGGAGAAGGAGCTTGGGGATTGGACGTGGGTCTGGGTAGTGGAGGTTTTCCATAGGCCCTCAGAGAATATTTTAGACATAAGAGGCAAAGTGCATGACAGGAAGTGCTGCCTTTTGGGGAAGATGTGACTAAGCTCTAAGTAGCAATGGTGGGACACAGCACACGTGGAAAGATGCTGACATCAGCAGCAGATTCACTGGTATTAAAGGAGGAGCTCCTGGCTGGGCGCGGTGGCTCACGCCTGTAATCCCAGCACTTTGGGAGGCCGAGGCGGGCGGATCACCAGGTCAGGAGATCGAGACCATCCTGGCTAACAGGGTGAAACCCCATCTCTACTAAAAATACAAAAAATTAGCCAGGCGTGGTGGGGGGCGCCTGTAGTCCCAGCTACTCGGGAGGCTGAGGCAGGAGAATGGCAGGAACCCGGGAGGCGGAGCTTGCAGTGAGCCGAGATCGCGCCCCTGCACTCCAGCCTGGGCGACAGAGCCAGACTCCGTCTCAAAAAAAAAAAAAAAAAAAGAAAAGAAAGAAAGCAAAGGAGGAGCTCGTAAGCCCAGTAAGACTAGACATCTCTGGGAAAGCCAAGACTGAAGGCTAGGGGCCTCTTTCCCAATATGTGTGTGTGTTTATAATCTTTTTGCCCTCAGACTAAGGGAGGAGAGGTGTATCTTTAAGAGTGAGAATCAGTTCAGATATAAGTTTAAGTTTTTCATTGAGAGAAACCAAAATATTACATTTAAGTATCTATGTAAGCATCTAAATTTTAGAGCAGGGTGACTGCATTACCTTGAAGTAGTAAAGCTTCAGGTCAATCCACATAAGCAGAAGCTACCCTGTGTAGAATCAGAGGAAACTGAGCTCAATTATGGAAAAATTAAAATGTTATGTCTGCATAACTAAATTGTGACTATAACGTTGACTCAGCTGCAGGGATTGGCTAATATCTATAATAAAATGAAACAAAACGATTGCTGCAGGTATTTATCTAAACTACTTCATGAAACAGTCCCAATAAACTTGTCAACAGCATGTACCCATTATAGTAACTCAGATGTGCTACAAGTTTCTGAAATTCTTTCTGAATCATAAAAAAGCCATATTATGTTCTTGGTATGTATATGTATTATGTTCATGGTATGTATACCATATGCTATGGTAAGTGAATATTTCTGTACTATAATCATTGTAAATTGGTAATACACATATCCTGTTAGGCAGGACATTTGGCTACATGTAACATTCTATTTCCCAAGAACTCCACTAACAGAATTATTTTGATAGAACCCCCTTAACATTTGTAATAATATAATGTTTCTTTTTCTCATAGGGGTATTCAGTTTAACAGGCTCATTGATCAATTTTGATCATTCCACTTTTCTGTTCTAACACTTTCAGGGGCTATCACTGCCTATGAATTTTATGAATTCCTAGCCCATGCATATTGGACTCACTAAGACATGGCTCCAATGATCATTCAAAATTCCAGATGGGCTACTTATTGTTCCCTGATAACCCTATACATCCCGATTTGTTCTTTTCCTCCTACTTTCTCCTTGGAATGCCTTCTCCAACCTTTTTAGCCTTCTCCCAACCCCCCTTGCCATTCATTTCATCCATCTCAAATGTACCTTTTCCCTAAAGGATGCTCGGATCTAGCTTTTTGAATATGCTCGTTTCAGTATCCCATAACCCGCATTTTGGACTTCTCTTGAGACTTATCCTGTTCTGTTTATATTATATTTATTATGACATTTTCTTATCTGTACCCCATATGGTATTCTCTTTGTAGTAATGACTATGTCTTATTTTTTAAAAATCTCTCTCCTCATATTACTGTATTGAGCATCATCTATTCTGTCTATATTTTTTTTAAAAAATAACAGAACAATATAGTTTAAGCTGCTACAATGTCTTCAATCTGGAAATCTGTGTTTGCTCCATGAAAGAGCACTTTAAAGAAAAGACGTGCATGAATTTGCATGTGATTAATCATATGTCACTCTGCTTTCAAATCTCCTTCTAGGCAAGAAAAAAGAACAGTGAAGTGTGGAAGCTTGAGAGCTCAGTAGGGCTGCCCAAGGATATAGAAAATGAGGGAGAGTGATTACAGAGTAACTTTCCAGGGATAGAAGGGCCCAGGATGGGGGAGCTCCTGCTGATGGCTGAGACTATGAGGACAGCCTGGAGAGCAGGAGGGAGGGCATGAACAGGAACAGAGTTTAAGATATAGAGGACAACTCAAAGCTACAGCCCCAGCCCTGGTGAAAATAGAGGGAGAAAAGAAAAATACACATATCTTAAAGATACAGTTGAAAATAGTGTGTGAAGTCAGTAGGAGAAATTGTATGACAAGCAAGGAGTGTGTGATTAGTTTACCTGATAGAGTTGCGATTGGACACTGAGCTAGGTTGGATGTATAGTGGGAATAGTTTTGATTTTTAAACGTACACTGCAAGTCATCTGGGTGTAAAGCAGGTTGCTATGCCGAGTTCCATGCACATAGCCAGTTGTCAGGCTTCATATATGCCTATAATGGGTTCCCACTTCCTCACCTGTGAGAGAGCTGATCAATGGGTAAATTGGTCCAAGAAACTAACACCATTTGGATACAGAAATCACACAAGGCACTGAACCAGAAGGAGCTGCTCCAGATGTGAAGCGGGCTGCTAGGAAATCTGACGCCTAGCGGTGCCACTGTCACTGGCCGTTTGTTGTTCCAGAAAAAGGCCAAAATCCTGGGAGACTCTTTTAGATACAGCAACTGCCTAGGATAGAATTGAGGCTCCACAAAGGTGTTCTTCATGTGGGAACTACAAGATCATCAGCGGAGAGAGCCTTCCAGGAAACCCGCGTACATCAGGCTCCTCCCGTTGGAGGTGAATCCTCACTCCCCACACCCCCCAATGCTCCCCTTTATCCTGGACACAGAGGGGTGCTCTCAGGCTTCTCCCTAGCTCTCCCTGCTCACCCCATGCTTAAGAGTGAATTAAATATGTATGCAAATGTATTTTGCAGATTGTACATTAAATTTTAAAATGCAAGATTTTTTTTTTAATCAACTTTCTGGCTACTGGGACCCAGCATATTTTCACTAAGAGTATCAATAATAGCATCTTCATCTTTTCTTGACAAATAGTTTGGACAGTTGTGATAATTTTCTGATCCTCCAAGCTTTTATTGGGATCGACTTCCTTGTCTCACCTCCACGTTTTCTTTTTTCCACTATGGACCTTGTTTCCATTCCACACTTTCTCTCTTCTTCTTCTTCTTCTTCTTTTTTTTTTTTTTTTTTTTTTTTTGACACGGAGTCTCACTGTCGCCCAGGCTGGAGTGCAGGGGCGCGATCTCGGCTCACTGCAAGCTCCGCCCCCCGGGGTTCCCGCCATTCTCCTGCCTCAGGGGTTCCCGCCATTCTCCTGCCTCAGCCTCCCGAGTAGCTGGAACTACAGGCGCCCGCCACCACGCCCGGATAATTTTTTTTGTACTTTTAGTAGAGACGGGGTTTCACCGTGTTAGCCAGGATGGTCTCCATCTCCTGACCTGGTGATCCGCCTGCCTCGGCCCCCCAAAGTGCTGGGATTCCAGGCGTGAGCCCCCGCGCCCGGCCCCCCAACTCCACACTTTCCAGTCGCTAATGAGACATTTTCCTCTGCGCCCCAGTGTTCAGCCCCCACCCCCACCTACTTCTACTGTCCTCGTACTTCAGCTTCACCGGAGCTTTCCTTCGTTTAACAGGTATTTTAACTCAAGTCATTCCCCTTCTCCCTTAAAAAAACAGAACTTGGCCAAACAAAATTGGATCCAGGAAAGGCGTGACCGCGGATGGAGGACTGTGTTACTTACCTCAACTAAGGCAGAAGGTGTTTCTCATTTGCTTTTCTACCATTCCTTCAAACTCATTCTATTACGTTCCCTTTTCCTGCCATGACAGGCGTCCTAGTTGTCCCCTTAGGAGTTCTCCGATGTCCTGTATGGGACCCCCAACGAAGGCCATTTCTCTTCCATACGAACCCTTGGCCATCCTCATTCCTGCTCTGAAGGCTGCCTGTGCTGAGCGGGTCCCTGCAGGGCGACTGGAGCTTAGCGGCGCAGCACCTGCTTGAGGCGTGGGGGCCCCGCCCCGCCCGGGAGGGCGGTCCTGCTGCCTCCCCCGGCTCTTGCCGCCCACCTTTCCCATCTGCTGTCAAGACTCAGCACTAGCGGCCGCTTCACGAGGCCCCGCAACTCTGGAGAACGCAGCCGACGCTCTCGAGTGTATGGAGGAGCCCTCAAGTTTCTGCAGCTCAGCACCCAAGCCTGGAGTGCGCTTTAAACCTGCTCTGATGGAAACAACCCCAGCTCCAACAGAAGCATATATGTGACTTGAATTTGTGGGGAGCAGGGGCAGTCATTGAAGCTGCCGCAGAATAATTACTCTTGGGAATTCCAGTCCAGGAAAGCTCTCTTTCAATGGACCTTCTCTCAGAAATACTTCCTGGTCCTCTCTTTCATGGCCTGAAGGTAGATGATTTGGATTGATAGAGACTTCTGGGCTTCCTCTCGCTGAGTCTTGCTCAGAGGAAGGGGTTATTTATCTTCTACATAGTCATCAACTGAGAGGACCTCAGTCAAAACATTGAAGCAAAAGAAAAAAGTCTCATTGGACATTCTTTTACATGTGCTTCCATGGCATTGTGAACATATGGACATAGCAATGATCAAAGCGGTAGTTTTGCATTTATTGTGGCCATCATTTGGCTAGTGTCTGTCTTCTCCACTGTGCTGGAACTCCATGAAGGTCGGGGCCGTCTTTGTTTTGCTCACTACTTAATTCCTAAGGTCTTACACAAGGTCTAATAGGAGGCATTTTAAAATTAATGATCAGATAGGCCGGGTGCGGTGGCTCACGCCTGTCATCCCAGCACTTTGCAGGCCGAGGCGGGCGGATCGCGAGATCAGGAGATCGAGACCATCCTGGCTAACCCATTGAAACCCCGTCTCTACTAAAAATACAAAAAAAATAGCCGGGTGCGGTGGCGGGCGCCTGTAGTCCCAGCTACTCGGGAGGCTGAGGCAGGAGAACGGCGGGAACCCGGGAGGCGGAGCTTGCAGGGAGCCGAGAACACGCCACCGCACTCCAGCCTGGGCGACAGAGCGAGACTCCGCCTCAAAAAAAAAAAAAAAGAAAAGAAAAGAAATTCTTGTATATTGCATGTAAGTACGGATTCTCTTTTTATGAACTAAAATGAAAACATTGGATAGCCTATTAACTTATAATTTTAACCTCTTCTTAGTGGTCATTTTTGTTTTGTTTTTAATTTTTTTCTTTTTGTCAGAAACTGATGAATGCTAATTAGTGGTCATTATTGAGGAATAAGTAAAATATGCATTTAATTACTCATTCATTCACTCAGCAAAATCAATGATCACTTACTACTCAGGTACTGGGATTATGGAGATAATAAAACAGCTGATTCCTTTCAAGCATGTACCACGGAGTGAATGAAATGGACACCCAAATACAATAAAATGTGAAGATCTATTAGGACAAAGCTATGTGTTTGCGAGAAACATTTTCTGGATGCTTACGATATTCCAGCCCCTTTGTGCGCACATAATTTCTTATTTGATTTTTCACAACTGTCCTGTGAGTCATGCTTTATTCTCTTTTTCTTTTCCCAATGAAAAAAAACTGAGGCTCAGTGAATTTTAACCTCTTGAAAAAATTGGTCCATTGTTCAGGCGTAACTCTGTCTGCTTTCAAAGCAAACAGTTTTTTGTTTATGGCACATTACTGAGAACTGCAGTTTTAACTCTCTGCGGGTGGACAGCAGCACAAAACTAATTAAGGTGCATAAGTGAGAACACTAACAATAATCATAATAACTGCATCTATTATTTATGGAGCAACTGTGCCGTGCCAAGCATCACGTTAGCTCCTTTACAAAAATAAACCAATCTCACCCTAAAACAACTCTAAACCATTGGTCTTAGCGTTCTCCTTTTGTGTAATGGGACATCGAGGCTCCTCACATTCCAGTAACTTGCTCAAAGTCATCCAGGCAGTAAGAGACAGAGCTAGGATTTGAAATCAGTTGTGATGATGGTAAATCTATGCTCTTAACAATTTTTTAAAAATGGCTCTTCTGGGATTATTTGGCATTAACATGGGCCAGATGAATACAGTGTGTTTGATGGCAGGTAGAAAATAGCCTTCAGGAACTTTAAACCAGGCTGCATTTCAATGCTGAAGTTTAAAAACTTGTTTTGTTTCTGGCTCCCTATGTACTCCTGAGCTTTTGGTGCCCCTGAAGAGATGTTTTCTATCTTATATTTTGTCAGGATAATTCAGACAATATTTACCACCAATCAACAGGTGCAGAAAAATCCAACAGCTCCCTATGGGAAACAATGGAACATTGGTTAGTATAAATATTACCAGCAAGGATCTCAAAGGCCTCTCATGTTCTTGTTCCTTCAACCAAAATTCATTCATCCATGGGCCAATCTGATCCTAAATTTGTAAACAACTGTCCAGTAATTAACTCACTAAAATGAATACTATTCTCAAGCAATTGCATGCAGTTTCACAAATGCTCTTATCATCAGTTGCCCATCTCTGTGATATCTATGAGCTGTTAAGGCAGTGAAAGTGGAGAAGAACATTTTTCATAAACGTGCACATGGTGACTTACAATTCAAGGTTCTAATCACCGCTTGAACTCTTAAAACATCGATTTGTCTTTCTAATTTAGATTGTGTGTCTCCTGAGCCCTGAGCACATATTCTTTATGCCTGGTACAGTGCCAGATCCATCAGTATTACACAAATAATTAATCTTCATAATGATAGCTTGCAGAGGTAGACCCGCAATTACTGAAGGGCACCTTGACATCCCAGGGAAATCTGCTTTGAAAATATATGTGTGTGTGGCAGATACCACTGTATATGAAGGCCAATCATTTAATTTTTTAGGTCCTCAGTTCCTGGTTGAGAAAGGAAATAGATGCTCAACTGTTGGACTAGAAATTCAGAAACGTAATCATCCATGGCCCTTTATATTTTAAACATTCTTTTAAGTTTAGACAATAACTTTATATTTCTAGGTTTCATTCACTTTATTCTAAGGTTTGTAATACAGAATCTGACTAGATTCCAATGTATAATATTTGGCGTATCTTTATGTTTCATCCCATTTTGGTAGACTGGATATTGCACAGCAAACATTCTTTCTTATAAAATGGTACCACTGGCGTAGTGTTCAGGGTAGCAAGAGTCCAGCACAGTTCTTTGTCCTTGTCTACTTACATCTACTTACAGCACACATGGCACTCTTTTTTTTTTTTTTTTTGAGATGGTCTTGCCCAGCCCAGGCTGGAGTGCAGTGGTGCAATCTTGGCTCACTGCAACCCCCGCCTCCTGGGTTCAAGCGATTCTCCTGCCTCAGCCTCCTGACTAGCTGGGATTACAGGTGCGCACCTCCACGCCTGGCTGATTTTTGTATTTTTAGTAGAGACAGGGTTTCAGCATGTTGGCCAGGATGGTCTGGAACTCCTGACCTCCTGATCCACCAGCCTCAGCCTCCCAAAGTGCTGGGATTAAAGGCGTGAGCCACCATGGCCAGCCTCCTGGCACTGTTTATATATCCAGAAGCCTCCAGTGGGAGGACGAGGGACTTGGGATTCAAATCTGTCCACCACTGCACATGAAGCACGTAGAGCGCCCCTGTTTAATAGCTTGCTCGAGTGTACAGTGATGTACTGTGCAGTGAGCAGGGGAGAAGACACTTAACATCCCCGAGCCCAGTTCTGTCACCTACATCATAAAAGTACTATTAACAACTTCCAGCATTTAATGAGAATTAGTGCATATAAGTTACTTGACAATAGAGTAACTGCTCAATCAAGGTTAATTTTCTTCTCTTCCGGTTCCCTCTGTCTTTGCACTCTCTCATTCTAGTAGCCTCTTTTCATCGGTGCATAATTCCATATTATTTAAAACAAACATTCATCAGCGGCTCATTTGTCATAAATCTGGAAGAGGTGAAATTAAAGTAGTTATGTGCATGGAAAGCCCACCTTTGAAGTATTTCTACCTGACCCGCATATCCCACAACTAACTTACCACTCTGTCTGAAGCCACCTCTGGGTGAAGGTATTAAATGTGCCTGTTGAAATACAAATACCAGGAGTGGGGGAACCACTCTAAAGAAGTAGAGATGGTCTTTCTCCTTACAGTTATAATCAGTTGGGGAAGAAATGTTTTCAAGCTTCATACTTGATTCTGAGTTTTCTGGCATAATCACAGTGAGATATACTCTCAGAGTGAGTCACCATTACTGAAAATGTGTCTTATCAATTAGTCGTGCCAGAGAGTGGAGAAAAAAGAAAAGTAACGTTATAGAAAGCCAAAATTAAAACAGCTTCTCTCGCTATATTTTTCAAAATGTTCTTAAAGGATTTCAGTATGTCCCAAGACAATGGGTTCATGGAATTCCATTCAATCCATACCTGCATGTGCCTACCGTGAGTGAGGCTCTGAAACTGGTGTTCCATGCACAAGGCCAATTCAGTCTGAATAACACTGAAGGGGACAGAATTAAGAGGAGAATTTCTGGGCCACAGGGTAGAAAGCGTAAGAATGGCCTTGCAATGGGCAACCTATTCAGCCAGGGCCAGCGTGAGGACACATACGACTCTAGAGGGCAGGTAGGAGCTGAAAGTGAGGAGAGCCGAGGTCTCACCCTGAAGAGGAAAGGGGAATGGAAGGTCAACTCCACTAATTGAGAATATTATTCAGTCCAACCTCAATACAGATTTATGGTCAGTGTCACCCTTTCCTAGGAACAGGCAGCACGCTGTGGTGGAAGGGTCACAGACTCGGAAGAAAGCATATCTTTGATCCGTCCTAACTCAGTTTCTCCTAAGAGACGCAGTCTTGTGCAATACCCTTAATCTGCCTGAGCGTTAGTTTTCTTAGCTGCAAAATGGAGTTTATAATTCTTGATCTGTTTCACAAATATGTCATAAGAATAAAGAAATATGAACTAAAATGTTTTGACAATGATGGATTATCTAAATACCAACCATGCTTGTAGATGTTCTTAAAGTTCATATCAAAGGGGTTAGGAGAAATGATAAAGGATTACTCTAGGTTTGCTTTTTATTCAGGTATTTATTCATGTGGTTGAACATCTTAAAGCCGAAGAAAGAGTAAAATGCTGGTGAAAACTCAGGTATTATTTTCTGTATCACTGGATGCTAGAAATGATTACTGGAAAAAACTCTTTAATGAAACATGCTACCTGAACACTCCAGGAGGGAGATGAGCAGAGGAAAATGTCTTTGGCCTTTTCCCCAGTGAAGCCTGATCCTTTATGACTTGGCTTTCATCGATATTTTGCGCACTCAACAGAGACCCTCAAATATGTTTATTGAGAATTCACTGTGAAAACCGCACTCCCTTAGGCACTGTGTGAAAGGGAAAGAAAAGAAGGATGTGAGAAAGAGGGATGTTTATGCGCTTTCTAGAGCTTCTACTCAGCCTGGTATGATTCCAAGCAGACATTTACTGTGTTACACAGATGCTATATCAGGTTCTGGAAGAAGTTTTCCTCCATAAAGATAACTTGCATCCTAATTGTGTTACCATGTCACTTAAATAGCTTCTATCAGGGTCATTTCTGCCAGTAACCCTCATAAGGAATCAAGGACTCTCTGATGTCAGTAAAGGCAAGATGTCAAGGAAGCTGCACCAACTTTCTTATAAGGACGGGAAGAGAATATATATCTCTGCTTACCCAAAGACAAATATTTGAACTTCTTTTTCTGTTTTCTCATCAGTGGTAGAATGCTGTGATATTTCCCTTCTCTTTCTCTTTTGGCCACACCAGACAGGAGAAGGGAATTTAAGGAAATGTGGAGCATAGTAGTTACAGGGAAGATGGAAAAAGACATGTGTTGTTTGAGTTTGTTTCAACATTGATGAGGTGTGTTGGGCAGTATGAAGAGGGAGAAGAGAGTGAGAGCAAGAAGGAACTGTAGGGAACACAAATAGGACAGAGGACAGGGAGAAAAAGAAGACATGCGTGAGATTAAAAGAAACTGGCCGGGCACCGTGGCTCATGCCTGTAACCCCAGCACTTTGGGAGGCTGAGGTGGGCGGATCATGAGGTCAGGAGATTGAGACCATCCTGGCTAACATGGTGAAACCCCGTCTCTACTAAAAATAGAAAAAATTAGCAGAGCATGGTGGCGGGCGCCTGTAGTCCCAGCTACTCGGGAGGCTGAGGCAGGAGAATGGCCTGAACCCAGGAGGCGGAGCTTGCAGTGAGCGGAGATTGTGCCACTGCACTCCAGCCTGGGCAACAGAGCGAGACTCCGTCTCAAAAAAAAAAAAAAAAAAAAAAAAAAAATAGAAAAGTCCCTATAGGCAAGGTTAGCATAAGGCAAAATTGTGAAGTACTTAGTGTGTATCGTCCGGAACAGGTCTTTTTTGCTCTGCAATCCTTCACATGCTACAGAAACATTGCAGTCTCTTTTATCAGGATCTAGTCTATGATTTGTTATGATCTGTCACTTTGAGATAAACATGATTGGTAAGTGTTAAAGTGTTACTCTCCCCTGTTTTTCATTTCTTTTATTTTGTTTTGCCATTTTTTTAGGGGGAGGCAGATGAATACATTTTGTGTTAAAATTTCATGCATTGATACTATCGGGGAAGTATAGACTTCTAAGAGAATATCTGATTGAGACAGAAAATTATGTAATAGTTCAGAACATGAATTTTGAATTTGCCTTTGGGTAAGCTGATTTCCCTGAGGCTGTTTTTTTAACGTGGAAAATCAGAGTAATAATAATTGCTATCTCGTAAATATATTTTTTAAATTTCTTTTTAATTTTTGTCCTTTTTTAAGTAGAGACGGGTTTTCACCATGTTGGCCAGGCTGGTCTCAAACTCCTGACCTCAAGTGATCTGCCCGCCTCGGCCTCCCAAAGTGCTGGGATTACAGGCGTGAGCCACCATGCCCAGCCTATTTTTAAAATTTCATAAAATTTTTTACACTAGAAATTGTTCACTATGTTGTACTATTGTCGTTATTATTTTTCAACTCATTTTGGCTATGAGCACTAAACTCTAACCTGAATATCATAGTTTCCTAGTTTCTGAGGCAATTTGGACTAAGGCAGTTTCAGAACTAACACAAGAGAATCTGGAATTGTCTTTATAAGACTGATGTCCCTGTGTCTGAAGGGAGGCCACGGAAGCCCAGCCATTCCCTGACATGCGCTCCAGTTTCACTCTTAGAGAGTAAGTAGGAGTGGGCGGGCTTTGTCCCCAGTCCTGCCACCCAGCCTCCTTTTCCCTGGGGTTTCCTATGGAAGGAGCTGCGTGTGTAAAGAGCAACACTCAGCGACACATCAAACCCAGTGTCTCTCTGGCTGGACCCGTCCTCAGCAGAGCCCCTAGAGCGCTTCTGGTTCCAGCTGCATTTGAAAACTGGCTTTTGGCCGGGCGCGGTGGCTCACGCCTGTCATCCCAGCACTCTGGGAGGCCGAGGCGGGTGGATCACGAGGTTTGGAGTTCGAGACCAGCCTGGCTAATATGGTGAAACCCCGTCTCTACTAAAGATACAAAAAATTAGCCGGGCGTGGTGTCCGGTGCCTGTAGTCCCAGCTACTCGGGAGGCTGAGGCAGGAGAATCACTTGAACCTGGGAGGCGGAGGTTGTAGTGAGCCGAGATCGAGCCACTGCACTCCAGCCTGGCAACAGAGCGAGACTCTGTCTCAAAAAAAAAAAATAAATAAAAATAAATAAATAATAAAACTGGCTTTTTCCAGGAGGCCTGCGTGAGGACTCTTGCTTCCTCTTCACTCTCTTACATCTAAGATGCTGGACTGAGGAGGAGGCTGCGGCCTGATTTGCCCTCCCAGCCTTAGCTGAGAAGCTGGAAAGAGTGGAGGGAGATGAGGATTTCCAGCACAGCCTCCACTTGGCAGTCCACCTTTAGAGGCCAGGCCAGGCTACAGCAGGGAGTCTGAGGACCAACGGGACTCAGGGCAGGGCCTGGGTTCCCCGGTAAGACCAGGTTGGGCCATGTACTGGCAAATGTGGTCCAACGACTGACCTAATGGAAAAATAATTTCTGTAGGCAAAAGGTCTGGCCAGGGTATAAGGAGGGACAAAAGGAAGCGGTAGGAACATGGGGAGGAAGTTCTCTCCTTATAAAAATTGTATAAGATTTGAACTGTTCTATCTCAACATGTTTTTGAATGTGTATCATTGAAAAACAATGGAGTCGGGTGTGGATGCTAAAATTATTTTAGATAGTTCTTTCACTGTGGCCCCCATTGCCCCGAGAAAATGTTCCCTGAGTCCCATCAATTCTAAAAAGCACTAAACATTTTGTTTAAAAAATAGATCTGGCCGGTGTGGTGGCTCAGGCCTGTAATCCCAGCACTCTGGGAGGCCAAGACGGGTGGATCACCTGAGGTCAGGAGTTTGTGACCAGCCTGGACAACATGGTGAAACCCCGTTTCTACCAAAAAATACAAAAACTTAGCTGGGTGTGGTGGCGGGCAACTGTAATCCCAGCTACTCAGGAGGCTGAGGCAGGAGGGCTGCTTGAACCCAGGAGGAGGGGGATGCAGTGAGCTGAGATCGTGCCACTGCACTCCAGTCTGGGTGACAGAGCAAGACTCCATCTCAAAAATAAATAAATAAATAAATAAAAATAAATCGATCTGAAAAAAAAATTAAGGAAATGATGACTAGAAACTTCACAAGTGAGAAGTTATTTGTCCAGGAGAATCGGTGACTTACTGTATTTCTTTTAGTTAGATTGTATCAAGGTATGATTACAAAAATCAATAACAATTTTATAGAAAATAAACAGAGAAGCAACAAGCTAAACCTATTGAGAGAACATAACTTGACTGTCATTTTATGTATATAATACAGTATTATTTATAAAACTGTAATAGATAAGAGTCAGGTATACAGTATACATTTCAAAGTATTACCACAGTATTTACAGTTATCTATAATTGTAGAGTTGTTAACATGTACTTTTATCTGGATTTCTTACCTTAACAAAATACGGTCACTCTATCAATCTCAGAGAAATGTCTGTGCAATTAGTATTTTGGTGTTAACTTTGAGTCTTTATAAGGTCATATACTCATTTTTCAAAACGAAAAGTATTTCCACTGTAGAAAGATGTCTGTTGAGAAAATAAATCTCCCTTCAGCACAATTTTAATTTCAAAATGCTGCAATACCCAGACCACAATCCTAGCTAGCATTAAGAAAAATCACATCGTACAAGGAATTATCACTAACAAAGGAATAAGGATTTTGAAGGCCGTTCTCAAGGAAAGAGCCGCATTGTTGAGTAGGAGTAATCTCAGGGGATGGCTGATATCAAAGGAACGGTGGAGTCTTTCTGCTTCCAGTACAGGATGGAGCACAAAGCAAGATTGATTGTCATGTTTTACCTGCAATCAGGGTGAGGGAAAAAACGAAAGGGCTTTTCAAGAGTTGAAGGAAAAGGCTTTAAGGCAGAACAAGTGGAGATTAGAGCTTTTGTTTCACAGTGATGTTTGCTTTCATTTATACACATTCCTGATTTATACTTAATAACATGAAAGTGGCTAATTTTCCTATTCGTAAAAAATATTGCTAAGTGTGCAAATATGAATTACTCACTGCTTCTCTTTAAATGTACTCAGTTAACAGGTCAGGTTTTCTTTTTTAATTTTTTTTTTTTGAGACCAGAGTCTCACTCTGTACCCCAGGCTGAAGTGCAGTGGCGCGATCTTGGCTCACTGCAAACTCCGCCTCCCAGGTTCAAGTGATTCTTCTGCCTCAGCCTCCTAAGTAGCTGGGATTACAGGCATGTGCCCCTACGCCCAGCTAATTTTTGAATTTTTAGTAGAGACGGGGTTTCACCATGTTGGCTAGGCTGGTCTTGATCCCTTGACCTCGTGATCCGCCTGCCTCGGCCTCCAAAAGTGCTGGGATTACAGGCGTGAACCACTGTGCCTGGCCTTAATTCTTTTTTTTTTTTTAATTAGCAAACGAAACAATCAACAAGGTGAAGAGACAGCCCACAGAACGGGAGAAAATATTTGCAGTTTATCGAACTGACAAGTGATTAGTAACCAGAATATACAAGGAGTCCAAACAACTCAAAAACAAAAAAACAAATAATCTGATTTTAAAATAGGCAAAAGATCTGAACAGACATTTCTCAAAAGAAGAGATACAAATGGCCAACAGGTATTAAAAAAAAGTTCAACATCACTAATCATCAGAGAAATTCAAATCAAAATAATCATGAGCTATCATCTCATCGCACTTAAAATGGCTTTTATCAAAAAGACAGGCAATAAGGGATGCTGGCAAGGATGTGGAGAAAGGGGAACCATTGTACACTGTTGGTGGGAATTAAATTAGTACAACCACTATGGAGAACGGTTTGGAGGTTCCTCAAAAAACTAAAAATAGACCTACCATATGATCCAGCAATCCCACCGGGTATATACACAAAAGAAAAGCAATCAGTCTATTGAAGAGGTGTCTGCATTTCCATGTTTATTGCAGCACTGTTCACAATAGCCAAGATGTGGAATCAATCTAAGTGTCCATCAGCAGACGAATGGGTAAATGAAATGTGGTACATATATAGAGAGAATGGAATATTCTTCAGCCATAAAAAGAATGAAATCATGTCATTTACAACAACGTGAATGGAACTGGAGGATATTATGTGAAGTGATGAAATAAGCCAGGCACAGAAGGACAAATATTGCATGTTCCCACTCACGTTTGGGAAGTAAAACAATGATCTTACGGAAATAGAGAGTAGAATTGTGGTTATCAGAGTCTGGAAGGGTAGTGGTGGGGGAGATGAAGAAAGAATTGTTAACAGGTACAAAAATACATTTAGATAGAAGGAATAAGATGTAATGTTCAGTAGCTCAATAGGGTAAACATAGTTAACAGTAATTTATTGTGTATTTCAAAATAACTAGAAGATGGGAATTGGAATGTTTCTGACACAAAGAAATGATAAATGCTTGAGGTGATGGGCATCCCATTACCCTGATTTGATCATTACGTGTTGTATGTGTTGTATGCTTATATCAAAATTTCACATGTACCCCAAAATATGGACGACTATGATGTATTCAAAAACTAAAAATAAAAAAATTATGAATACGAGCAACTAGCATCTAGGCAACTGGGTCTGCTCTGTTTAATGATTTCAATAATTCAACAAATATTTATTGACTACCACTCATGTATTAGACACTAAGATATTTGATAATGATACAATGGTGAATCAACAGATAAATGATTTATCCTGATGCTTATACATTAGTAAGGAAGATTAAAAAAACTCGTAATCAAGTTAAGTGTGACAGGCATCATGTGCTTATTGGAACATGTAGAAGGGGTTTCTGTGTCCCTGCAATCAGGACAGGTCTTTCTGAGTCTGAAGTATGAATCAGAGTTAGGTAAAGCAGAGAGGGAAGGCAGTTTAGTTTCCTTGGTACAAGACAGTGTATTAAACACTGCAGTAGAGAGAATTGTAAATGATAATTCTGCACTTACAGAATTTGCAATTGAGTAAATATGAGAATATTATCTAAATGTACTGAATGCTCATTGTGTGCTAGGTGTTATTAAATACTTTACTTGTATTGATTCCTTTAATCCTCACAACAACTCTATGAAGGAGTTACTGTTATTGACCATCTAAAGGTGAGGAAACAGAGGAACAGAAATAGGAAGTAGCTTGCACAGATCTTCCTGATCTCCCTCATAGCCAATGACAGGCCTAACATAACAAATACAATGACAGGCCTAACATACAAATACTTGGCGTCTGGGTCCGAAGCATGAACTTTTTTTTTTTTTTTTTTTTTTTTTTTTTTTTGAGACGAAGTCTTGCTCTCTCACCCAGGATGGAGTGCAGTGGCACGATCTCAGCTTACTGCAACCTCCACCTCCCAGGTTCAAGCAATTCCCTGCCGCAGCCTCCCAAGTAGCTGGGATTACAGGTGCCCGCCACCACACCCGGCTAATTTTTGGATTTTTAGTAGAGACGGGGTTTCACCACGTTGGCCAGGCTGGTCACGAACTCCTGACCTAATGATCCACCTGCCTCGGCCTCCTAAAGTGCTGGGATTACAGGCGTGAGCCACCGCACCCGGCCTCAAAAACCTGCACTCTTAAGAAGCATTTTAGTCTAAGAAAAGATTGACATATATAATTGCAGATTTACAAATAACTGCAATGCAGTAAATTACAGTTACTATAAGAGCATCCTTATGTCGGAGCTCAGTGGAATGCCTAGGGCTTGGTGTGCCTTAGCTTTTTAAGGAAAATTTGTATTATTTTAATTATTTTTATGTACAGAAAACTCAACAGTGTACATTTAACCAAGTTTAGTGGGAATTTCTTTAGCCTTTGCCTTTTTGAGCTTTGGTGCAGGTCTTCCTGTAGACTAGACATCCCAGTCTTGCCTTCCCCTTGATAATGCAGTAAGGGACCCCCATTTTACGACACAGGGCAGGCAGAAAGGTAACCAGCTCGATGGGATCCACGTCGTGTGCAATCACCACCAGCTGAGCTTTCATGTTCTCCACCAAGGTGGTGACGGTGTTAACTCCGGCTGGAAGGACAGGTGGTCTCTTAGTGGGGACGTCCCCTTTGCCGGCAGCTTTCTTCTCAGCTGGGGCCAACAGCCTCTGCCCCTTCTCTTGCTTTGTCTTTAGTCTGTACTTGTGGGCCAGCTTAAGCAGCTGAGTAGCTGTTTGGCAGTCCAGGGCCTGGGCGAACTGGTCAATCGCAGGAGGCACTTTCAGCCGCTTACAGAGGATGGCTCTCTGCCGCTGCAACCTGATATAGCAGGGCCGTTTCACAAGGTGGGCGAGGTCTCTTTTGGGTTGGATGTCCTGTCCAATGCCAAAATTCTTAGGCCTTTTCTCAAACAGGGGATTCACCACTTTCTTGGCCTCCTGCTTCTTCATGACCGCAGGGGCCGGAGCCACCTTCTTCCCCTTGGCCTTCTTTCCTTTCGGCATCTTGAGCGGCGGAAAGAGAGAGACGCCCTTTTTCTTTCTTTCTAGACTCTCGCTCCCATGGACTTTTGGTAGGTGCACTAGATAGCACACACGGTTTTCCCTTGAAGCAAGGCATTTCTGTCTGGTTGAAAGCACACTCACGGCCTCTAAATGCTTGTCATGCAGTCTGCAAACAAGATGTTTAAAGGAAGTTGAAAACTCATGTTTCTCCTTGTGGAAGTTCATCCCTCTTTCTGCACAAGGTGGACTACAAGAGGTCCTTCTGGCTGGACCAAACTTATTTTCAGGAAGCAGCTCTGAATCTGTAGAAAAGCTTGAACATTACTAGTTCTCAGAGTGATGCTGCATAATACAAGAAGAGGCTACCTTCATTTGATGTTCCTATGATTACTGTATGTCCGCCTCTACCGTGATACCGACTTGCTAAGGATTGCTAACATTTAGGCATACTTGCATCGTAACAACTTAACAGTTTAACTTTGACTACAAAGGCCAGTGAAGGGATCGTCTACTATAATTTTCAATTACGTTGAAATGTTTCCACAATAACTATCTTTAAACACTTTATGTGTCTAGAAATGCAGGTTACTTGGTGAAATCTAATCTCGATGGAAAGCTTTGATGCTCTGTATCAAATGAAAACCAATTTAAGCCATCTATGCTGCACATTAATATTAAGCAATTATATTAACTGAAAGCACTGTGAATACATGAATTGCTTTCATTAAAAAAAGATTTCCTTAATTACCTTCTAAGCAAATATTCTCCACTAAACTTTTTAAGTATTTGCAATACTCAAATAAAATAGGTAATGGAGATGTCAATTTACATGAAATACATATTTCTAAAAATCTAACTTGCATTGCAAGTTTAAAATATGTTTACAAAATCCAGAATTAAATATAATTTTATAAGGCTATTTTTATTTGGATACTGTTATGTTATTCGGAGAAAACAGTATTTCTTGTTTTTCATCCTTTACTAGCTCAAGGCTTGTCAGGATGCCACTCATATCATATTGTGATGTTATGATGTATGCCCATACCACTTTCTGTCTCAAGGAAAAGGTCTGTCTCCTCTTATCCACATTGGCCGCTGTGCCCATCTCTCTGGTTTCCATCTTGCTGGCACTAAGGTAGCCCCTCATGTTCACAGAGAAGAAAGGCTGAGGAGGTACATGGGTTTTTTGTGACCGCAAGCTTTTCAGTGCTTGTGTGACTCTAACTTCTGTGAAATTTCTTGATTTTCCTCAAGTAGGACTTCAGGGATTCATGGAATATAAAAGATGGAGCTAAAACAGACTATTTCCCACATGTTCTTAGGCTTAAATGTTGAAGTGTAAATGTTTAAGTTGTATTTATTTATTTAGGACAAATTATAATTGCATGTAATTGTGGGGTGCACAATGATGTTGTGATATATGCCCACAGTTTAGAATGATTGAATCAAGCCAATGACATATCCATCTTTTTTTTTTTTTGACAGAGTCTTGCTCTGTTGCCCAGGCTGGGGTGCAGTGGCAGGATCTCAGCTCACTGCAACCTCCACTTCCTGGGTTCAAGTGATTCTCCTGCCTCAGCCTCCCAAGTAGCTGGGACTACAGGTGCACACCACCATGCCCAGATAATTTTTTTTTTTGTATTTTTTAATAGAGATGGGGTTTCACCATGTTTGCCAGGATGGTCTTGATCTCTTGACCTTGTGAGCTGGCTGCCTCAGCCTCCCAAAGTGCTGGGATTACAGGCGTGAGCCACTGTGCCCGGCTCCCCATTTTAAATATATATCATTTATTCCTCCTGTTTAAAGCTTAATACCCTTTGACCGACACCTCTCATTTTCCCTACCCTCCAGCCTCTGGTAACCACCGTTCTACCCTCTGCTTCTGTGCATTTGACTTTTTAAAATTCCACATGAGTGAGATCACAGGGTATTTGTCTCTGTGCCTCACTTATTTCACTTAACATAGTGTCCTCCAGGTTCATCCATGTTGTAAATGAAATAATTTCTTTCTTTTTCTTTTTTTCTTTCTTTTTTTTTTAAGGCTGAAGAACATTCCATTGTGTGTATATATCTCATTTTCTTTTTCCATTTATCCATTGATTGACACTTAGATTGATTCCATGACTTGGCTATTGTAAACAATGCTGCAACAAACATGGAAGTGCTGATATCTCTTAGACATATTAATTTCAAGTCCTAAGGGTATATAGTTAGAATAGGGTTGCTGGAACATATGGTAATCCTATTTTTAGTTTTCTAAGGGAACTCCACACTGTTTTCTGTAATGGCTGTGCTAATTTATATTCCCACCAGTGTACAGTGTTCCCTTTTCTTCACATCCTCACCATCACGGTTGTTATCTTTCCTCTTTTTGTTGCTAGCTCTTCTGATAGATGATATATCATAGTTTTAATTTCTATTTCCCTAATGATTAGTGATATTGAGCATTATATATATATATATATATATATATATATATATATATGTATATATGTTGGCCATTTGCATGTCTTATTTTGAAAAATATTTATTCAGTTTCTTTGCCCATTTTTAAATTGGATTTTTTTTTTTTGCTATTAACTTTTTTGAGCTCCTTATACATTTGGGGTATTAGTTCCTTATATAATGTATTGCTTGTAAATTTTTTTCTGATCTGCAGATTGTCTCTTCACTTGTAGTTGTTTTCTTTGTTGTGCAAATATTTTTTAGTTAACTGTAATCTTACTTGTCTATTTTTGTTTTTGTTATTTGATCTTTTGGAGGTCAAATAAAAAAAAAAAAAAAAAAACATTGCCCAGACCAGTGTTGTGTAGTTTTCTCCTCTGTGTTTTCCTAGTACTTTTTATAATTTCAGGTTTTACATTTAAATCTTTAATTCATTTTGGGTTTATTTTTGTATACTCTGTGAGATAGGGTGGGACTAATATTATTCGTCTGCATGTGAATATCTCATTTTCTCATTGTCCTTTATGGGAGAGATTGTTCTTTACGCATTGTGTGTGTTCTTGGCATTTTTATCAAAGTCAATTGACGAAGGGCATCGGTTCATTTTTGTGCTCTCTATTCTGTTCCATTGGTCAGTGTTTCTGTTTATACTAGTGTCATGCTGTTTTAATTACTATGGCTTTGTAATATAGTTTGAAGTCAGGTAGTGTAAGACCTCTAGCTTTGTTCATTTTGTTCAAGACTGCCTTGGCTAGTCAGGCTTTTTTGTGTGTGTTTCTGTATGAATTTTACGATTTTTTTTTCTATTTCCATTTGCATGAAATATCTTTTTCTGTTACTTCACTTTTAGTCTATTTGAATCTTTAATAGTGAGGTAAGTCTCTTGTAGGTAGCATATAGTTGGGTTTTGTTTTTATACATCCTATTTCTTTGTCAAGCTTCTCATTTTGTATTATTTTTCATATTTTATTTAATCTTCTATCCTTATATTCTTATAGCTGACTGAACTTCTTTAAGAGAACTATATTAATTTTTTGTTAGTTATTTCATAGCTCTCCATTTCTTTAGGGCCTATTGTTGAAGCTTTATTTGTTTCTTCTGGAGATGTCATTATTCTGATTCTTCATAATCTTTGTGTCCTTACATTGGTGCTTGTGCATTTGAAGAAATGGTCACCTCTTCCGTCCTTTACAGGTATTCTTTGGCAAAGTTATACTCTCACTGAAGTCTAGCCTGTGATTCTAGGTCGGCTACCTGGTAATGGCGCTAAGCAGGTAGAGCTTGGCGTTAGACTCTCTAGCTTGCTGAGCCTCTGCCTTTGCTTTGAGATCAGATGGATCTGAGCTCTTCTATTTGGTGAGACCACTGGCTGGGTTCTGCAATCAGGCAGAGATGGTAGCTGGGTCCTCTGATTGGATGAAGACACAATGTGTATTCCCTAGTTAAATGGTACTGCTGTTTGACTTTTGGAATTTGGGTAGGGCTGCAGATTGGGTCCTAAGCTTAGGCTGAGTCACTGATTGGGAGAGTCAGGATCAGCTGCTAAGTTTGGCAGAAATGCACAATATTGAGGTTTACTTCCCTGCCTGGATGTAGCTTTGGTGTGGGATTTGAGGTTGAGGTGAGCTGCTATTTGAACTCCCAGACTGGGGTGGTCTAGCCCCTGTATGTAGCCAAGATATGCCATGGTGGGTGTCTCACTCCATGAGCAGGGTCTTCTTGGGTCTGGTTCTTGGGATGGACTTTTAGGTTGAGCCAAACTCCTCTTAAATGCCCAGGTGGTGCAAGTATAGTCCCTGTGCTTTGCCAAAATACTCTGTGGTAGGTATCTCTCTTCTCAGCAGGAGGAAGTTGGGGGAAGCCTGAAGCTGAGCATGGAGGCTGAGCATCTAGGGATTTAAGCTAGATTGATCTTTCCACTGTGCTTCTGGGGTAACCAGCTTAGCTTTGCAGGTGGGCTATGGTACTCCCACCTATGTGGTGCTGTTTAAGAGGCTACTACTGGTACCTCTCATCAGGTGCCTCTGCTGACAGTAATGCAGAGCTACCACCAAGATACAAGCCCTGTCTACTGTGAGTAACATCTCCTTTCTTTGCTTGTATTTGACCCCAGGTGACCTAGTCATGCCATGATCCCATGTTTCCCATGAGGTGAGAACAGATTGGGCTTCCTGAGAGGCATCTTGGAGTGCTAGTTAAGCTGGATGGCCACCTTATGTTTTATTTTTCCACTTTAGAAACTGTGGACCAGGGGAATCCTCTCTATGTGGCACTGTGCCCATTGGGGAGGGGGAAGGGGTAGCACAGTCAGAGTGACACTGTTGTTACCTGTCTGATGTAGTTTTTATGTGGTTCTGTCTCAGGTTTATTTACAATTTTGGAATTTTTGCCAAGATGGTCTTGTATAGAAATAGTTGCTAGTTGACCTTTTTTTTGGAAGGGAAGAGCTGAGATGTCCTATTCTGCCATCTTGCTGATATCATTCCCTTTGTTTCAAAATTTTTAATATAAAGCTATTCCCTAGGTTAATTGCTTCTAAATGTGAAGGTTGTATTATATCAAAAGATATAAATTTGGAGTCACATCAAAAGAAAGAAGAAGAGTGAGAAAAACTACTTTAAATCAATTATGAGGTCAAATATGTGCTCCAAAATATTTTTTTTCTTTTGCAATGTAAGGATCAATTCAGAAAAAAGAAAATGTTTGCAGAGGCCTTTCTTAAATGATATTTTTTCTTAATTTTTATCAACGATTGCTGCTTGTGTTTAGTTTTATTTTAAACAGCTTTATTGAACTATGATCGACATACACTAAACTTAAACATTTGACAAATTTTGACATATATATATATATATACATATATATAAAACATCACTATAGTAAAAAAATGAGAATATCCATTTCCCAAAAGTTTTCTCTTGCCCCTGGTAGTCTCTTGCACCTGACCTTTCCTGCCACCTCTCCCTTCCAAAAACAGTATATACTCCATTTTTTTCTGGCTTCTTTTATTTATGTCATTCAGAATGAATATTTTGAGATTTATCCAAGTTGTAGCATGTTATTAATAGTTTATTGTTTTTGGTGTTGTGTGGTATTTCATTGAATGGTTAGACCATTGATGGATATTTGGGTTGTTTTCAGTTTTTGGCTATTACACATAAGGCTGCTATGAATGTTTATATACAAGCTTTTATGTGGACAGGGATTTTAATATTTATTGGGTAATACTTAGAAATGGAACAGCTGGTAGGTATATGGTAGGTTTACATCGAACTTAAAAAGCTGTCAAAATGTTTTCCAAAGTGGCAGTGCCACCTCACATTCCCATCAGCAGTATATGAGAATGTATATTACACCACATCCTCTCCAGCACTTGTATGGTCAGTTTAAAAAACACTTGTATAGTCTAATAGGTGCATGGTGGTAGTTCATTGTGGTTTTAATTTGCACTTCTTTTGTGACCAAAGATGTATAGCATTGTTTGTCATTGATAGATCTTCTGTGGTAAAGTCCCTATTCACAGCTTTGGACCATGATTTCAATTGGGTTTTTTGTTTTTTTTCATATTATTGAAATTTAGGAGCCATTCATATATTTTGGGTCCATCTCCTATATCAGATATATAATTTTCAAATTTTTTTCAGTCTGTGGTTTATATTTTAATTTTATTTATTTAATTAATTTTTGGTGGGGGGAGACAGGGTCTTGCTTTGTCACCCAGGCAGGAGTGCAGTGGTGTGATCACAACTCACCGAAGCCTCAACCTCCCAGGCTCAGGTGATCCTCCCACCTCAGCCTCCCGAGTAACTGGGACCTATGCCTGCATGGCTAATGTTATTATTTTTTGTAGAGACAGGGTCTCACTATGTTGCTCAGGTTGGTCTTCAACACTTGGGCTCAAATGAGTCTCCTACCACGGCCTCCCAAAGTGCTGGGATTACAAATTTGAGCCACTGTGCCTGGCCTTAATTTTCTTAATAATTTTTATTTTTATGTTTTTGTTTGAGATGGGGTCTCACTCTGTCGCCCAGGCTGGAGTGCAGTGGTGTGATCTCAGCTCACTGCAAGCTCCGCCTCCCGGGTTCAGGCCATTCTCCTGCCTCAGCCTAGCTGGGACTCAGGTGCCCGCCACTATGCTTGGCTAATTTTGTTTTTGTATTTTTAGTAGAGACGGGGTTTCACTGTGTTAGCCAGGATGGTCTCGATCTCCTGACCTCGTGATCCGCCCGTCTTGGCCTCCCAAAGTGCTGAGATTACAGGTGTGAACCACCGTGCCCGGCTGAAGAGCAGGAGTTTTATGTTTTGTTAAAGTACAATTTATTACTACTTTCTTTTATGGCTCATCATTTTGTCATCTGTAAGATATTGTTACCTTATCTAAGATCACCGAGGTTTTTTTTTTCTTTTGTTTTTCTGGAATTTTTAAGGGATTTGGCTTAGTCTCCTGGAGATGGAGTGAGAACAAAGATCCTAGAGAAATAGTGATGGAGTTATATTTGGGTGAGGCTGCAAAGAAGATTGGTGTGGGGTTCTGGAAAGAGCAGGGGTCTTTTTCAAAATGATCATAAGCAGTACTCTGGGGATGTGTGAAAAACTCAGAAAGAATTCCTTTGACTACTTGGTGCTGTTTAAGAGGCTACTACTGGCCGGGCCCAGTGGCTCATGCCTGTAATCCTAGCACTTTGCGGGGCTGAGGCGTGCAGATCACCTGAGGTCAGGAGTACAAGATCATCCTGGCCAACATGGTGAAACCCTGTCTCTACTAAAAATACAAAAAAATTACCTGGGCATGGTGGCGCACACCTGTAATTTCAGCTACTCGGAGGCTGAGACAAGATAAATTACTTGAACCCGGGAGGCAGAGGTTGCAGTGAGCTGAGATCGTGACACTGCCCTCCATCCTGGAGATCGAGACTCTGCCTTTAAAAAAAAAAAAAAAAAAAAAAGTGGCTACTCCCAAGGCCTAGCCATTTTCGGTTCCCAAAGATCTATGGAAATGGCAGAACTGGCAACCTTTAAGGAATCACAAAGGCTAAGAAAACAAACATCTCAGTCTTAGTTACTTAACTAGCACGAACTCAGATCTGAGGATGAGGGGCCTCCCTGATGGGCAGGAACTTGGTTTGATCATAGAGTGCCAAGAATGAGCTAGAATATCCTGCTAGCTTTGCAATACGCAAACTTGGTGCCAGGTTAATGCAGAATTAATTTAAAGAAAATAACAAAATGCAATATCTTTCATACCTCGTAGTTACAATATTAAAACTAATACACCACATACTATATAGATTAATTCCAAGTTGCATAATTTCTTTATACTGTTCTTCTCAGAATGGTAGTCTAATCTAGGTCTATAATTCGTGCTGACCCACGGCAGTGACCTGAAAGAGTTGGCACTTTCAGATTTTGAATATGTTGTCTCAGAGCATTTTCTCTCCACCTTTGCTAAGGACACGTCTCCCCTCAGCTTTCCGTGTCCGTCCCTGTTTCAGGCAAGGTGAGTTAGGCTCACAGTGAGCTCCGCCAGCTGTGGCTGTGTGTATTTGTGTGTCTGTGTGTTGTAGTGGTAACAGCATCAGCAGTGTTTGTTGCAGATCAGCTAACTCTGGTAAGAAGTTTCAAAGCTGGTTGTTATTTACTTTTTCGCTTTTTTTTTTGTTCCACCTGATAATTTTCCAAGTTAATTATTTATGCTGCAGAAAAATTATAATGCGTTATGAAAGCAATTCTGTGCTGTATCAGCTTTCCATTTTCTCTTTTGATCAAATATCACTATATTTCATACATATTTTTTCACAATTCGCAGTTTAGGATTGCAGCCACTTCTCGGTTTCATGATGGATGGAAGTTTAGTTTCTAGTTTTTGTATGTTTAAATAGGTCTCCATAGGTTTTAAGAATATGTCTGATACTATTTTAACAAATCTTTAGCCTCTGGAGTATGTATTCTGTGTGTGTGCCAATACTACTAAGAACTCAGTTTCTCTTTAAAACATATTTTTATGCCCTCCATCCCTGCTCCACCCCATCATTTTTCCTGGGAGCAGCCAAAGCCATAGACAGAGTAGGAATTTAAATGTAATTTACAAATGCTGTCCTTCTCATTCCTCCTCCTGTGGTGATTTGTCCCAGGCCTCCTCTCTTCCTCTTCTAAGTCTGAATCAATATCAGTTAACACTGTCTCGCCAACACTCCTATGAGCTCCACCTCACAGATTAGCAGAGCCTTTTCTCATTTCAGAGGTAACAGTTGAATGTGAATGAGTTGAATCAGGCTGATATAGGTTTCTACTGGATTTTCACTTTTCCACCTATAAAAATGAGAAAAATGAGAGACAGCTGAAAAAGGACCAAAGACTGCCTCTGAGGCTGTATGAGCAAGCTGCTTATCCCTGAGGCTGACACTGTTTCACTGACTTCAATAAGATCAAAGATGGAGTTGGATTTGAACCTTGGTCTCTCTTATTTCGAGTACATTACATTAGATTTTGTATTTACTGTTTCCTTCTGTTACTCTAATGGAATATGATACGGTCATAGACTATATTAATTAAGACATACTTCTCAGGTATAAGTGGGTATAGTATAATAATGCTACTGCTTTTCAGTAAGTGGATCAATTTGACACGGGAATTCACAATTTGGCCATTTTATAAACAGAAATTATAAGGGACTATCTTGCAGAAAATTTTGTCCAAAATTTTGATTAAAACAGGATAACAAAATAAATTTATACAAATAAAACTTAGGAATAAAGAAGGTGACACGTGACCAAACACTGCATCAAATTTCTGTTAGCACCTTTAACACATATATCCCGACTTCTAATTTTTTCCAAAAACCCACATATTTTTATTTATTTATATATTTTTTGAGATGGAGTCTCGCTCTATCACCCAGGCTGGAGTGCAGTGGCATGATCTCAGCTCACTGCAAGCTCTGCCTCCCAGGTTCACGCCATTCTCCTGCCTCAGTCTCCCGTGTAGCTGGGACTACAGGTGCCCGCCACCACGCCCGGCTGATTTTTTGTATTTTCAGTAGAGACGGGGTTTCACCATGTTAGCCAGGATGGTCTCGATCTCCTGACCTCGTGATCAGCCTGCCTAGGCCTCCCAAAGTGCTGGGATTACAGGCATGAGCCACCGCACCTGGCGTCCAATTTTTTTATGAAAGGTGATTTTCATATACAGTCACAATACTTGGGCATTTGTATGATTATTCAACAACTTGCAAATGATGCTGTCAATAATTTTCAAGAAGAAACAATGCTCTTCCCTAATGGAAGAGTTGATCTGGTATATTCTAATGATCTCACTCGGAACAGTGAAATACTTAGGAGAGATCTTCTTCTTGGACTAAATGTAAAGACTTTTAAAAACTCCAGATTATACTGGTTATGACTTTTTAATAAATATGACTTTATTAGATACATTTTGAAGGGACTTGTGTCTTATAGAAGTATAATAAAAGAGCAGTCTATCATGCGTTTTAAACCAGTTACTTTGAATATCAGCCTATGGCCTTTAAAGCTCTGAACAGTTAGAACTGAGCTGTATTTCTGTAATTGAAGGACTGTCCACATGGCCTAGAGCACATTCAAATGATGCTCCTAAATAAGCTTCCAGTTATCACCGAGGCACATGCAAATGGGCAGAAATTTCACATCCAATCATTGTACAACAGGAGAAAATTCTGCTTGTATAATAGAAATGATAACCTTGAAATACTTGAGCACTCATCTTTGAGGAAAGCAGAAAGACCCGAAACCTATCATGTGACGAGCCCGTGAAGCCTAGAATCACAGGGCAGCATTAATTTCATGGGATCTAGCGAAAGAGGATCTAGATGGTCATTCCAAGTCCTATGTAGCCTGTTTATCATCCCCATTTTACATTTAAATGTATGCAATAGGTGTCTTTACATGAGTAGACTTTAAATATAGGTAATTTATAGGCACAATTCTTTACAAATATTTAAACACAATTTCTAAAATTATTCAAGGTTTTATCCCATTGCACAGTTAGACTCTATTTCAGTTGAAAAATACACGTCAAATTGAAAGGTGTGAAATTATTTTTTTAAGCCGGTACTATAAATTATATGCCAGAAATATATGGTCACTTTCTCTAGTCATAGCAAATGTTCAGGTACCAAGTTAACTTTTTAAAAACTTTTCTAGAAGATCCATGGAAATCAGCTGTCACACTGCAACAGGACTCAGGAGGCCTAATATGTGCATTCCTGATATATTCAGCTGTTTTAATATAAGGTAGAGTAATACAGTAGAAAACAGACTACATATGGAGTCAGAACCATATGCAGCTTTCTTCACTCAGTGTTTTTAAAATGTTTAAAAATGCTTAACTTTTTTTTTTTTTTTTTTTTTTTTGAGACGGAGACTCGCTGTGTTGCCCAGCCTGGAGTGCAGTGGCGCAATCTGGGCTCACTGCAAGCTCCGCCTCCCGGGTTCCCGCCATTCTCCTGCCTCAGCCTCCCGAGCAGCTGGGACTACAGGTGCCCGCCACCACACCCGGCTAATAAAAATGTTTTTAAAAACAAAAGTGAACCACCTTTGTTCACTCATTGTTTTTAAAACTTTAGGTACTATTTAGTGTTTTGGAACTTTACCTGCTTATTATCTGCAACATGAATTTAATAATATCATAAAAACTGCATTTAAAAAGAAGATGCACTGAGGTGATGAGTCATATACAACTGTGGGCAGGCAAGATTTTCTTGTTCCCTGTACCTCGTTAACTCATTAGTGCAGGATACAGATTGGATAACGTCTGCTAGTGAGGAACTCTGTGTTAAAATGCCTTTCCATAGGTGTCACTTTCTCCTGTCCCTGCAGTGCCACCACAAAAGCCCAGCCAGCTGATGGCTTTAGCCAATGTGGCAGCAGGGAGTGTGAGGCTTCTGGCTTTGCTAGGACTCAGGCCAGCTGTCTCCGTCACTGGGCTCAGGGTGCTCCCTTTAGTTACAAAATCAGACCCCGTGTTGTGGAGCCTGTGCATGTTTGCATTGCTCTTTTGAGTTAAAAATCATTTAGACCTAATGAGTTTAGGATAAAGGACTATAAACAGCCTGTCTTATCCAAGTTTTCTGCAATGGAGTCTGCCAGCTCATGCCCAGCTAACGATGTGTCTTTGAAGCCATTAGGTATTTTCTATTATTTTTTTGCACATAAATATGCTTTGTGGACCTTGTAGAAAGAGGTGACTAGAGACTGGAGCAAGATTCAGGTCTTCCTGGATGCCCTGCTAAATGTCATATGATTACATTGGTTAAAGTCCTAATTCTTCATTAATACCAACATATGTGATGGTGGGTTGCTTTCATGTATTTCTGATAGTAATCATTAGTGCTGTTTATTATTAATATGATCATTTTATCCTTGATTTCCTAGTATGCTGAAGAAAAGTATGTTATTCAATCAGCTTTGTGCTAAACTATAGTATATTTGGCCCTTAAAAGTCCTTTGCTTGCTCCCCGAATGTTGAAGTTTCTTACTGTTCCTTCCAGGTCTTCTCTTTTCACTTTCCAGCATAATCTCATCTGCTTTTATGGCATTAATTATCTCTGCATTGATTACTTCTAAATTCATATCTCCATGCTTAATATTTTATTTGAGATTCAGTTCCATATTAATGTGTCTACTGGATTCCCCAGAGGCATCTTAATATGGATAAAAAATTCATTTTTATGGCCAGGCACAGTGGCTCACGCCTGTAATTCCAGAACTTTAGGAGGCCGAGGTGGGCGGATCATGAGGTCAGGAGTTCGAGACCAGCCTGGCCAACATGGCAAAACCCCGTCTGTACTAAAAATACGAAAATTAGCCTGGTGTGGTGGCAGGCTCCTGTAGTCCCAGCTACTTGGGAGGCTGAGGCAGGAGAATCACTTGAACCCGGGAGGCGGAGGTTGCAGTGAGCCAAAACGGTGCCATTGCACTCCAGCCTGGGCAACAGAGTGAGAATCTGTCCCCCGCCCCAAAAAAATCATTTTTATAACCACCTACATTTATTTTACTTCCCGTTTTAATGAACGAAGTCAATAGCATTATCGCTTGCATTTTCATTCGGATCCACTCTGCTCCATTCTGTCCCGTGTCCTCTTGTTCACCTGCAAATCCACGTAGTTGCTGAGTTTCAGCCTATTCCATCTCAGGGCAGAGCCACTGCTTGGACTTCCACGGCTTCACCTCAGACCCTCATCCGATGCTGCCTTGGCTATTCCAGGAAACTGCTCTCTGCTTCTAGTCTTATCACAGCTGGGAGGCAGGTTCTCAGCCATGCTCGCCCCCTACCTGGAAACAGACTCGGGGCTGTTGTGGGGGGCACGGTGAGAGTGAGACCGGCCCTCTGGGTTGTGTGGGATCCGCCCGATACTGCCACAGCTGATGCTGTCTTGAAAGCACCACCTCCCAGCAGGAGCCCAACCAGCACACAAATAGTGCACTAAACAACCAAAGCTAAGGACCCTCACAGAGTCCACTTCACCCTCCTGCCGCCTCCACCAGAGCAGGTGCTGGTATCCATGGCTGGGAGACCCACAGATGTTTCACATCACAGGACTCTGCAGACAACCCTCTTTACCAGCCCATAGCCTGGCAGACTTGCTGGGTGGCTAGACCCAGAAGAGAAAAAACAATCACTGCAGTTCGGCTCTCAAGAAGCCACATCCCTAGGAAAAGGGGGAGAGTACTACATCAAGGGAACACCCATGGGACAAAAGACTCTGAACAACAGCCTTCAGCCCCAGACCTTCCCTCTGACACAGCCTACACAAATGAGAAGGAACCAGAAAACCAACTCTGGTAATATGACAAAACAAGTTTCTTTAACACCCCCCAAAATCACACTAGCTCACCAGCAATGGATCCAAACCAAGAAGAAATCCCTGATTAACCTGAAAAGAATTCAGAAGGTTAGTTATTAAGCTAACCAGGGAGGGCTCCAGAGAAAGGCAAAGCCCAATTTAAGGAAGTAAAAAAAAATGACACAAGAAATGAGGGCAGAAACTTTCAATGAAATAGATAGCATAAATAAAAAAGAATCAAAACTTCAGGAAACAATGGACACACAGAAATGCAAAATGCTCTGGAAAGTCTCAGCAGTAGACTCGAACAAGCAGAAGAAAGAACTTCAGAGCTCAAAGACAAGGTTTTCGAATTAACCCAATGCAACAAAGACAAAGAAAAAAGAATAAGAATATATGAACAAAGCCTCCAAGAAGTCTGGGATTGTGTTAAATGACCAAACCTAAGAAAAATCGGTATTCCAGAGGAAGAAGAGAAAAATAAAAGTTTGGAAAACATATTTGGGGGAATAATCGAGGAATACTTCCCTGACTTTGCTAGAGACCTGGACATCCAAATACAAGAAGCACAAAGAACACCTGGGAAATTCACCACAAAAAGATGATTGCCTAGGCACATGGTCATCAGGTTATCTAACGTTAAGACAAAGGAAAGCATCCTAAGAGCTGTGAGGCAAAACAAACAAACAAACAAAACAAAACAAAACAAAAAACCGGAACCTATAAAGGAAAACTTACCAGATTAACAGCAGATTTCTCAGCAGAAACCCTACAGGCGAGAAAAGATTTGTGGCCCTATCTTCAGCCTCCTTAAACAAAACAATTATTAGCCAAGAATTTTGTATCCAGCAAATCTAAGCTTCATAAATGAAGGAAAGATACAGTCCTTTTCAGACAAACAAATGCTGAGAGAATTTGCCACTACCAAGCCAGCACTACAAGAACTGCTAAAAGGAGCTCTAAATCTTGAAACAAATCCTGGAAACATATCAAAACAGAACCTGTTTAAAGCATAAATCTCACAGGACCTATAAAACAAAAATACAATTAACAAAACAAAACGAAAAACCGAGGTATACAGGCGACAATAACACAACGAATGGAATGATACCTCAAGTCTCAATACTAGCATTGAATGTAAATGGCCTAAATGCTCCACTTCAAAGATACAGAATTGCAGAACGGATAAGCCTTCACCAACCATCTGCTGCCTTCAAGAGACTCACCTAACACATAAGGACTCATAAAATCTCTTGCTAATTTCTCCTCTCCTTTGCTCCCCAATCCTATACCAGAAGGCAAGAATGTTAATCTCTTCCTTAAAATTGCCGCTTGCTTCCCATCTATTCAATAAAGTCCAAATTACCTATCTTACGCGTGGTTTTTAGTTGTCTGTTGCCTACCTAATCCTCTGACCTCATATTCCCAATGTTTATATCATTCACCATGACTTGGAACATTTCATTCCTTATATTATCCCTTCCCTAGACCTTCCCTCTGATTATCTCTTCCATCTGGACCTTTCCCTTCCTCAATGGGCAATTTCCATTCATTATTTAAGGCTCAGCTTAATTTACTCCGTTGTGGAGCTCTTCCTTATCACTCCCTAGTCAGTCGCTCCCTCCCCAGCACTGTCTCTAGGCTTGTATCACAGCACCACACCACCTGCTGACTTGTCAGCCTGGCTCATGATACCTTGCTGCCTTTAATCAAGTCTGGTTCTTCAATTATGATCACAGTGTTTGCTACATAGTAGAAGATAAAGAAATACTTGTCTGTTGGATGAATGGTCAAGTAGCAATGAACTTTGCCTATTCTTTTTCAACATAAGTAACTTACAATACTTCTTTTACTCTCATTGAAGGTATTTAAAATACCTTCACCACAATTTTACTCTCATTGAATGTATTTTAAAATACTTTCAGTTCCTCACCCTTCAACATCCATCTCAGCCCTCAGTTCTACTGCAGATGCAACTATTTTTAAGGCAACTTTTTAGATATATTGTAAATACTGAAAATAAAAAATAATAACTATTTAAAATGAAGATCATTCAGGAAAACTTACTATTTCATCTGCGTTTAGTTCAATATGCCAATTTCATGTGCTGTATTTATAAAATTATTCTTTAATAAGCATCACTAATATATCTATGAGAAGCCATTAATTACTGCCTCTACAAAAGGCTAGTGTCAAAGGTAATGTTATCTCAAAATCTGAGATGTTTAAGTTCCAAACTTTGTCAATTTTTTTTCTGTAATCAAGAATCCACATGTTGGATGTTTTACTATAAAATATTACTGAGTAACATTTAACATGGATTTAAAGCTGGAGCCAATAAATTTATTATGGTGTAAATTAGCTTCTTTATAGAATTTTCTCCAAAGTTGTTCGATAACATGAGAGTTGGAATGAATGGAATGTACTCAATAACTATTTTTAATCTATTTAGTTATGAAGGACCAAATAAATGGGTGGATGGATTTCTAGGCACTGTCTTGGGAGACAAAAGATAAAGAGTAACTAAGCTGAATTTCCTTCCTTTGGCAAAGGCTGTCCCTTAAACAACTGGTGTATTGTCAGAAAGTGATTTAAACTATGTTCATGCAGCAACAAGCATCTGTTTTGTAAATAACCAAAACATTTTGTTCAGGTGGCAAAGTGGTATCTTCAATTTAGAACTGACCAGCCTTTGGTGAAATGCTTCTAATTAATCTAATTGCTTAATTAAATCCATGCTCAAGGGATATTTTTTCAACCAAAGCCTCCTAATTGTTTATCAATGAGTGTGATTCACATTCTGCTTTATCTGTGAGCTCCTTCTTGAGCTCCTTAAAGATAGCCAAAGACAGGGGAAAAGAGGTTTTAGAAGCACTGCCTCACATTGAATGGACCTTAGTCGGTGCGTAGAATAGAAGCTGGCAGGTCACAGTGTTTCTAAGTAGAGCACAGCCAACCTTAGGCTTCATCTTACCATGAAACATAGAGCCTCCTTCCTTTGTGATTCACAAAGCCCTTTCCATCACTCTGGCCATCCCTCCAGCTCTTTTGCCCGTATTTCCCCGTTTCTGCTCTTGTTTCCACACATTCTCTCTGAAACTCTCAAAAATACCTTCTCCTCCCTTTCCATATTTTCTTCATGTATTTTTCTTTTTTCTTTCTTTTTACTTTTTTTTTTTGAGACAGAGTCTTGCTGTGTCACCCAGGCTGGAGTGTAGTGGCGTAATCTTGGCTTACTGCAACCTCTGCCTCCCCAGTTCAAGCAATTCTCCTGACTCAGCCTCCTGAGTAGCTGGGACTACAGGCGCCCACCACCATGCCTGGCTAATTGATATATATATATATATATATATATATATATATATATATATATATATATACACACACACACACACACACACATTATATATATATATATATACACACATATATAATGTGTGTGTGTATATATATATATATTTTTTTATTTTTAGTAGAGGTGGAGTTTCAACATGCTGGCCAGGCTGGTCTTGAGCTCCTGACCTTGTGATCCACCCGCCCTGGCCTCCCAAAGCGCAGGGATTACAGACATGAGCCACCATGCCCGGCCTTCTTCATGTATTTTTCAAATTAGCAATTTATATTTTTTGAAATTGAAAATAACATCCAATAGATGAACAGCATATCATGCCAGAAGCCTTGCTTTCAATGCATTTGCATTTGCTTTATCATCGTCTCTTCTGATATCAAGCCTGAGATTTCTCACTCTGAAAATAATTTTATCTCTCGTCAATCTTGTTATCTCAGCTACATCTCTTAATGTTGATTACACCCAAATCCATGCTTACTGAACACAGTCAGATGTTCTAAGTGAGCTAACATGTGTAAGGCATTTAATAGTTGCCCTGGTACTTACTAAGTGACATGAAATTTTTGGCTATTACTATTACATCATCATCATCATTATCATTACTATTATTATCATTATTCTTATGTTTCTATTAGGTTGCCTCAGAGCAAATCAAATGCATATAACCAAATGTTTTAATCCTTATGTGTATGTTTTTTAATGTAAATTCATAGTTTCCACTCTCAAACTTGTCCTTCTTCCTTTTATGCTCTGCATTGAACCACTGTTAATTTCTTACCAACCTCTGTTACATCTCTTGTATTCATTTTCTCTTCTCCACGTAGATCCTGTTGACTTTGGCTTACACTCATTTCATTTCACTGGGATTCTTCTCTAGATGCTCAACTTTTTCTTCAAACTATAATTCATCTTATCTGTGGTAATCAGTTTATTTTTTAAAGCATAGTTCTGTTTACAAGACTTCTCACAAGCTTCCAAGTCTCTATTGCCTGTTGAATAAAGTTCACCGTCCTTCATGTGACACTGAAGGTGTTCAGTCTTCCGCTTTCAGATAATGTTTCTGGTGCAGTCACCTGCCATTTTCTTTCACACCTCCTAGAGTGCAACGGATCTGCATAGTATTTAATGCTCCTCATTCAATGACTATGTAGTGAAGTGTTCCTGGAAGCCTGGTTCTAGTTTAAGTGTCTTCACCCAGTGATAAGACTGACACGATCACCGCTCTGTGATTAACATTACTTTGCTCACGCTCCCAACTCTGCTCCCTTCTCCAAGATACTTTTGTGCTCATTCATCCACATCTGATTTATCTGGTGTGAAACTGATCATAGGTCTCCTTATTTATGAAGTATTCTGGTAATTCCGACTGAAAGTCCTCTTTTTCTTCTTCATTCTCGTGTTATTTATTTATATCTTTTTCATCGCACTTAGCCTTTTCACTCTTGGTCAGCTTTCTGTTCAGTGTTCAGGGAATACATGAAGATTCTCTGAACCCGCGACAAGGAATGCTGTAGCTTGGAATAGTCTTTCTAAGTCCAGAGGCTGCTTTCTTCAACTGTGTGTGCCTTTCACAAGTTTCCAACTTCTATTCGGAGCCAGCCAGTGCTGTGTCTACTGGTACAAAACATAGTGTTGTAAGGCTACACGTGGAAATGCGCTTAAACTAGAAGCAATAACAGACATAGGTTAGTGTAAGTTATATTTTTTCTGTGAGTTTTGAATTTTGTTTTCACTTTTATATTTCTGCAAATGGAAGATGGCAAAAGGGCTGTAAAGAAGTGAAGATCAGTAACTGCCTCAAATTTCAAGGCAAGAAAAGGCAGATTGTTAGAAATATCCATCTGATTGAGGAAAAGTGACATGTTTGCTTGAGGTATGTGTGTAATAGATTCCACTGACCACTGCACGGAATATGTGCAGACACAGCTGATGCTGCAACCTTATCTTAAAAACTCATCCTTTAAAAAATAATTTCCGCATCACAAATATGCTTTTTCTTTATTTCTTCTCATACCATTTTACCGCCTAGTTACCAATTTGCTGAAAACGTAGTTTCACAAGAATCCTGATTTGCAGAGCACAGGTTTCCTTAGCTCGAGGCTGTATATATGTTCTGAAATGGAAATAAAGTCTCTTTCAATGATTGGATTCAGTGGAGCTGGGTTTACTGTAAAGGGAACTTTAATAGCTATTTTTCAATGAACACAGACCATCTCCTTTTGATTAAGTTTAACTATTAATGTAATTTGACAAGGAGGTGAGAAGCTCATGCCTCATCTTCATCTGCTGTCTAAAGTAACTTAAGCAAAAGCAAAGAAAAGAAGCAGTAAGGTGTTGCTGCTGGAAAATTCTGTCTGAAAATGCTGTTATTTGAAATTATTTATAGAGAATTCACTGAAGTGAACTATTTCAATAATATTTTTATGTTAACGAAGGTTATCAATGATAAGATGAGCCAATTATAATAGTCTATTATAATTTAAAATGAATCACTGGTTATCTTTTCAACACATTTTATGTCCAGGAGAGCAGCATATCTGCAGTGCTTAAGTGTGCAGTCTCTGAAGGCAGGTGGGAGGTTTGAATTCAGTCTCTAGGGTCCGTACTTCTGTGACCTTGGGTGGCACAGAAGGCTTATCCTTTGTCTAAGCCCTGACTTCCTCAATAGTAAAACAGGGATAATAATTCTACTTACCTCAAAGTTAATACTCTATAGGCTGGACACGGTGGCTCACGCCTGTAATCACAGCACTTTGGGAGGCCGAGGTGAGCAGATAACCTGAGGTCAGAAGTTCAAGCCCAGCCTGGCTGACATGGTGAAACCCCATCTCTACTAAAAATACAAAAATTATCCAGGCATGGTGGCACGTGCTTGTAATCCCAGCTACTCGGGAGGCTGAGGCAGTAGAATTGCTTGAACCCGGGAGGCGGAGCTTGAAGTGAGCCGAGATGGCGCCACTGCACTCCAGCCTGGGTGACAGAGCGATATTTAGTCTCAAAAAACATTTTTTTAAAAAGTTAATACTCTATAAATTTTAGCTCTTATTATTTATTTATTGTTAAGAAAATACTCAACATTTTGAAGGAAATGATTATATCTTTCAACATTCTTGTGACTTTTCTGGATATCTGCTGATTTGATGCATTTTTAAAAATCAAAATATGTAACATGTTTTTACCTTATTAATCTAGCATACCATTTAAATATACAACAGTGTTTCTTCTCTTGACTAATAAGTGAACGATAATGATAATTCAACAACTACATGATTTATTATCTGATCTGAGGTTTAACTTTAAATGCCAACATCATTTTTAAGGTATTTTAAAATAGACTTTATTTTTAAAGCAGTTTTGTGTTCATAGCAAAATTGAGCAGAAAATAGAGTTCCAATATATCCCCACCTCCAAACATTCATAGCCTCCCAACTGATAGCATTTTCCTTGAAAGTTTAATGATTGAGGGTTGCCTGCTTTTACATAATTTACTACGTATTTTTTAAAAATTATAGGCCAGGCGTGGTGGCTCACGCCTGCAATCCCAGCACTTTGGGAGGCTGAGGCGGGTGGATCACCTAAGGTCAGGAGTTCAAGACCAGCCTGGGCAACACAGTGAAACCCCGTCTCTACTAAAAACACAAAAATTAGCCAGGCATGGTGGCGCTGCCTGTAATCCCAGCTACTCGGGGGACTGAGGCAGGGGAATCGCTTGAACCTTGGAGGCGGAGGTTGCAGTGAGCCGAGAATGCGCCAGCCTGGGTGACAGAGCAAGACTCCATCTCAAAAGTAAATAAATAAATAAATAAATAAATAAATAATAAAATAAATAAAATTATGTTAATAGATGTTACTATACATGTTCTGGTTAAAAACCTGAGAAAGTATTTTATTACATTTGAGGAATGGATTTGAGAGTATTTGTACTTCAGGCAATAAGAAATATTGATCAAATCTAAAAAAAAGGATCATAAAAAAGCATTTGATACTTTGTTTATCCATATATTTGCGAACATAAATGGAGTTTTTTGGATCAGATGACATAGTATCTATTTCCTTAATCTATGGGTTAGAATATAAAATGTGATTGATTACAAAATAACTTGTTTTTCATGAAAAAAATTAGCAGCTCTTGTAAAATGCATCTGAATAAGGAGAAAGTGTGCTACAAATGAGTAAAGAAAAACGCTGACTGGCTATACAAATACACTACTCATTAGCACACAAAAACTGTCTCACTTAACCAGGGAACTCCTTCCATTCCATCAGGCATGCCTTCCAGAGCACGTTCTTGCCTTTTAAATCATCAATCATTGCTGCCACTTTAGTGAGACCAAAAGGGTTAAAACTGAAACCCAGCCATTCCCTTTCACTTCTGCAAATGCAGCTCAGCTTTCCCTTCTCTGGTCTATAACAAATGCCACCCACTCTTTCCTCTGGGGTCTTCTCTGATTTGTATGGCCAGTCCCCAACCCGCCTCCTGAACTTCCATGCAACAATTTCAGACCCTCAGCAGTGGAAAGTCTTAGCATAGATGTTCTGTGAGCTTCAGGGCTTAACCCCTCATGAAACTTGACCTGAATCCGTCAGTGGATAGAAAACGGATTTCATATTTAGAATCAGCATAACTATTTGTTACAATTTTCCAGAGTGTTTTTTTTTTTCTTTGGAGACTGAGCCTCGCTCTGTCCAGCCCAGGCTGGAATGCAGTGGTGTGATCTCCGCTCACTGCAACCTCTGCCTCCAGGATTCAAGCAATTCTCTGCCTGAGCCTCCTGAGTATCTGGGATTACAGGTGTCCGCCACCATGCCCGGCTAATTTTTTTGTATTTTTAGTAGAGATGGAGTTTCACCATGTTGGCCAGGCTGGTCTCGAACTCCTGACCTCAGGTGATCCACCCACTTTGGCCTCCCAAAGTGCTGGAATTACAGGCATGAGCCACTGTGCCCAGCCTCTCAATATTCTTGATATTATATGTACTTGTATTTTCTTTGTATTTGAAATTATCATTAGGATGGTAATCAGACAACTTAGATGTTACAATATCTATACTAATCACATCACATTACTTTATTGTTACTAGTTTCTGTGAATGTGTCTTATCTTTTAAATTAAATCCAAAGCTCTTTGAGCCAGAAACTTTGTCTTGTATGAGGTTTGCTATATAAGTATTTGGAGGGAAAATTGAGTGACTCGTTCTTTCGTAAAACTGTTATATCGGAACACCACAGCTTCATGAAAACACATTAACTAGAAGTTATTACACTGGAGTTCGATCTCCAAATAATGCGGGTTGATTAAGTTCCATTAGCTCTGTGGCTTTAAGCAAGTTCCCTACTTCTCAAGACCTTATTGAATTCACTTTACAATAGGGTGACTGGGTCAGGTGATGTCTCCAGTATTCTCCCTTTTAAAGTTATATCACTTTTCAAAAAGAAAGTCTATTCTAAGAAAGAAAATATGACTCGAAGTCTGAATTTGCCCAAGTACCAAAGAAAGGCTAAAGTTAAAGCAAATCTTATTCATAGAGAGCACTAGTAAATCTATTTCTTTTTGATGCTTGAATGTTTTCTATGCTGGAATGTTCTTGGTACATATTAGGTTATAAAATGACTCATCTTTAGGACATTTCAGTGCCTGAGGGTATTTTCTTTGTAATCCATGTATTGAAATTTGACTCTTGATAGCACATGCCAAGCACATAGTTCCATAATATGATTTTTTAAAATTACAGATAATGAATATCAGATGAACACAACAGAAGACACTTAGAAATAAATCACATTTTGACCACTTTTAACAAATACTCTTAGATCAGTGTCAGATATGAGTCCTTAAAGTTTGGCCACAAAGATAATAAACACTTTATCAAATCTCTATCTTCATAATGTGTGCTCTTCTGAAGAATTATTGTCTCTAACAATGCTCTCAAAGAGCTACCAGAAAGGTTATTAAAATGAAACCTATGGTCACTGTAGTCAGAATACAAAACAAACACGCATAGTCACAGTTCATTTGCATCCATTTGCACAGTGCATTTGTTTGATTTTACAAATAACTGATAGATGAGTGGAAATAATATTCAATGTCTTGCAATTTGCAGAAAAGAGAAGTGCGACTTTAATCTCAGAAGAAAATATTTCCCAGAGAATGTGAATATCTAGTATATTGTGCTATCAAAACTCTATCCCTTTATTTTATGTCCTTGCTTGACATTTAGTTGGGGTTTATTCAAGGATTACTTGATTGGAAAAGTGCCTGCATATTTGGATGTTTAAATACATTTGATTTATGTCTCAAGTGACATTTGTGGAAAACATTTTCTGTTTTAGAAACAGTCAGGGTCAGGGAGGTCTCGCCGAGGGGAGGCAGGGACTCAAATGAAGGACTGGCCACATGGAGTATGTGTATCTCGGAGAAGAACATTGCTGACCTCTGTAGGAAGAAAGACTGGCCACATGGAGCATGTGTATCTTGGAGAAGAACATTGCTGACCTCTGTAGGAAGAAAGATGTGCACAGGTGGGTCTGGTCTATGCCACATGGATCCCAGTAACAGCAAGGAGGCCAATGTAACAGGGGTAGAGAAGCAAAGGAGACATTTGGAGAGGCTGCCATATTTTAAAGGTTTTGTGGCCATGTTTAGATTTGGTTATAAGAGTCATAGGACACCATTGGTCTTCTGTTTTAAAGACACCTCTCGCTGCTATAGTGGGAGGAAGGAGAAATATTAGCATCAGGTACAGGTGAACCATGTTTGTGTCTGAGGTAGATGCCCAGCAAGATGAGATGTGCAAGGTCCATCTACATAACTGTGAAGGACAAAGGGAACGGGGGCAGAGGCAGGGAGGGGAAGCCTTCAGACAGTTGTGCCAGTGGGAGACCTTGAAAGGAGAGGTGAGCTCGGACAGCCTGAGACCCAGCATAGTGCTGAGGAGGTGCTGGCAAGGCCAATGGGGGCCGCCTGGGAAAAGCTGCTCTCTAGAAGAATCCTGTTCCAGGCATGAATAGCCTTGACCTAGTCCTCTCTCCTAGGACTGGGAAGAGCCTGGGAGAGGGTGGCCTGGTAGTCAGGAAAGAGTGGCAGCTGGGGACTGTCACCTGCCTGCTCCTTGCAGCAGGTTCTTGTGAAGGGAGAGCCAATCAGGCACCTCCATGGGCACCAGAACGTGAGCGCTTTGGACTAGGGTGGAGGTAGTGGAGGTGGTGAGGTTTTGCCGGGGTTCTAATATATTTAAAGGGGAGAACCAATGATATTTACTAAAAAATAAAATGTGAAATGTCAGAATTCTTTGAGTTGAGATTTTGGGTGAATGGTTATGACAATTCCTAATGGAAATTGGAAAATATTTGGAAGGAATGGGTGTCAAGGTCAGATAAAGGCAGATAAGAAACTGTTTCAGGCATGTTAAGTCTGATTTAACTATTCACCATCCACTTCGATATGTGACAATGGCAGCTGGATATATTTTACTGGGCGGATGGTGGCCTGTGGTATTCCTTCAGCTGCCATTGATGGATAGATGGCTTGTAGAGCGTGAAGACCATCGAGGAGCGGAGTACAGCTGAGGAAGAGAACGGGGTACATTCACGACACCCCAGTGCTCCGCAGCATCTAGAAATTGGGATAAGAAAATGGATCTAGCGAGAGAGTAGAAGTAGCCAGGTAGAAGAATAAGTAGTTTATATAAAAAGAGAGTGTCTGACTCAGAAAATAAGTAATGCAGATGAAAAGGAGGGGATCGATTTGAGAAACATCTACTTAGGATTGGATTATGAAGTAAAGAAAGGACTTTAAGAAGGAGGCAGTTGTCACTTGCTTCAAATCCTGACAAGAGGTGGAAAGGATGATACCTCAAATGGATCACTGGATTTAGCAGTGTGGAGGTCGGTGGTAATGCTGACAAAAGTGGTTTCAGTGGAACACTGATGAAAGCATTATTGGAGGGAATGTAAGACAGAATAAGAGAGCAAGTAAAGGCAGTGAGCATAGAAACTACTCAGAGGAAATCGGCTGTAACAAGAAACAAGATGGAGAATTGCTGTCCTCTCAAGAGAGAGGCTTATGTTTTAAGAGAGTGACAACACAGCAAGCTTAAATGTTTGTGGGAAGGCTCTCTTAGAGAAGGCAAAAACGTATGATCCAGGAGGAAAAGGGGAGAAGCACATGGGAAAATTCTTAGAGGAATCAATAAGAGGGGATGGGATCTACTCCATGTGAAATCAGTTTTGCTTTAGAGACAGCATAAGTAGGTCACCTGTTTTACCAGGAGGAGAGGCAAAGCGCACAGGTCCAGTGCAGCTGAAGTGGTTTCCTCGCTAGTGGAAATTTGTAGACATTCTCTTCTGATTGCTTTCAAACTTCTCAGTGAAATAAGGATCAAGTCACAGTTAGGCAAAGAGGTGCGGGGCGGGCATGGTGGAGAGTTGAGAAGGGGTGGTGTGAAAGTCACTTTGGTGGAGGGAGAGTAAATGAACTTAATGACTCTTGTGACACTGTTGGGCAGTCCTGAGTGCCTGCTTGAGTTCATTCCTGTATATTTAACGTGAGGCCAACCAGCAGGTTTAATGTTTTTCTGTATTCATTTCCAAGTCCTTGGGTGTGAGCACAAACAGGCACAGGCCATATGTAATCATTGTGGTGGTTTTACTAGGCAGATGTGGCACAGGAAAAAGGGCAAGGTAATCGAGAGTAAATAGAAGGGGGTGGTGACAATGACTGATGTAAGATTGACGCTGGGAAATGAAGGAACTGAGAGCTGGAGGGGTGCAATTAATAGAGTGCGGGCTTTGTGGGTTCAAAATATTTAGAATGGGGGCCAAAACGCTGAAGGAGACAGCAAGAAAAGATTATGGAGGAGACAGAGTGAGTCTGGATATGAAAAAAAGTCCAGCGTGTTATCACAAGAGACAAACTGGAAGAGGCTAGATGAGCAGAATAGAGGACAAAGAACCAAGAGTCCTGGGTATTGGTAAAACCTGCTGTGGTCTGGATGCTTGTGTCCCTCTAGATTCCTATGTTGAAACCCTCATCTCCAAGGTGATGGCATTAGGAGGCGGGGCCTTTTGGGATGCGACGGGATCATGAGGGCAGAACCCTTGTGAGTGAAGTTCATGCCTTATACAAGAAAGCCTAGGGCCTTCTTTCCTCTCCACCGTGAGGATGCAGTGTGCAGTGAACTAGGTAGCGGGCTGTCACCAGACACCACACCTGCCGGCACCTGGATCTCAAACTCTCCAGCCTCCAGAACTGTGAGGAAGACATTACTGTTGTTCATAAACCACCCAATCTACAGTATTTTGCTACAGCAGCCAAAATGGACGAAGACAGATCATTTACACGGGTAGAAAAATCACCAGGAATAGCGATGGTGAGAAAAACAGCAAGCCAGACACAAGAATCACCCGTGATGAAGGGGATGGTAAATGACTAGGGAGAGTGACAGAAGGCCCAGTCCCCTGACATGAGCCTTGATGGAACTGGAGCTTTTAGCAGGAACCAGGGCAAATGGGCTTGAGGCAGCCCAGTAGTGTGCAGGGTGTGAAAGGGAAAAACAGCCCTCAGTTGACAGTGTAGTACTTTCCTAGGACTTCTGTAGCAAAACACCATGCACTTAATGCCTTCAATCAACAAACATTTATTCTCTCACAATTATGGAAGCCAGAAGTCTGCAGTCAGTATCAATGGGCCAAAATCAGGGTGTCAGCACTGTCACCCTCCCTTGGTGGCTCCATAAGGAAACCGGTTCCTTGTCTCTCAGCTTCTGGTGACTGCCAGCATTCATTGGCTTGTGGCCACATCACTCCAATATTTAGGGTCAACATTTTTTGATCTCCCTCTGCTCTGTCTTCATATCTCTTTCTCCTCTGTGTGCCCTAAAATCTCCCTCCTCATCTCGTAACAGAATATGTGTGATGTGTGATTGCATTCAGGGTCCATCTGAACAATCCAGGACGATCTCCCCATCTTGAGAACATAATCATATCTGCAAAGGCTTTCTTTTCTTGCCATATGTTATGGTCACCTGCAAAGACATATGGGCCCCTGAGGTTTGATTTGAATGTTGAGGCTGATGATGCCACACACAAGCTAAGGGGGTATGAAAGGTTCATTACTCACATACTTCAGGCTTCTGGGGAGAGCAGGTGGGCCTCACAAGCAGATCCAATGTGACCTAAGAAAGCAAGGGAAGAAGACTGGCCCAAGATGTTATAGTGGTTAGGGGTGGGGCTGGGGTGGGGTCAAAGTTCCCATGTGTGGGAAGGGCTCGTATGGTTTGACTCCCCCACCAGTGCCAAGGGAGGGGGCTCCCCATCTTTCCTGTTGGCTTATCCAGATGCGGGCATAAAGGAATACCAAGGGGTGAGGCCTAGAAGCTGTCAGGAGTCAAACATCAAGAAATGGGGCCAGTCTGGGCCTGGTGGCTCATGCCTATAATCCTAGCTGGGAAGCTGAGGCCCAGAACTTTGGGAGGCCCAGCACTTGAGGCCAGGAGTCTGAGACCAGCCTGGCCAACATGGTGAAACCCTGTCTCTACCAAAATATAAAAGTTAGCCAGGGGTGGCGGCACATGCCTGTAGTCTGTAATCCCAGTTACTTGGGAGGCTGAGGCAGAAGAATCACTTGAGCTCAGGAGGCAGAGGTTGCAGTGAGCCGAGCTCACACCACTGCACTCCAGCCTGGGTGACAGAGTGAGACCCTTCCTCAAAAAAAAAAAAAAAAAAAAAAAAAAAAAAAAAAAAAAGGGAGGGAGGCCAGACTACTCATTACATCATATAAGGCAATTTTCCCAGGTTCTAAGGTTCTAGAGATTAGGAACTGGCTATCCTGGGGTGGGTGGTAGAGTCCAGCCTACCACAGGGAGTTATGAAACATAAGCATGGTCCTCAAGGGGGAACTGAGATTAGGGTTCGATCAGAAATAGGAGGGGCGTATGAAAGAAGTCAGTGCTATAGATTTTTATGTAGTTACCAATGAGCTGAAACCCATTTCCCCATTTTATCTGTTTTGTTCATTGCTGTGTTCTCAGCTTCTACAACAGTACTTGGAACATAGTTGGCATTTGATAAATATTTTCTAAATAAATAAATGAATAAAAATGGACGACATTTCTAATGTAAAGAAGTTATTGGAAAATCACAATGGAAAGTTGGATTTGAAATTTAGGCATCTTCACAAAGTTCATATGCATTATTACTTTAAAATTCTGTAGCGTGGAAGGGAGATGGCAGGGGAGTATGTCACTTTGTGACACAAATGAATGAACCATGCTAATTTCATGGAAAACCCTATCTAAAATTCTGAAACAGAACACCCTGCCTCCCACCTGACATAGCTGCTTCTGTTAGCGTTTTCCAGCCCTGTGTCTCCATGCAGAACAACCCCAACCGCCTGCTCTGTTGTGGGTCAACACGCTGCCTTTCCAAGCACTCTGAATACACCACAGACGTGTCCTACCCACAAACGTCTTCCTGGTGGCGCCCCTTCAAATCTAGGATCTACAATATGGAAAGAAAATTTTATTTAAGTAGCTGTTCATAAGACACTAACTGAAAGATGTGCGCGCGTGCACACACACACACACACACACGATGTACAGTGTCACAGAGGCTCTAGCTATGGTTATTGGACTTCCGAAGGATGCAGAAGGAGAAAGAGAGTGATAATTAACCATTACGTTAGAGCAAAACCCAAGATGGTTCCTGCACGTTGATTTTCTACAGTGATTAACTTTTTTTTTCTTTTGTTTTTGAGACGGAGTCTCGCTTTGTGTCCCAGGCTGGAGTGCAGTGGTGCGATCTTGGCTCACTGCAACCTCTGCCTCCCAGGTTCAAGCAATTCTACTGCCTCAGCCTCCCTAGAAGCTGGGATCCCAGGTGCCTGCCACCACACCTGGCTAAGTTTTGTATTTCTAGTAGAGAAGGGGTTTCACCATGTTGGCCAGGCTGGTCTTGAACTCCTGACCTCAGGTGATCCTTTGGCCTCCCAAAGTGCTGGGATTACAGGCGTGAGCCACTATGCCCAGCCCCTCTACTGCATAACTTAATTACCACAAAATAATGCACTAGATCTTCATATTTCCTCCCACGGGGCACTCATTCACCAAGGGACTCATTTCCAAGGTCTTTCACCCTATTTCTTTTCTTTTGAAAAATATTCAGGGAATGAGAGTTTAATATAAATTGTCATTAGCCAATATTCTTAGCCAGTCCCACACCTTTAAGATGGCCCGTCTTGACGTCTTGTTCAATGGTTGCCAAGCCGGCAAGTGAGCATGCACATCCTCTTGGATTTCGTCCCCAAATACAAGAGGAAAGAAACAACGTCTCCCACTGTGAAGGATGGTGGCATCGTTAGTGGGAGGGTGTCCACTATATCTGTCTTCTTCTACTGCCCTGTATTTTCTCATATCACAGCTTGACCTCTCTAAATCTGATGGAAGGAGAAAGACTGAAGTCAGAGAGGCTTGTATCTGATGGAAGGAGAAAGACTGAAGTCAGAGAGGCATGTACGGAGCTTTGAGTTTTATTGTTTGACACGCAAGGGTCTGATACTTTTGTTTCTGGTCTCCTGTCAGGGTGCCACTGACAGGGCCTTACACTCTGCTGAATGTAGCCCGTAGCCCTTTGGTGAGCACCTTGGCCTGCACAGAAGGCCCCTGTGCTCAGCAGAGTCTTCAGGGAGAAATTCACTTCTGGGTTTTCTCGGCGCCTGAGAATCCTCTTCAAGGTCTCAGTCTTCCATCTCTAGTCCTGCTCTGCCCTCTCTCTGAGTTCACTAAGATTGTGGATCTTCTAGGTTTTCACAATGGACTTTTCCTTCTCATTTTGCCCTGCTCTGTGCTTTGTACTTGTGCAGCATGCAGTTGTCTGAGCCCTGTGCAGAGTCTCAACTCCCAGCCCTCTTGTTTACCTAGCATTGTGAATGCACACTGTGATTCTGGGTGGCATTTCTCTGGAGCTGTGCATTCCAGGATTCCGGTCAAGAGAGAAATAATGCTCACATGCTTCCTCGGAGGACTAGGACTGACCCCGCTGCATGCATCTGAAGAGGTAATGGTCCCTACAGTGTGGTCCTTTTTGGGCAAGGCTTGTTAATATCTGCTCTTTCATTACTGTGTAGTAGGGCAAAGTCACTGCAAATGGCCGTTTCCCGGTTTCTAATGTCCTGCTTTTCCTAGCCCCCTAAGGTACTTTGACCACTGGTTATGAACAAGGCTGTTGGCTATTCTATTTTCAAACAGCAGTCGTCTGTTAGGAATAACTATCAATTTAATGGCGCCAATGGCCATCAAAACAAAGAAAATTACACAGTAAGTCTGTCTTTCTTTCTCGAAGGGAATCATTTGCATCTCACTGTGGTACCAAGTGTCGCCGTTTCCCTCAACATGCTGGTAACCATCAGTCCCACAACAGAGTGAACCAAGAATGCAGAGGGCTTTTTGTGCTCAATATCTTTGCTTTGGCCAAGGAAACACTTTCCATAATATCACGTTTACTTTTTTAACTTTTATAGTACAGAGTGAAACATGTAGAAAATAGTAGCTGTCTCGAAAGAGATGGGAAGACTAAGCCTAGTGATGAATGAGGCACACATAGAAAGGGACAGGTGCACCAGGACATGGGTGGGGATGGTCCCTGCTCCATAGAAAGGGACAGGTGCACCAGGACACGGGTGGGGATGGTCCCTGCTCCTCATGTCTGTGCGAGGCTTTCATTTGCAGGCTTCACAGTGCTTTAGAATAATGTGTTCATGGAATAAAGAGAAAGGTAGCATGGGAGGAAAATGTTTTCATACAAAGCGAGGAAATTAAATATCACTTGATTCAACTGGGTATTTTAAGGGGAAAATTACATGATTAAATCACACCCATGGAAGTTTGGTTTAGAATTCCATTATCTAAGATGGATGAACATTTCCAAGGCCCTAAACTGTGTATTAGAAAGAAATCCTAATTGCATCAAAATAAATGAAATGTTATATTTTTGTTATTAGTTTTTGAGTGCCTTTCAACCCAGAAGAAAACTAAACTTGATTTAAAAAAAAAAAAGCTTTATAACAAGATGTTAGAGGTGATAAATTTAAAGTTTGAATAGGAAGAGCATGGTCTGGGACTAGAAACACTGTAGGACAGAGATGTTCCTTTCCACCTATTTAGTTATTCATTTAATAACAGGCTACAGGTATCACCTATTTTTTTTTTTTTTTTTGAAACTGAGTCTCAGTCTCTCGCCCAGGCTGGAGTTCAGTGGTGCAATCTAGGCTCACTGCAACCTCCACCTCCTGGGTTCAAGCAATTCTCTGCCTCAGCTGGGATTACAGGCGCCCGTCACCACACCCAGCTAATTTTTTTGTATTTTTAGTGGAGACGGGTTTTCACCATCTTGGCCAAGCTGGTCCTGAACTCCTGACCTCGTGATCCACCCGCCGCGTCTTCCCAAAGTGCTGGGATTACAGGCATGAGCCACCGCTCACGGCCCTATCATCCATTCTTGATTGCACATCCTCTTTTGGCTTCCGTGAAAGCATACTGCTATGTTTTATTTCTGCCTCTCTTGTTACCCGCCGTTATCAATCCTAGGCTCCTTTCTCCCATGCTCCTGCCTCTATATGGTGTTGCTGAGGTCCACCTTTCCTCTCTCATCCATCACTAAGGTTGCTAGAAGATCCTTGTTCTCAGGGTGTCACTCACACACATGACTCTCAAATCAAAGTAGCCAGCAGAACCTCCACGCTGTGATCCAATCTAGAATTTCCAAGCTGTCTTCTGGATATTTCTTTTTGAATATTTGAACCAACAGTACTGTACTTTAACTCTTCCTCTGCTTTCTTCCCAAGGCTCCTAGCTTCTGTGTTATCATTTGTGACTTTTCCATTAAGAAAAAATCTGTTACGAGTTATTTCACCTAAAACACGGCACATTATTATTTTTTAATTTGTAATAATTGTGTCTGTAGTCTTAAAAGTACAATGCTATCTCAGAATCATATAGGTATCTTTTTTTTTTCTTTTTTTTTGAGATGGAGTCATGCTCTGTTGCCCAGGCTGGAGTGCAGTGGCACAATCTCGGCTCACTGCAACCTTCTACTCTCTGGTTCAAGCGATTCTCCTGCCTCAGCCTGCCAAGTAGCTGGGATTACAGGCACACATGCCACCACGCCCAGCTAATTTCTGTATTTTTAATAGAGACGGGGTTTCACCATGTTGGCCAGGATGGTGTCAATCTCCTGACCTAGTGATTCACCTGCTGGGCCTCCCCAAAGTGCTGGGATTACAGGCATGAGCCACTGTGCCCAGCTGGGATCTCGTTAAAGACACAGACCCCAATTAAGATTGGGGAATCAGAGCCTTTGGAGACTTGGGAACTCGTGCTGTACTCATGACTTCACGTGGTTCTCATACACACTAAGGTGAGAGAACCATAACCCTGGACAGCAGAGAGGATACTTTTTGTTAATTAAATGCCACACTTTATTTCAAGATATTAGATTAGGTATTATTGACAGCTGTTTGCAAAACCCAGGAAGGCATTTTATCAATAGCTACTATTCATTTTCAGTTTGCTTCATTCCAACTTGCTGTGTATTTTAGTTGCTCTTTCGGTTTAAAGCAAATGAACCAACTCTGACTAGATTTAAACAAAAAGCGAATCTAAGCGAACCTATTGGGAGAACACTAGGTTATCTCATGGAGATGTGGTAAAGTAGAGAATAGGGAGGGACTAGATCAACTCCAGGTACCTTGGCAGTGAAACCTCGTGGATCTTCTCGCCACTGAATTTCCTTCAGTTGGACTTTGGCTCCTGTCACTTGCAACCTGTACTTCCACCCCTGCTCCCAAATTTAATTTTATTTTTTAAAATTGCTTTTAAATGACATGTAATAATTGTACATATTTCGGAATACAAAGAGATATTTCCATACATGGATGTAATGTATAATTACCATATTGTGGTAATTAGCATATCTATCATGTATAACACAAAGAATTTATCATTTCTTTGTGTTGGGAATATTCAAAATCCTCTTTTCTAGCTATTTGAAAATACACAATAAATTATTGTTAACTATCATCACCCTTACAGGGCTATAGAAACTAGAGCTGACTCCTATCCAGTTGTAATTTTGTATCTCTCCTTATCCTTCTCTCCTCCTATAGTCTCCAACTGACAGTAACCATAACTCTACTCTCTGCTTCTAGAGCTCAATGTTTTAGCTCCCATACATGGGTGAGAACATGCGGTATTTATCTTTTTGTGTCTGACTTATTTCATTTAACATAATGTCCTCCAGGCTCATCCTTGTTGCTGTGAGTGACAAGACTTCATTCTTTTTTATGACAGAATAGTATATCATTGTGTGTAGTTACCACACTTTATCCACTCATCTGATGATAGACTCTTAGGCTGACTCCATATCTTGGCTATTGTGGATAGTGCTTCAGTAGACATGGGAGTGCAGATATCTCTTTGAGATACTGATTTTCTTTCTTTTGGATGAATAGCGAGTAGAGGGATTGCTAGATCATATGGTAGTTCTATTCTTAGTTTTTCGAGGAAACTCCATACGGTTTTTCATAATGGCCATACTAATTTACAATCCCACCAACAGTATGTAGGAGCTCCCTTTTCTCTGCATCCTCACCAGCATCTGTTATTTTTGTCTTGTTGATAGTAGCCATTTTAACTGGGACAAGAGAATATCTCATTGTGGTTTTGATTTGCATTTCCATAATGATTAGTGACGTCATTTTTTAAAATGTTCTTTTTGCCCATTTGTATGTCCTTTTTTGAGAAATGTCTTTCAGATTCTTTGGCCACTGTAAAATCAGATTTTTTTTTGCTTTTTTATTTTTTTGCTGTTGTTTGAATTCCTTGTATATTCTGAGCATTAATCTCTTGTTGGATGAATAGTTCGCAAATATTTTCTCCCATCCTAAAGTGGTCTTTCTATTCTGTTGATTACTTCCTTTGCTGTGCATAAGGTTTTTAGTTTGATATAGTCTCATTTGTCTATTTTTACGTTTGTTGCTTGTACTTGTAAAGTCTTACCTATAAAAGCTTCACCCAGTCTCAAGTCCTAAAGTGTTTCCCCCATGTTGTCTTCTAGGAATTGTATAGTTTTGGGTCTTAAACTTAAGTCTTTAATCCATTTTGAATTTATTTTCATGTATGGTGTGAGAGAGAGAGAGAGAGGTCTAGATTTATTCTTCTGCATATGCATATCCACTTTTCAACGTTTTTGGTGACTTTGTCAAAAAGTCAGGTGACTGTAAATAAGAGAATTTATTTATGGGTTTTCTAGTCTGTTCCATTGGTTTATGTGTCTGCTTTTATACCAGTGTCATGCTGTTTTGATTACTAGAGCTTTGTAGTATATTTTGAGGACAGGTAGTATAATACTTCCAGCTTTGTTCTTTGTGCTTAGAATTGCATTAGCTATTCAGGGTATTTTGTGGTTCCATACAAGATTTGGAATATTTTTTCTATTTCTGTGAGGAATATCATTGGTATTTTGATAGTGAAACCAGTCCAGTAGTCCCATAGATAGCTTTTTTTTGGATAAACATAGAATTTGATCCTTCTGTTCTTAAAGCTTGAAGCTTGCATTTGTTTTATCTGTGTTCCTTCCTCAGGATGACATTCAGGGCTCTCAAAAAAAGTATCAAAGAGGCCGGGCGCAGTGGCTCACGCCTGTAATCCCAGCACTTTGGGAGGCCGAGGCGGGCGGATCACGAGGTCAGGAGATCGAGACCATCCTGGCTAACATGGTGAAACCCCGTCTCTACTAAAAATACAAAAAATTAGCTGGGCGAGGTGGCGGGTGCCCATAGTCCCAGCTACTCAGGAGGCTGAGGCAGGAGAATGGCGAAAACCCGGGGGGGGGGAGCCTGCAGTGAGCAGAGATCGCACCACTGCACTCCAGCCTGGGTGACAGAGTGAGACTCCGTCTCAAAAAAAGTATCAAAGAACTGAAACTCACCTGATCACCACATCCAGACAATGAGATGCCAAACCCCTCATTCATCATGATTACTTTCTTGCTCCTCCCTAGTTCCTCCCTTTTCTTAGACATTGTCACATTTCTTCCCTGCTATATAAACCACTAGTTATAGCCAGTCAGGGAAATGGATTTGATACTAATCTCCCATCTCCTTTGCTGCAGCACTCCGTTAAATCCTTCTTCCTTGGCAATACTCATTGTTTCAGTGACTGGCTTTCTGTGTGGCAAGCAGCAGGACCTAGACTGAACCCCTGTGCTTTGGTAGCAACAGGAATTGCACTAAATCTGTAGCTTGCTTTGATTAAGATGGTCATTTTAACAATATTGACTGTTCCAATCTGAACATGGAATTTTTCTTTTTTGGTGGGTGTGTCCTTTTCAATTTTTCTCATCGGTGTTTTGTAGTTTTCATTGTAGAGGTCTTTTATCTCCTTGGTTAAATTTATTTCTAGGTACTTTATTTTTTTGTAGCTATTAAAAATGGGATTGCTTTTTTGATTTCTTCAGCTAGTTTGTTATTGGTATATAGACTTGCTATTAATTCTTATATGTTGATTTTATATTCTGCAACTTTACCAAATTCACTGATCAGTTCCAAGAATTCTGTGGTGAAGTCTTTAGGTTTTTCTCTATATAAGATTATGTCATCTGCAAAGAGGGACAATTTGATTTTCTCTTTTCCAATTTTGCTGTATTGTATTGCTTTCTCTTGCTTAACTGCCCTGGCTAGGAATTCCAGTACAGTGTTGAATAAGAGTAGTGAAAATGGGCGTTCTTGTCTGGTTCCAGCTCCTAGAGGAAAAGTTTTTCCCCATTCAGTATGCTGTCAGCTGTGGGTTTGTTACATACGGCCTTTATTATTTTGAGGTACACTCCTTCCATGCCTAATTTATTGAGAATTTTTTGTCATGAAGGGATGTTGAGTTTTATCAGGTGCTTTTTCTGTATCTATTGAGATGATCCTATGGCTTTTGCCCTTAATTCCGTTGATGTGATGTATCACATTTATTGATTTGGGTATACCAAAACATCCTTGCGTTTTTAGGACTAATCCCATTTGAACATGGGTGTATAATTTTTTTGATGTGCTGTTAGATTCAGTTTGCTGGTATTTTGTTCAGGATTTTTGCATTTAGGTGCATCAGGGATACTGATCTGTAGTTTTGTCGCTATTGCTTTTGTGTCCTGGTCTGGTTTGGGTAGCAGAGTAATGCTGGTCTGCTAGAAGAAGTTTGGAAATGATCCCTTCTCTTCCATTTTTTTGAAGAGCTTGTGTCAAATTGGTATTAGTTCTTTAAATCTTTGGGAGAATTCAGCAGTGGAGCCACCAGGTCCTGGGCTTTTCTTTGATGGGAGACTTTTTATGATGGCTTCAATCATATTGCCCATTATTGGTTTGTTGAGGTTTTCTTTTTCTTCATGGTTTCATGTTGGTAGGTTGTATGTGTGCAGGGATTTATTCATTTCTTCTAGTTTTTCCTATTTGCTGGTGGATAGTTGTTCATAATAGTCTCTAATGATTGTTTGTATTTCTGTGGTCTCAGTTGTTAGTCTTCTTTTTTGTTTCTGATTTTATTTATTTGGGTCTTCTCTCTCTTCTCTTAGTTTAGCTAACAGTTTATCAATTTTTGTTTGTCTTTTCAAAAAGGCAAGTTTTCATTTCATCGATCTTTTGTAATTTTTTTTTAGTCTCTACTATGTTTAGTTCTGCTCTGATCTTTATTTATTTATTTTCTAGTTTAAAATTTTGGGTTTAGTTTGTTCTTCCTTTACTAGTTCATTGATGTGCATTGTTAGATTGTTTATTTGAAATCTTTCTACTTTTTTAAAGCAGGCATTTATTTCTATAAATTTATTCCTGGGGATCAACTTACCTCTTTCTGTGTGGTGAGGAGTGTCTCTTGGGATGAGCCGATCCCAGCCAGGCTCTTCACTTTCCTCTTTATGCTGCCATCTCCAGTCTCTGTGCATCAGAAGGTCTTTATCACTTTCTTGCTGAATTCCAGTGTTTTCTCCTATACACTCTATTTGATGTGTTGTTTTCTAATTGTTTTGGTCCTTTGTGGAGTAGGAGAGCACTGGGCATCTCTTATCAGCCTTCTTGATGACATCTGGATAGGACAATATTGATCAATGATATATCTAGAAGCAATTTTGAATAAATAATATAGTGTTATAGGTTATAATTAAATATGTAAACCAAAAATAAATAAAGGAAAGGAAGAAAAACCTCCCTTTTTTTCAGAGGCAGGGAGTTTTTATTTTTGGCTTCTGTAATGGTATTTCACCAAGTTTTAAAGGTATTAACTTTATTAACCCGCAACATTCATCATTTTAAAGGCGTATATAGAAACTATCAAAATGGGTCAGAAACAAGGTTTGCGATACTCATAATTATCTTCAACAGTGGCAATATTTAACCTTTTGAGTCAATCTCAACAGATTGGCAATATAACATAATATATATTGATAAGTGTCATTCTTGATAAAAAATCAAATTATTTTTCTATTTACAATTTTTAGAAAAGGTTTAATGTAAAAATATTTTTCTTCTTTATATATTTCCCTGCCATGATAATGTTAAAACATATCAAGATGCTCCTCAAAGTTTAGGAGTGAACAGCATAACATTCCATTTTAGTTGAAGCATTCTTTCACATAGCCAACATATTTTTTCAAGACACTCTAAGAACTCGTGAGGATACTACAGGAAAAATGTTCCTCTTGCCTACTGAGCTTTTAGTCATATTTTCCCTCAAACTTTTCTAAATTAAACATTGTTATAACTGGGTTTGTTTTTTTTTTTGAAATTTAATTTTCCACGGTGCAGTCCTCAAGTTATTCTTTTATTCGGAGCCACTCCTTCAGTTTCAACTTGCTGAGCAGGCAAGCAACTGCTTTTGGTTTCTATGGAAACTGGATTCCTGTGGCTGCCTGTAGGTATTCTCGTTCCACCAACCTTTTGTTGTGTTGTGGTATCCAGTGATTTAGGTGGAAAAGTACAAGTTATTCTTCCATGATGGATATGATATGGTCATAACAGGCTAGGATCTAATCGGACCCAGAGAACTGAGAGACTGGAAGGTACATCAGGAAGGCTGCAATGTGTTTTATACAAATTGTATGCTGTCCTAGTAACTTTTCCATCAGAGGTCTTATGGATTGGGAGTGAAGAATCTTCTGCTGCCTGAGATAACAAGTAGGAACCCTCCTGCCAGCTACTTAATTTCTTTAGAATGTGTTGGAGAATGTTAAATACATTGGAAATCTTGAGTGCTGAAAGCTTTTCTTTTAATGCTTCTGAGGTAATTTCTTCCAGTAGAAAAAGCTTTGAAGTAAATGCATCGATATGGCCAATGTAAAATATCTGTTGGAATGCAATCAACTTCCAGTCCACAAGCGACAACGTTCACTTTCAGTCAGAGCTTCAACTCCATAACCAGCTTGATTCTCTACTTCTGGTAGTACATAAACTGGAAATTGTTTTCCGATTTTCTTCTGTTTCTTAGAACGTGGTCTTGTCTCCATCCTCCGGACACTGCAGCACATGAGTAACAACAGGTCTTGCAGGCTAAATAACTTATGAATAAAGTTTCCTTCCTGAGGAGCTAGGTATTCCGACGTATCTTCAACATAGTCCTGAAGTTCATATGGCAATCGTCCTTTTGGCTTCTGAAATGCAGAAGGCCATCCAATTTCGGCCAACTAGAGGCATCTGAAGGGACAGACCGTTGCTCAGAAACAGAGGGCTGTTTAGAATTTTCTAAATTCATTAAGGGCAATTTGGGTACTTTTCTGGAAATTGGCTTTAAGAGCTCATCCTGCATTTTAAAAATTTCTCCAACAGGATCAAATTTTTTATATACTCATTTGATAGGTTTTTTTAAAAAAAAATACATGACTTGCCAGGCGTGGTGGCTCACGCTTGTAATCCCAACACTTCGGGAGGCTGAGGAAGGTGGATCACCTGACGTCAGGAGTTCGAGACCAGCCTGACCAATGTGGAGAAAGCCCATCTCTACTAAAAATACAAAAAAAAAAAAAAAAATGGCTGGGTGTGGTGGCGCATGCCTGTAATCCCAGCTACTTGAGAGGCTGAGGCAGGAGAATTGCTTGAACCTGGGAGGCAGAGGTTGCAGTGAGCTGAGATCGTGCCACTGCACTCCAGCCTGGGGCAACAAGAAAGAAACTCCGCCTCAAAAAAAATTAAATAAATAAAAAGTAAAAAAATAAAAACACATGACTCTTCTGGACTACAAGCAGTATTAGTCTGGTTTTCTGCAGAAGCCTGTCCTGAGGAAGAATTTGGGCTAGCTGGTCAAGAATTTAAGTTGGAACCCATGACAGCTGTCTTTCCGTCACTATTATTTTTACACTCTGTATCAATAATTAAACACTCCTTATCTGTATCACTGCTGCAGAGAACTGTATCTTCAGTTTTAGCTGCTTCTGATGTCACAGTCTTTTCCTTTGAGTTGTCTAGGTTTTCCAGAACATTGGGTCTTTCAGCATCAACATGTACCATATCTATAGTCATATCATATTTATTAGCAGTTTCAATTTCCTGAGAATTTTCTAACTGTAAGGCATCAGATGTTTTCAAGTCACTATCTTGCCTCGAAGACTTGTCAGTATTTGATACCTTTTTGCCACATGATTCAAATCCCTGGTCATCTTTATTTTTGCACTCTTTAGGGCCACCATCCATACCAGTGACCAGTTGTTTCTCCTTTTGCGACTGTTCAATGAGAATCTGAGATAAACTTCTAGAATTAGCAGAAATGTCTGGTGCACTTGGTGCCACAGGTGTAGTTCCTGCTTTGGGGGCTGTAGGAGCATCTGTCACGTTAGTTACTGTGGAAGTACTTGCTGGACTTCTTGGCTTTGATGCTTTGGTGGTGGTTACTCCAAAAGTTTCAAGTTTTGTAACATCACCATCAAAATCCAGATACAAGTTTTCAAGAGTCTCAGTGTTTTGGCACTCACTACTTCACAGGGCATGTCCATTTCAGATATAAACTCTTCAAGGATAAACCTCTTTTCTATGCCTGGTGGGAGAGTCAAAGATCCCTGTTCTTAAGGATGTAAATATATACACAGATAATATAGTTATTGAATAACTTGGGTTTGAGGGAAGTAAAAATAGTTGTTTTCTAGCATAAAAGTAATTCCTTTTTCAAAGCTTCAAATTAATTTTGGATCAGTGGGAGGATCATTTTTAAACTTAATAAATGAGTGAAAGTCCAGTTAAAACAGAAGAATAAGAACAGTTCATTTTAAGTAGACTCTCACAAGCTTGGTCAAATCAAATGCTCTAGGACCTTCTCGTATATTTTAGGATACTTTACTTGTATTTGGGAGATGATTCCCCAGGAGTATTTCATATATTCACATGTGGTGTAAACAGAGACTCTGGCAGCTTTTCTTTCAAATGATCTTTTCAAGGATATTGCCATTGTGAACAGCTTTGGAAGTTAAGGTAGCTTTTCCCTCTGTGGTAGAGGGCAGGTTTTCTTGGTGTTTAGGAAAATTAAAATAATGACTACTTTTAGGACAAAGTTTGAGCAAACTTACTTGAGGTCTGATATGGTTTGGCTGTGACCTCACCCAAATCTCATCTTGAATTGTAGCTCCCACAATTCCCATGTGTTGTGGGAGATACCTGGTGGGAGTTAATTGAATCATGGGGGTAGGCCTTTCCCATGCTATTCTCGTGATAGTGAATAGGTCTCATGAGATCTAGCGGTTTCACAAAGGGGAGTTTCCCTGCACAAGTTCTCTTTTCTTGTCTGCCGCCATGTGAGATGTGCCTTTTACTTCCAGCCATGATTGTGAGGCCTCCCCAGCCATGTGGAACTGTAAGTCCATTAAAACTCTTTCTTTTGTATATGCCCAGTCTCAGGTGTGTCTTTATCAGCAGCATGAAAACAGACTAATACAAGGTCCATTATAAATGACTGGAGTTTCCTAAGCTCCAGCTTCCATAGCTATGAAGAAAATCCACTCAGTATACAACTTTTCCCTTTTTTAGCCTAGGAGTCTTGTGTCTTTTGCCAACATCCATGAAACAATGATAATGTAACTCATTAGATTGCAAGTAGAGTAAACCTCAGACCCTTTACAATTAAGTGTTTCTCCACAGTTTACATGAAATTGAAAAATGAAGGCACCAAGAATTTGTTTTTTTCTCCTTACACACACATCTGGGCTTTTACAATTGTAGGGACCAGCCCCACAGGGTCGGAGGGTTTTTCTCCCCGTGTGCGGAGATGAGACATTGTAGAAATAAAGACACAAGACAAAGAGATAAAAGAAAAGACAGCTGGGCCTGGGGGACCACTACCACCAAGATGCGGAGACCGGTAGTGGCCCTGAATGCCTGGCTGCGCTGTTATTTATTGGATACAAGGCAAAAGGGGCAGGGTAAGGAGTGTGAGTCATCTCTAATGATTGACAAGGTCACATGAGTCATGTGTCCACTGGACAGGGGGCCCTTCCCTGTTTGGCAGCCGAGGTGGAGAGACAGAGAGAGAGAGAGGACACAGCCTACGCCATTATTTCTTCATATCAGAGGTTTTTAGTACTTTCACTAATTTTGCTACGGCTATCTAGAAGGCAGAGCCAGGTGTACAGGATGGAACATAAAAGTGGACTAGGAGTGTGACCACTAAAGCACAGCATCACAGGGAGATGGTTAGGCCTCCAGATAACTGTGGGCAGGCCTGACTGATGTCAGGCCCTCCACTAGAGGTGGAGGAGTAGAGTCTTCTCTAAACTCCACCAGGGAAAGGGAGACTCCCTTTCCCAGTCTGCTAAGTAGTGGGTGTTTTTCCTTGGCACTGACGCTACCGCTAGACCACAGTCCACTTGGCAACGGGCGTCTTCCCAGACGCTGGCGTTATCACTAGACCAAGGAGCCCTCTGGTGGCCCTGTCTGGGCGTGACAGAAGGCTCGCATTCTTGTCTTCTGGTCACTTCTCACTATGTCCTGTCTCTGTATGGCCTAGTTTTTCCTAGGTTATGATCATAGAGCAAGGATTATTATAATATTGGAATAAAGAGTAATTGCTACAAACTAATGATTAATGATATTCATATATAATCATATCTATGATCTATATCTAGTATAACTATTCTTATTTTATATATTTTATTATACTGGAACAGCTTGTTGCCTTGGTCTCTTGCCTCGGCACCTGGGTGGCTTGCCGCCCACATGCAATAGCTTTCTAGCTATTTCTTCTGTAGCATATAAGAGTTCAGCAAACATTTACTGGGTCCCAATCTTGTAACAGATACTCTTATAGATCCTAGAAATCCCAAGATAAATAAAACATGATTCTTGACCCAAAATGCTTCCAATGAATAGAAGAAACAATGCATAAAGACGCATGACACAGAAACAGTATTTTTCCTTCCTTCTTTCCTTCCTTCCTTCCTTCCTTTCTTTTTCTTTCTTAGATTGGGTCTCACTCCGTCACCCAGGATAAAGTGCAGTGGCACAGTCTTGGCTCGCTGCAACCTCCGACTCCTGAGTTCAAGTGATTCTCCTGCCTTAGCCTCCTGAGTAGCTGGGATTACAGCCGTGCACCACCACGCCCGGCCAATTTTTTTGTATTTTTAGTAGAGACGGGTTTTGCCATGTTGGCCAGGGTGGTCTCCAACTCCTGACCTCAGGTTATCTGCCTGCCTTGGCCTCCCAAAATGCTGGGATTACAGGCGTGAGCCACTGTGCCTGGCATAAACAGTATTTTTCATAGCATGGGATATAAGTGACGACAGCAACAGCAACTTTTTTTTTTTTTGAGATGGAGTCTTGCTTGTTACCCAGGCTGGAGAGCAGTGGTGTGATCTCGGCTCACTGCAACCTCCACCTCCCAGGTTCTAGCGATTCTGGTTCCTCAGCTTCCCCAGTAACTGGGTTTACAGGCGCCCGCCACCATGTGCCAGCTAATTTTTGTATTTTCAGTAGAGATGGGGTTTCACCATATTGCCCAGGCTGGTCTCAAACTCCTGACCTCATGATCCACCTGCCTTGGCCTCCCAAAGTGCTGGGATTACAGGTGTGAGCCACCGCACCCAGCCAATGACAGCAACATTCAAGGGGTGCTCTGAGAGCACACTGAGGTGCACTTAGCCTGTCGTGAAAGTTCAAGAGATGGTTCTTGAAGTTGATGGTCACTGAATGCGGTTTTGCAGGAGATTGAATTTGAAAAGCTACCTTACCTTCCGAGGCTGTTCCCAGTGCAAATATCCTTGAAAAGATCATTCAAAAACATGTGAAAAGAGTGTTTCTGACGGAAGGACATATACAGAAACATAAAATAGCATGATGTGAATCAAGGAACTAAACACCAACTGCTGTTACTAGTTTGTGGAGTTCCTTGTGTGGAGCAGTAGGAAGTTGAAGCTGGAGTTTGCTATGCATGCTGCGTTAAGGAACTCAGATTTTAGCCTTTATGCCAGTTGCCTCCAGACTTTTTTTTTTTTTTAGATGGAGCCTCGCTCTGTTGCCCAGGCTGGAGTCCAGTGGTACAATCTCGGCTCACTGGAACATCCGCCTCCCAGGTTCAAGCAATTCTCTGCCTCTGCCTCCAGAGTAGCTAGGACTACAGGCGCCTGCCACCATGCCCAGCTAATTTTTGTATTTTTAGTGGAAACGGGGTTTCACCCTCTTAGCCAGGCTGTTCTTGAACTCCTGACCTCGTGATCCACCCACCTCGGCCTCCCAAAGTGCTGGGATTACAGGCATGAGTAGCTGGCCTTAGGCTTTTCTGATTATACATTTATTTAGTAAAACTTTCTCAAGCAGTCACCTCTAATATATCTATATGTATTTATAAATTTCTCTACACGTTGTATGGTCTCCCCATATATTAAATGTTAGTATTTTATTTTATTTTATAAAACGAAATAAAAATAGATAAAGTTGGCCAGGCGAGGTGGCTCACGACTGTAATCCCAGCACTTCTGGAGGCCGAGGCGGGTGGATCACGAGGTCAGGAGATGGAGACCATCCTGGCGAACACGGTGAAACCCCGTCTCCACTGAAAATACAAACAAAAAAAAAGAAAAAAGGAAAAAAAAATTAGCCGGGCGTGGTGGCGGGCGCCTGTGGTCCCAGCTACTCGGGAGGCTGAGGCAGGAGAATGGCGTGAACCCAGGAGGCAGAGCCGCAGTGAGCCGAGATTGTGCCCCTGCACTACAGCTTGGGCGAAAGAGCAAGACTCCGTCTCAAAAAAAAAAAAAATAGATAAAGTTTCTCATATTTTCTTCTACACCTCAACTGATTGTCTTTCTCACTCTCCTTGAGGGCCACATTTAGTCTGCTTGCAGGTGCTAACACGGGGAATGATGATTTGGTCAGATTCATGTTTTCAATCACTCCTCACAGTGGAAGATAAGAGTTGAGGGATGCAGGATTCAAGGAGGGAAGTGTAGGAACCAAGATATTATGATGGATCAAGCAAGAGAAAGTCAGGATCTGACTGAGAGAGCAGGCATGGAGTGAAAAGGAGGGCTAAATTTGAGAAATACCTAGGTAGTAGAATTGGTACGATCCGCCCATTGAGTAGGGGTGGGGAGTGGCTCTGAGAGGCCGGAGTGAGGCCTGAGTGAAGGGATGGGAGAAGCAAATCCATTGAGTAGGGATGGGGAGTGGCTCTGAGAGGCCGGAGTGAGGCCTGAGTGAAGGGATGGGAGAAGCAAATCCATTGAGTAGGGGTGGGGAGTGGCTCTGAGAGGCCGGAGTGAGGCCTGAGTGAAGGGATGGGAGAAGCAAATCCATTGAGTAGGGGTGGGGAGTGGCTCTGAGAGGCCGGAGTGAGGCCGGACTGAAGGGATGGGAGAAGCAAATCCATTGAGTAGGGGTGGGGAGTGGCTCTGAGAGGCCAGAGTGAGGCCTGAGTGAAGGGATGGGAGAAGCAAATCCATTGAGTAGGGGTGGGGAGTGGCTCTGAGAGGCCGGAGTGAGGCCGGACTGAAGGGATGGGAGAAGCAAATCCATTGAGTAGGGGTGGGGAGTGGCTCTGAGAGGCCGGAGTGAGGCCTGAGTGAAGGGATGGGAGAAGCAAGTCCATTGAGTAGGGGTGGGGAGTGGCTCTGAGAGGCCGGAGTGAGGCCGGACTGAAGGGATGGGAGAAGCAAATCCATTGAGTAGGGGTGGGGAGTGGCTCTGAGAGGCCGGAGTGAGGCCTGAGTGAAGGGATGGGAGAAGCAAATCCATTGAGTAGGGGTGGGGAGTGGCTCTGAGAGGCCAGAGTGAGGCCGGACTGAAGGGATGGGAGAAGCAAATCCATTGAGTAGGGGTGGGGAGTGGCTCTGAGAGGCCGGAGTGAGGCCGGACTGAAGGGATGGGAGAAGCAAATCCATTGAGTAGGGGTGGGGAGTGGCTCTGAGAGGCCGGAGCGAGGCCTGAGTGAAGGGATGGGAGAAGCAAATCCATTGAGTAGGGGTGGGGAGTGGCTCTGAGAGGCCGGAGCGAGGCCTGAGTGAAGGGATGGGAGAAGCAAATCCATTGAGTAGGGGTGGGGAGTGGCTCTGAGAGGCCGGAGTGAGGCCTGAGTGAAGGGATGGGAGAAGCAAATCCATTGAGTAGGGGTGGGGAGTGGCTCTGAGAGGCCGGAGTGAGGCCTGAGTGAAGGGATGGGAGAAGCAAATCCATTGAGTAGGGGTGGGGAGTGGCTCTGAGAGGCCGGAAGGGATGGGAGAAGCAAATGGCGCACATTGTGTTTCGGTGACTGAGAGAATAGTGGTTATGTTTAATGAGACAGAAGATTCAGTGGATAAGCAGATTTTAGTGGTGGGTTCAATTAAGAAATTGACCTCATCTTTATACAGATTCACTTCCTTTTAATTTTCTCTCAACACACTCATCCAAAATTTGGTTGTGTTGTTTTTCTGCTGAACAACCTGTATTATTCTCCTTTCTTTTCCAAATCTCCACATTTTGGCCCAACCCGTGTTCCATGGTGAATTCAGACAGTAAAAGAAGCAACTGTTTTTCAAGTGCCTTCTTTGTTATTTATAACACAATGCTTTTTATTCCAATTTTGTAGTTGACTTCTTTTCTCTAATAGATTATTGTTTAGTCATTGCAGATCCTGTTATTCTTCCCAGCAAACAACCTCAAAGTTTCACTGGCTTACAATAAATAAAATTTATTTCTTGCTTGTGTAATTTAATTTTATTTCATGTACTTTTATCCCAATGTACATTTCAATTTGGGACCCAGACCAAAATAGCCATTCAAGTGCGAGGGGTTTATTTTGTAGATGATCCGAAAAGAATAGGAAGTGAGATAGGGAAGAAAATAATGACAAAAAAGGCTTTATTTTCAAGGGCGTTATCACTGTGGACAACTGGAGCTTAATCCTACTGCGGAAACCGAGAAGCCAGGGTAAAATGTGTACCTGAGTAATCCCACCCGTGGGCCAAGGTAATTGTAATATTTACACACCAATTTCCATCAGCCATTGGTCGTGGCTGTACCTATGAGTGATCACTTTCCAGCATTTCAGGCCTAGAAAAAGTAGCCAAGGAGGTTTCAGAGTCAGAGAAAGCCCTCGTGCAGAAAATGTACATGCTAGCATTTACAAATCAGTCAGGTATGCATCGATGTGGTTAGAGTAAAAGGACATAGAGAGGAATCCACTAAATCCATCCAGGAATAAACAAATAAAATAGGAAAAAAAAACCCACTGTTGACATAAGTTAATACTTTTATTTTACCACTATTTCTTTCTTTAGCCCTTTTATTCAGTTACGGCTACTTGTGTACATTAGGTAGGTAGTGTGCAAATTTTACAGTATGCATTAACTCAAATTCTATATTTGTAGTAACTAAAACACGCCTTATTTTTCATCTCTATGCTATTCCCTCCCCTTTCCCCAGTTTCTCTGTGTATGAAGCTCGACTGACTTGTCAAAAGCTCCCTAAAGTGATGTTTTTACAATAAAGTCTCTCCTAAACTTCAGTTAGGATCAATCACTCTCTACTGGCTGCTCCTGTAGAATTTTATCTGTAGTTTTGTTTTGTCATCTTATCACTTTATAATATTATTTACAATCTGTCTGTTAATGTATTGTGCACAGGGCTGGGCGCAGTGGCTCACACCTGTAATCCCAGCACTTTGGGAGGCTGAGGTGGGTGGATCACGAGGTCAGGAGTTCAAGACCATCCTGGTTAACACGATGAAACCCCGTCTCTACTAAAAATACAAAAAATTACCCGGCGTGGTAGCGGGTGCCTGTAGTCCCAGCTACTCGAGAGGTTGAGGCAGGAGAAAAGCTCACCAGGAGGTTGCAGTAAGCCGAGATCGCGCCACTGCACTCCAGCCTGGGTGACAGAGCGAGATTTTGTCTTAAAAAAAAATATATATATATATATATACACACACACACACACACACACACACATATATATATAGAACACCTTTAAGATGATTTGTGTCTTACTTCTTTTTACTTATCCCATGATTGTCACAATAAAGGTTTGCTCACATCATAAGCAAATACCTAAATAGACATGCCTGATTTTCTTACAATTATGGAAGTGAATCTTACTTTGAAAAAAAATCATAAATGCCCCACATTTTTCAATGTGCTTTTGGACATTTCTTAATAACTATGTTTTTATAATATTATATATGTTAAGGCACTTACAATTTTAATGTGTAGTTATATGTAAAATCACATTGTATCGAGTAAGCATTATCAAATAATTCTTTATGATGAAATTAATTTATGAGTTTCTAATAAATACTACAGTATTGTTGGCCAGAAAGCACTAATGAAAATAAATTAAAGGTATTGTTTGTTACTTTAAAGGCTAGGAATTTCTAATATAAAGAAATGTAAGGAATAGTTCATAATTTAAGAACACAGCCACTTCAAATTGTAAAAAAGAATTATCTATTGTTAAAGCGAACTAAATATGGCCTGGGAAGGACTCTATACTTCTATACTTGAGTCCTTGTAGAGGAACCATAACCTAACTTAATAGGACAACAAGATTGAAAACCTAATTTAGGAGTATGTACGTGGAACAATCGCCAGTCCAGCAGCCATACTTCAGCCACTCACACACTGCTGCGTGTTCAAACTGTGTTCGAGTAAGGCAAACTTGTAACCAGTCCAGTTGTTTGTGTAACTCACTTCCGATTTCTGTACATCTTTTTCCTTTTTTTGTCTACAAATTTTCTTCCACGATGTGGCTGTGCTGGAGTCTCTCTGAATCTGCTGCGATTCTGGGAGCTGATTCACGCATCATTCATTGCTCAAGTAAACTCCTTTAAATTTAATTCAGCTGGCCGGGTGCGGTGGCTCACGCCTGTAATCCCAGCACTTTGGGAGTCTGAGGAGGGCAGATCACCTGAGGTCAGGAGTTCGAGACCAGCCTGACCAACATGGTGAAACTCCATCTCTACTAAAAATACAAAAATTAGCCAGGCGTGGTGGTGCGTGCCTGTAATCCCAGCTACTTGGGAGGCTGAGGCAGGAGAATCGCTTGAATCCGGGAGGTGGAGGTTGCAGTGAGCAGATATCGTGCCACTACACTCCAGCCTGGGCAACAAAAGCAAAACCCGTCTCAAAAAACCCAAAAGTTTAATTCTACTGAAGTTTTTCTGTTAACACTGTGTTATTATTTTATCTTTTGATGAAAGGCAAATGATATAAACAAGAACTTGGAATATTTGTGAATAATGTATAAATAAATAGTTTCTGTTTATTCTCTGTATTCTGTTAAAAGTTTTTGCTCTGCTCAATATATCTGGCCATAAAATTCTTTTAAATCCTGTATAATTTTAAAAGCAAATTTGATGCATGTGCAACTTATTTTATTTTATTTTTTTTGAGGCTGTTTGTTACAATGGAAATTGCCTTAACAAGTCTCATGTGGCACATGTGGTGCCCAGAGCATTCTGAAAGTTATGGTTTTGAAAGCAGTCGTTGTGGCGACATTGTCCTAATTAAAGTTCTCGGGCAGTTTTGCCGACATTCAAAACCATCTTCCATTTTTATCCTTTTGTGGTAATATTTATCATTTATAAAAAGGAATTCCAACACCTCTTTTCTATGTATAATCTCCCAACGTTCCTGGTCAAAGCAGTTTGCTCCCAAATTACCAGAAGTGGTCTCGTTGCGGCAGCAGAGCTCCCCTGGTGCACTTCTACTCACGGGTTTGTTGAACGTGTAGCTTTACCCACCTTGAGGCAGAACTGCATGTGCCCGTGTTGGCGCTGACGCATGATGTGTGGTGCACGGATGGAGCAAAGGTGAATATCTCCCCACAGCAGACCTCCGAGGTTCATAAATTATTTATCACATACTTCAGTGTGCTGCCACAGTGATCAGGGCCAGTTTCCAATATGGAGACAAGAGCTCTTTAATCACGCTCTTCCCTGCAAAAGAAAAAGATTGGCATTTAACAGAGAGCTGTAAGACAGGATAGGGATGTGACTGCAGGGAAACCTCCACTTGGAATAGGAGTCGCTGGTCAGTTCTAGACCCAATGGCATGGACTTATGTAGTAATAGTAGTAAGAGTTCCTGAAGATAGTTTCAATCTATTGCCAGCATTCTGTAGGTCTTTATAACAAGCAGGAAATGGATACACATGTCTCTGTTCCATAATTAGAAAAGTATCACCATTTTCCTGGGACAAAAATATGTAAGTTTAAACATTTTTAGTGCCAGGTCAGTAGTCACGATTTACCAACAGCATTTTTTATTTTAAAAATACAGTTAGTGACTACACCATTGGCTAACAAACTGAGACTTAAAGCATTCTCTAGATGCAAATGCTACAAATAAATCAAATTATTAGGCATATTCACTAATACTTACAAACTTAACTTCATATATAAAGCAAGGTAGATCACCAGTGTGGCCATGCAAACAGGGTTTGAGGACTTCAATATTTAAAGCAAGTTAGTCCAACCCACAGCCCAAGGGCCACATGCAGCCCAGGATGGCTTTGAATGAGGCCCAACACAAATTAGCAAATTACTAAACTTACTTAAAATGATGGGATTTTATTTTTTGCCATTTTTTGGTTTGTGTGTTTGGTTTTTAGCTCATCAGCTTTGTTAGTGTTAGTGTATTTTATGTGTGGCCCAAGACAATACTTCCAATGTGGCCCAGGGAAGCCAAAAGATTGGACACTCCTGATTTAAAGGGAAAAGGGAGGGCAGATGAAGAAAGAGGATAAAAAAAAGAGAGAGAAGGTAGACAAAACAGGAAAGTGGTTAGTCTTTGGAGGCTTTGATTAGCACTTACTGAATCTACATTTTACATGTGAAAGGAGTGGGTAGCGAAACAGTGAATTATGCATAGTGCTCAGTGCGTCTGCATTTTTGCATAAGATAAAGTAAACATAGAGGAGGTGCTCAAATATGCATTCCTCTCAGGTGAGCCAAGGGATGCCCTCTAGGCCTGTCTTTGTCAAGGTACCGGTGAAGATAAGCTGTTAGTTTACATTGTCAAGGTGAAATAGAACAGCGTTCTGTTTTAGGGTAAAGCTCTTGGGGCCCACGAGGAATTTCCTTGTGAGCAATTTGTGAAGGAGGCCACCGGGGGAGACATGTGGCCTTCTGTCTTTGCAGCTATCTACTTAGGAACAAAATGGAAGGCAGTTTTTGCATGATGCAGTTACTGAGCTTCACTTTTCCCTTTGGCATAGTGAGTTTGGGGTCCTGAGATTTTTATATTCCTTTCACAGCCTCACTATACTTGAATTAAAATACAATCTACATGTTAAAACTGACCACATCATTCTTTCCTGTGTGTCTTCAAAGGATTTAAGGCCCATCCAGATAATCCAAGATGATCTCATTTCAAAGCCTTAATTATATCTTTGATGACTCTTTTTCCAAATAAGGTCTCAATTAGAGGTTCCTGGAATAAGACACGGACTCATCTCCCTGGGGGCCACCATTCAGCCTGATCCGGAAGGAAGGCCATGATTTCAGCTCTCTGGGATTTGAGACAAAGAGGCCCCTTTTCTTTCATTTTATCTTTTCATGTCTCTTCTTGCCATGTACCCACATGATTGAGTGTGGGCTGAGGGTGAATCCAAGAAGGGCTTTGTTTTGTGGTCAGTACAGGCTTTGGTCCACAGAGACAACAATACTTTCAATACTCTTTTGTTCTGCCCCAGAGGAGCTCAACACAGAATTGCCTAGAACAAGAAACTGGGTAAGTGTGCTTGGAACATACGCTTGTCTTCTCTTCTTTGGACTCTTGATTGCAACACTCATCTCTGCCTGGATATTCACATGGACTTATACTCTCTGTCTTTTCTTCTGTGTGTCTTCTCTTCTGTATGTCACTGAATGTTGGGCCCACCTGGATAACCCAAGATGATCTCATCTTGAGGTACTTAATTATATCTGCAAATAACATTTTCCTAAATAAGGTCACAGGCATAGTTTTGGGGGACTGGGACATGGATATATCTTTTTGGAGACCATGATTTAACTCACTATAGGCTAAATTCTCAGCCCTAAAAGGGGTCCTACACAAAGTGAGGGCACTCAATGGAAAGAAGGGCTCTGAGATGTGAGATAGGAACATGTGAACAGAACCTTCAACCCACAGATTCCCCTGGACTATCAGGTCCAGGAGAAGAGACTCCTTCCTCTCTCAGGTTGAGACTCCCACGGCCTGGAGATTAGGCAAAGCCTCTGTTCGATCTTTGCATGAAATTAAGTAGTCTTAGTGGTCTATTGCAGGGGTCTCTATCTGTGATTGACCTTTACTTATTTCTTGCTTAATGTACTATCATTCTCTTTTTTTCTTGAATAAGGTAGTTTACATATTAAATTCTTCGCTAAAGATACAGCTCTTAAATTAAAAAATACTACTACTACTACCATTTTGCTTTAGTCAGTAAGTTCTGCCTTAATTTTCTGTCTATTTTATATATTTTGTCTATATTTTGTTGATATATTAAAGTTTTTTCTTGTTTTTATTAATATGATGATTTAAGGCTCTAGAATTTCTTCTGAGTGCAGATCTACCTGGGTCATACAGATGTTGTCATATGTGGTCAGTTCTTTTACAAATATTCTTCAACGTTTTTCTCTTTGGCCCTTAATGATATAAGAAAACTTCCAAAAACTGTATGTTTTTTAGTGTTTTGGAGTTTTATTGTTTATTTAATTTCACTGCATCTTAATCAAATAATTAAAAATGCTTTTTAGAAATTACTGAAGTTTTGTGGTCTGAAATATAGTCTTTTTTATGATCTGTGGAATCAAAAAAAAAAGCATTCTATATTTTTAAGGTGCCAAGTTTGTTATCTGTCAATTAGAGAAAACTATGTGATTTACATTTTTACATCATGACTTACTATTGCTCTCTTCAGCAGTCACAGCCTGATAGAGGTGATGTAATTTTCCCTGCTGTGCTCCTGTGTCTGTGTCTTTCCTTATGCATGCTCTACTTTTTTTTTTTTTTTTTTTTTTTTTTTTGAGACGGAATCTTGCTGTGTCGCGCAGGCTGGAGTGCAGTGGCGCGATCCTGGCTCACTGCGAGCTCTGCCTCCCAGGTTCATGCCATTTCCTGCCTCAGCCTCCGGAGTAGCTGGGACTACAGGCGCCCGCCACCATGCCTGGCTAATTTTTTTTATTTTTAGTAGAGACGGGCTTTCACCATGTTAGCCAGCATGGTCTTGATCTCCTGATCTCGTGATCCGCCCACCTCGGCCTCCCAAAGTTCTGGGATTACAGGCGTGAGCCACCGCGCCCGGCCTACTTTTTGTTTTAAGAACATTGATGCTCTGTTATTTAATCTCTAGAATTCATAACTGGCATATCTTCATTGTGAATCACACGCTTATTTTTTCTTTTCTGCTACTTTTTCTTACTTCTATGCTTTTTCTGCCCTGTGTTTTAAAGAGAAGAAAATCAGTGATGCCACACAAAACACTCCGTGGTAGTCAGATCACAGCGATGGTTTTAACATTTGTAGTGCTGACATTCTGTTCCCGTTCTTGTCTCTTTCACTGAGTTCTCCTACCATCAGGCAGGTTCCATGCTCGTCACCAGGCCCTGGCTGCAACTTTTCATACCCTATCAACATTTGGTTCACTGATGATTGTTGTTTGCTAGATTTTCCAAGCAGTTCCATATAAACAATGTTCCCATATCTTTGAACATTCAAAAATCAGTTTGTATTGCGTTTATACTTGATTGAAATAATAGTTGGTATAAAATTTCCGGGTTGCACTTTCTTGGTGCAAAATTTCACAGGTCTCAGCTCTTTCAGTATTGAATACTGCTACACACTGCCCTTGTGATTACAGATTCAAGCTGGCCATCAGACTTGCAAGACACAGACAGCTTTAATCTGATGCTACATTTACTGGGCTTTAAAGGAGGATACAGGCCGGGAGACACAGCTGGTGTCCTGGGGCACCCACAGCTCCCTTTGCCCTTTCACCTATCCAGGGCCTATGTGGCTGCCACAAACAAGAGTCAGGGTGCTTGCGGGCCACATGGATAATCAGAAGCCACCGCCTTGATTTCCCAACAATTTTTTATGCTATTTCTAGACACAAAGCTACAAGCCACATATTGATTCACAGCCCCCCTGTTCCAAGGGCAATGGAACATAGGTGATGAGGGAGACATTCCACATCTATTTCAAATCTGTAATTTCCAAGTGTGTCTGTTAGCTTCTGTTGATTAGGAAATTATCCCCAAATTTAGTCACTTCAAACAGCAACAGTTTGTTAACCTAAGGATCTGCTGAAGAGTTCCCATGGTCTGGGCTGGCTCTGGCTAATCTCGCCCAGGCTTGCTCACATGACTGCAGTGCCTTAGCAGGATGGCAGAGGGCGACTAGCCCGTCATAGCCTGCCTGTGGTCTGGTGGTTGGCCATTTGCCTCTGGCTCAGCGTGGCGATTGTTTCATTATTTTGCATTCTTTTGTTGTTGTTGTTTTTTGTTGTTTTTTTTTGTTTGTTTTTTGTTTTTCGTGTTTTTTTTGAGACAGGGTCTCTCTCTGTCACCCAGACTGGAGTGCAGTGACGTGATCTCAGCTTACAGCAACCTCTGCCTCTGAGGCTCAAGCAACTCTCCCGCCTCTGCCTCCCAGGTAGCTGGGATTACAGGCGAGCGCCACCACCGCCCAGCTAATTTTTGTATTTTTAGTAGAGATGGGTTTTCACCATGTTGGCCCGGGTGGTCTCGAACTCCTGACCTCAAATGATCCAGCCGCCTCGCCCTCCCAAAGTGCTGGGATTACAGGCGTGAGCCACTGCGCCTGCCTGTTGTTAATAGTGGTAAAATATTTGGTGCAGCTTCTCAGTGGCCACATTTTACAGTTTCGGATGCACTTTCTGGATCGGGCATGCATTTTCTGCTTGTGTAACTCTGCTTATTTTGCATTATTTTAAGGCATTTATAATTAATTCTGATTCCTCATTTTGGACTATGTTTTGTTTCTCCTGAACCGTCTCTTTCCTGTAGGTAGAGGGAAGCATTTCATGGAGGGCCAGGTCCCTGGCTAGGACAAGGTAGAGCCTCACAGTCATATTTGGTATCCAGCGGCCATTGCTCTGCCCCAGCCTGTCATCTGGCTGTGGTGGGTTTGGTGGCCCACGTCTAACTCTACCTCTGTTTCTAGACTGTGACCCGGGACCGGGGGAAATTAGTAGCAGCCCGTGCCTCCAGTGCCACTGTGGCGAGCCCTCTAGGACGGGCCTCTCACATTGGGCTTTATGGTGTCCGCGGCCTCAGTGTCAGTACTCTGCTCCTCCCCACAAGCAGCCCTGCTCAGTTTGCCCTGGGCTGGCAGGCTTTTTCTCTGTGTTGAGGTTTGGCATTTCACCTCACTCCTGTTTTCATTAAAAGTAGACTTTTCCTTTCTATTTCAAGTTCTGTGGATGATTTTGGGAGAATGTTTTCTTTATATCATCTGCAAATACGCTTCCTCATTTCCCACCTCGACTTTCCATCTTCCACTTTCAATCTTTTCTTTTTTTGGAAGGAGGGTGGGGTATTGTCAGAGTTGTATTTTCCAAGAGCCCTTTCAATTTCTCCATTTTTGCCCTTTATCACTGTGTGTGTGTGTGAGAGAAAGAGACATACAGCATACATATAGAAAGATGTGCAAAATGTAAATGTATATTTAACAAGTGGTTATAAAGCCATATAATATGCAACAACCACACAGGTAAAGAAATAAAGTCTTACCAAAACCTAGCAGTCTCCCAGGTGTCCCTCTCCAGTCACCACACTCTTCCTCATGCCCCTACCCCAGTACCCCCAGGAGTCAAACACTTTTCTGCCTTTAGTGTCATCATGTCTTAGCTGTGTTTATAATTTTACCACCTATATATGCATTACGAAAGAGCTGCTTCTCCTTGCTATCTTTTTCTTGCTGTAGGTCTTGTATCTTCAAAGATACTTAGAAATAGGGTTCCGAATATAACTTTTTCTGTTTCTGCACTCTCTCTCTTCTTTTGTGTTTCCTTTAATCTGTCAGACTGATTTTGTTCCACTCACATGAAAACTCTGTCCCCAGTGCCTCCTGATCCTTGCCTCTGCATTCATGACTAAGTGTGATGCACTGGGAGATGACTGGGAGTCCGTAGGGAGTGGGCGTATTGGCCAGTGGTCCTTGCCTCTGCATTCATGACTAAGTGTGATGCACTGGGAGATGACTGGGAGTCCGTAGGGAGTGGGCGTATTGGCCAGTGGTCCTTGTCTCTGCATTCATGACTAAGTGTGATGCACTGGGAGATGACTGGGAGTCCGTAGGGAGTGGGTGTATTGGCCAGTGGTCCTTGGCTCTGCATTCATGACTAAGTGTGATGCACTGGGAGATGACTGGGAGTCCGTAGGGAGTGGGTGTATTGGCCAGTGGTCCTTGGCTCTGCATTCATGACTAAGTGTGATGCACTGGGAGATGATTGGGAGTCCGTATGGGATGGCGTATTGGCCAGTGGTCCCCTTAACAGAGCGGACCTTTGTTGTTGGGCATCACCTGACCCCAGTGTCTAAAGGAGAATTTCCTCCTTGGAGATAACGTCTGACCGCAGCCTTCTGGGAGCCACGGGAACGGTCTTGTGTGCCTGCAATTAGAACACACGTAATCACTTTATTTCTGAATTTAAGCCTCACCCAGTCCCCCATGGTTGCTTATTTGCTGACTCCTAGCTAGGAAACTTTCTGAGATTCTCTGAGTGAATCACATTTGTTTTCTTCGTAGGTTGTGGCTTTCTTTATTGTACTAAATCAATGCCTACTAGTCTGTTAAATGTCAAAGAAATATTAAACTTTTTATATTCTAATACTACTCCCATTCTTTTGTCCTAGTGGGCTTAAGGATGTTTTAATTTATTTTGCTGTCCTCGTAGTTGATTTTCTTTCTTCTTTCTTTTTTTTTTGAGACAGAGTCTTGCTCTGTCCCCCAGGCTGGAGTGCAATGGTGCGATCTCAGCTCACTGCAACCTCCACCTCCTGGGTTCAAGTGATTCTCCCGCCTCAGCCTCCTGAGCAGCTGGGACTACAGGCACCCGCCACCATGCCTGGCTAATTTTTGTATTTTTAGTAGAGACGGGGTTTCACCATCTTGGCCGGGCTGGTCTCGAACTCCTGACCTCAGGTGATCTGTCCGCCTCGGCCTCCCAAAGTGTTGGGATTACAGGCGTGAGCCACCACGCCCGGCCTTAGTTGATTTTCTTAAGGCAGAGCAGATAACATTTGTGCTTACACTACCACATTTAACCAACATTTCAATCAGGGATAGTTTAAATAAAACTTTATATAAGAGTTTCCCATTTCCTCCATTCTCTTTCTAGAAGTTTTTTTTCTTTTTTTTTTTTAGTATTGTTATTACTTGTAACTGTCTGTGTGAGTGCAGAGATATAATATTAAAATTTATCAAATTTCAGGGTAGTGATATTAATCATTTATTTTAGTAGCAAAATTAAATGTTAACATTCAACTGTAAGATTGGAAGATTTAACTGTCTTTTCCCCCATTGAATTAATACAGAACAAAAATTTATATTTCTGATACAGACAGGAGACAGGGAAATACTGGGTAGAAGATGATGGTGCCCTGACAAAGGCTCTGCCTTCAAGCCTGGAAGCCCATGGCTCTAAGTGGCAACAGGCATTCCTGTTTTCCTGCCCAAAAGTTGCCTTTTCACCTGCCATGCCCCACTATCCTGTACCCATATAAACCCCAATCCCCAGGCTCCAGAAGCAGGCAAGGAAGTAACAAACAGAAGAGTAGAAGAATAGCAGAATGGTGTGGCAGAGAGAAGAGAAGGAACATCTGAACATCGAGAGGAGTTCAGCTAGGGATGGTTGGAGAGGAGATTGGCTGCTGGATGGCCAAACTCCAGGGGAAGATCATCTTCCCACTCCATCCACCTTCCAGCTCCCCATCCATCCCACTGAAAGCCACCTCCACCACTCAATAAAACCCCCGCATTCATCCTTCAAGTCTGTGTGAAATCTGATTCTTCCTGGATTCTGGACAAGGACCTGGGTACTGAGAGGGCACTGAGCTGGTTAACACTTAAGCCATCTGCAAACAGCAAAGCTAAAAGAGTGCACTGTAACACACGTCCACTTGGGCTTTGGGAGTTGCAGGCACCCACCCTTAGATGCTACCATGGGGCCAGAGCCCAAAACACACTCAGCCTGGCTCCTGCACCTGCCTGTGTGCCCCCCTCCCATAAGGGGTTTGAGTGTGCAGTGGCAGAACATACGAGCCACACCCCTGTCGCATGTCCTGTGAGGGGGGTCAGGGAACTCTACCGTTTCATTTCCACTGGTTGATATGAGATTTTGCAAATGATACACTGTAGATCAGATACTCTCAAAGAAAAAAAAAGGCTACAAAGTTGTAGTGTTCAATTACCTTATTCATGAATACTTTTTTCCTAACCTAATTAACTCAATATCTTGGCATCACTAGGACTTTGAGCTTTACCCAATACGGGTTTCTTTCTTCCCGAAGCGTTTGTTTTACTGCCCCATTTTATTGCTTTCAATTAATGAAATCTGATTCTAAAACCAAGAGTTCCTGAGGTGTTAGCCACCACCACTATCCTCCCTGCTGTCACCTTCATTCTATCTGTTCCACCTATCTTTTGAGGACATCTAGAGTTGAGGTTATTAACCTTATATCATGTTCCCTTCTCCCCCCATTTGTACTCATTTTGTTTAGTGTGGGTAATTCAAATGTAAATTGTTTTGGTCACAAACCCCAACTGCTTGCTCACAGAATAGCCTGCAATCTGCCTTTTGCAATGATCACTCCTTCCTGGAGGGTACGTTGGCATCATTGAGTCTGATGGCACCTGCTTCTGCCATGTTAGAACACTGCCTGCAGCCCTAGGATCTGGACTTCAGTCAGACCAGCAACATATTCGCTTTTTTCTCTTCTTTGTTTGCCTATTTCTCTGTCTTCTAATTGTTTTAAAGGTGAAGGAGAGTAGTAGTACAGAAATAATAATAACACAAAATTAAAATTAAATTAAAATGTAAAAAATAAGTACAGAATTAATTTTTCTCTGGCTTGATTTTAAAATGTTAGTTCCAAGTGCTTTAGGTTGGAGATGTTTCCGACCCGAGCATGTCTTCCCCCACGTAAGCATCCCTTCACACATTCTTTGAAATCAGCTGCTCTGATCCTAAATGTAGGCCTCACGTCTCACCAGCTGTATAATCTTGGGAAAGTAGGAAACTCACTTTACTTCTTTATTTCTGGGACAGGGATCCTATCTCCAAGAGTTGTTGAAAGGATTAAATGATACAGTGCACTTAATGTTCCTGGTAGATAAGAAGTGCTCTATAAGTAGTGACCATTTTTATCATCTGTGTAGATGTTAAAGTTTGCCAGGATATTCTAGGATTATATACTCTGCAATTCCGTGCTGCTTTCATACGTTTGCTCTGATAAAACTTCCCTAGGACACTGAGAAAAGATTTTTCAGGGCTGACTAAGCCCTGCTTAAATATTTTCCAGCTGTTCTGGTTCTTAAGAAAGAAAAAAAAAATAGATTCTTAAAAGAGAATTAACTCATTTATTCTTACTCTTTATTCTCTGTGTCTGAGGGGAGACCCTACCAACCTCCCATCTATGACTCCCAGTAATCACAGGATACATCATTGTCTGGGAAGAGAGGGAGAGGGCCACAGGCTTGGCAAAGTCCGAACTTCCGGTCTTCCTGCTTTCCAATATCCCCAGGCTTCTGGCCTTGTACACGGTTAACGTGTTTCAGCTAGTGCTGAGTGTTGCATTCTGCCCCTTCAACCAGATCACTTCCGCTGAAAGTTTGCATCTCCCAGTATCAGTGTTGGGGAAGCCAAATGAAATCTATCAATCCCAGTTCAGAATGTAAAGAAACTGAAGATCCTCTTTCCCCATATGGATTATTATATCATCATAGCATTTGGAGAAGCCAAGATCAACAAAAAAGCAGTTAGCAGGTATGCATGTGTGTGTGCTATTTGAACATTACACATAGTAATTTTTCAGAAAAGATTCTCATCTCTGAAAAACTTTTCCTCCCTCAAGACAAAAAGAAGTATAGCTCATTTCATTTTAGGATATAATCTGTCTTTGGGCTTCAGCATTTTAAAATTAGACATATCTTTGATAGAATATTCTTTCAATTGTTAATTTCTCCAAGAAAGTTCAGCTCTCTGGAATCAGATTGAGATTTTTTGTTAAATCCTTATATTTGTCTTCAGTGCATTCATGTTTTAAAACAATACATTGAAAATTTGGAAGTGTTTTTACTTCAAATAACTACATTGTCTTTTTCTAAAATGAGAAGTTGCAGTGTTCCATGTTCTGATTTGATATTTTTCCTGATTTCTGTTAGTAGTCTTGGATGTTTTCTGTACTTGTATTTGGAGTATGCACACTTGTCTGAGACAGTTCTATTTCTCACAGTCTTCACTGTGCCACATATTTGCTTCCCTGTCATCTTCAAAAGAGTGGGCTAAGGCCAGGCGCGGTGGCTCACACCTGTAATGCTGACACTTTGGGAGGCCGAGGCGGGTGGATCACGAGGTCAGGAGATGGAGACCATCCTGGCTAACAAGGCGAAATGCTGTCTTTACTAAAAATACAAAAAATTAGCCGGGCATGGTGGTGTGCATCTGTAGTCCCAGCTACCCGGGAGGCTGAGGCAGGAGAATCACTTGAACCCGGGAGGCGAAAAGTTGCAGTGAGCCAAGATCGCGCCACTGCACTCCAGCCTGGGTAACAGAGCGAGAGACTCCATGAAAAAAAAAGAATGGGCTAGAGCTTGGCTACACTGCGAGATTTATTGTCTTTGAACTGCCACTTATTCTGAGCTGCTCACTTCCATTAATCAGCCTGACTTACCGACTCTGGAATTGTGTGCTCATATCAGACAGGTTGTGGCTAAAGTCCATCCATTACATTTCTAGGCCCTCACTTCTCTGTACAACCCCAGTTCAGTCATGCTGGCAAATATGTGGGGAGCGCTCAGCCCTGAGGAGTTCCATAAGGGAAAGTTCCACATGGGCTTGGATTATATACCTAATAACTCAGAGCAAATTTGTGAAAGCTTCACATGTCATTTACAATTTGTAGGCACTGCAGAACTGTAGATTCTAAAGAGAGAAGGCTATGCCTTCTGATGATAGTCTTAAATCATGGAAAGCTAAAACAATAAACACCTCAAATTCAGTGTATCTTTGCCTTGGAAAAAGGGTTAGACTTCATGGTTGCAATTCACCTCACTCGCCTGTGGTTCATTGATTCTGACATCTAATTAAATTGATCATCTACAGTGATCACAAGGCGATTGTTTGCCAAACACTACTGGCAAAGAAAACTTAGCTCATACTTGTAATTTACTTTAAGGTTTCTATCCGGAATTGGGAACAAATAAGAAATTGGTTTTGACTAGGAAATTGTACACAATTGTAATCATAATTTGGACTGGAATAATAACCACTGTGCATTTGCTTGTTTCTGACTTTGTTAGTCTTCATAATATTCCTTTCAGGAGGTTGGCTATATTTATAGTTAACTGAATTTTGCCAATGTTTTCTTTCCACAAAGCTTGTTGTATTTAATTGTCTTTAAGAAAAGAAACGAAAAGTATCTGTCAACTTTCAAGAAATAAAATGTTTTTGTTAAAAATCAATATTTATTAAAGCGAATGTCTTTTGAAAATTCAAGCAATATATAATTTGCAAACATTTGATTAAAATAGTTTCAGTAATATATTTTTAGCTTGAATGGGTCAAGATAATAAATCAATATTTTCTCTCAAATTCTGATAACGTGTAAAAAAGTTCTTTGAAACAATAATAAAACTTAAGAAAAAGCAGTCAGTAAAGCTACTGATGATTCTTTATTTCCTTTTATGAGATAATCAGTCTTTTGACTTCAGCATTTTAAAATTAAAAATACCTTTGATAGAATATTCCTTTCACTGTTAATTTCTCCAAGAAAGTTCTGCTCTTTGGAATTAGATTAACTAATGATATTTTTTGTTAAATCCTTATATTTGTCTTCAGTACATCCTAGTAGACTTGTTTAGATAGCAGACCCAAGAGTTAAATTCAAATAATTAGCAGGAATGGAAAATAGAGGATTCTAATTTTTCTTAAGAAAATGCTTTCTTATCATTGGCAAAAGAATGAGTTTATTCACAGACATTTTTATTCCATTATTCTGTGAGTAAAGAAAGGAAGAGGAGGCATGTTGAGGTTTTCTTTTCCTAATGATGTTACATTAATTATTGTAGCCAAGATACGCTTTTGAATACGATACAAAAACATACCTACAATAATGATCATAAAAATATTCCTTTTTCCATCGCTGAAAATTGCCTTTATTTGACAGGATGATCTTCTATGCATCTCATCCGACTGTCTGTATTTCCCTTCTGCTTTGGTGGAGTGGGGTGAGAGAGAGAGAGAGAGAGAGAGAGAGAGAGGGAGGGAGGGAGGGAGGGAGAGGGAGAGAGAGACAAGGCGGAAGCAGAGCCTTTGCGGGTAGAGCAGATAAAGATTCCCAGACAAATTTCATGGGTGAAGTGGCCAATTTACTTCTTTTATAGCTGAATGTCATTTTTTTTGTGGATTTTTCCATCAAGTAGTGAAAACTCACATATTAATAATATTCAGAGTCTCCTCTGGCCATTTAAGCACCCTCTTTGTCCAGAGTCAAGTCAGATTCTTGGCGGCCCTCCTGGCGCCACGTGTGTGAGGTGGGGGGAGGTTTCTCACCCTTGGCGATCCTCTCCTCCGCACAGGGGCGTCTGTGGGGGTGTCCGCCATTTTGTTTGGTCTCAGCTGCCAGTTCCCAGAGGAACCCTCTCTTCTGGCCACACGCCCGCTTGATGGTCACAGGCCTCCGTCAGCGGCTTCTCCATCCCTCTCTGGCAAGCTGAAGTACGTGACGACTTCCCTGGCCCTCTAGGGTTCTCAGGCCGTCAGGTACGGGTCTCTGTCAATCTGGCACCTGACAGCTGAGACAAACGAAAAAGACGCTCCGCTCGCTGATTCCTGGGCCGCGCGGGGTCACGGGGCGCTGCGGCTTTCCTGGAATCTCCTCAGGATTCAGGCACACCCTGTGCTCTCAGGTTCACTAAACCCGTCTGGGGTTTCTACACACGACCTGAAGGCATCTCCGCCCTTTGGCGGCAGATAGAGGAATAGAAACGACTGAGGAGACATGAAGCAGGGAGGAAAAGCTGGATGAGAGGAAGCACAGGGAGTGGAAGGCAACGTCCAGGAGACACGGCTCCTGATGCCCTTTCGTCTCGGTGGGCTCTCTGTGGCGAACCGTTGTCTGCTTGAGAGGAAAAGGGAAGTCATATTTGGTGCCATCCTCTGGACTCCAGATGTTTTTGTGCCTGGCCATAATTATATATATATGCGCATATATATATATATTTGCATATATATATATTTGCATATATATATATATTTTGTTTGTTTGTTTGTTTTTGGAGACAGAATCTCACTCTGTGCCCAGGCTGGAGTGAAGTGGCGCGATCTGGGCTCACTGCAAGCCCCGCCTTCCGGCTTCCCGCCATTCTCCTGCCTCAGCCTCGCGAGTAGCTGGGACGACAGGCGCCGCCACCAGGCTTAGCTGTCAAATTAGCTATTTTTAAGGTAATCGATTCTGAAAGGCAAGTCAGAATGTATAAAGCTCAAATGAACTTCTCTATGTTACACACTGTTTCTGTACCATTCAGTCTTGACTCCACTCTTCCTGCCGCCCTCAGTCTAGTTGCAGTCCAGGTGCCCTGTTTTCAGTTCCTAAACCACACCATGTCATCTCTAGCATCAAGCATTTTTCTCTACAGCATTTTTCCTTCCTACCTACAACCCATACTTTATATAGTTAACTTCTATTCCTCATTTTTATCTTCATTTCGAGTAACAGACTTGGGAAAATCTTCCATAAATTCGTAAGTTTAAGTGGAGAAGCCCTTATGTGTGTGTCCACAGTATCCCATAGCGCTTGGTACTGTGTTACCATAACACACACCACTGCCTTGTCATTGTCTATTTACCACCAGACTAAGTCCAAGAGGCTTCTTTTTTGTTTTGTTTTGTTTTGTGTTTGTTTGTTTGAGATGGAGTCTTACACTGTCGCCTGGGCTGGAGTGCAATAGCGTGACCTTGGCTCACTGCAACCTCCACCTCCTGAGTTCACGCGATTCTCCTACCTCAGCCTCCCGAGTAGCTGGGATTACAGGTGCGCATTACCACGCCCGGCTAATTTTTTGTATTTTTAGTAGAGATGGGGTTTCACTATGTTGGCCAGACTGGTCTCAAACTCCTGACCTTGTGATCCGCCCACCTCAGCCTCCTAAAGTGCTGGGATTACAGGTGTGAGCCACCGCGCCCAGCCCCAAGAGGCTTCTTGTAGGTCTTGTCTGTTGTTCTATTCTAGTGCCTTGCACAGTGCTTGAAATATGGAAGAATCTGTAAAAAATCATATTGAGTACAGTTGGCTCTCTGGATCCGTGGGCTCCACATCCTTGGATTCAACCAACTGTAGATTGAAAATATTCAAAAATTAAAAAAAAATCGCATCTGTACTGAGCAGGTACAGACTTTTTTCTTGTCATTATTCCTTAAACGAAACCGTATAACAACTATTCACATAGCATTTACATTGTATTAGGTATTCTAAGTAATCTAGAGATGATTAAAGAAAAAGCGAGGATGTGTGTAGCTTATATGAAATAGTGTGCCTTGTTATATCAGGGACTTGAGCATCTGTAGATTTTGGTGTCTTTGGGGGTCCTAGAGCCACTCCCCTGCGGATACGGAGGGATGAGTGTATGGAGGTGGTAAATGACTTGCTCCAGGTCACATTAGTGAGTGAAAGAGCAAGGGATGTGCTCTCGGCCATTCAGTTCTAGAATCTGTGCATTTAACCACGATGCATATAGCCAGACACAGAGCTGTTATTCCAAAACACTGAGAATTAGTAACAAGGGCTCTTTAAACTATTGGATCTAAACTAATTTCAACTAGATTAAATCTACTTCATTACTTTTTACAAATGTTGTTTCCTGGGTGGGGCCTTTTGGAATGATGAAGTTAATTATGAAATAAAAATGGAAAAATGAATTTCATCCAAAATACATTTTCTGCAGATTTAAATGTCTGTGTATATTACATATACACGCATCTGTATCTATGCATGTCTTTACATAGATATATCCATAAATGTATATGTTATATACAGCGTATTAGGGATAGTTCTCCAGAGACAGAACACACGCACATATATACACACACACACACCCACACCCTGGCGCACACACACACATCCACACACACATATATGTGCACACATACACACACACACACACACCCCGCCAAGCACCTCGTAACAATGTTTAACAGAAGACCACATAGACAATGGTGGTACCATGACATGAGATTCTAGTGGAGCTGGAAAATTCCTATTGCCTGGTGATGCTGTGGCCAGAATAAAGTCATAGTGCAGCGCATTACTCACATGTTTGTGGTGATGCTGGTGTAAACAAATCGTGCTGCCGGTCATATAAAAGTATAGCACAGCCCAGGCACGGTGGTTCATGCCAGTAATCCCAGCCCTTTGGGAGGCCGAGGTTAGTGGATCACCTGAGGTCAGGAGTTTGAGACTAGCCTGGCCAACATAATGAAACCCCGTCTCTACTAAAAATACAAAAATTCGCCGGGCATGGTGGTGCGTGCCTATAGTCCCAGCTACTCTGGAGGCTGCAGCAGGAGAATTGCTTGAACCCAGGAGGCGGAGGTTGCAATGAGCCAAGATCGTGCCATTGTACTCCAGCTTGGGCAATAGAGCTAGACTCCATCTGAAAAAAAAAAAATATAGCACATGTAATTATGTACAGTACATATTTGACAATAATAATAAATGACTGTTACCTGTTTATGTGTTTACTATATCGTATGTTTTATCATTATGGTAGAGTGTATTTCTACTTACAAAAACAGTGAACTGTAAAGCAGCCTCAGGTACCTCCTTAAGGAGCTCTTCCAGAAGGCATTGCTATCACAGGAGATGACAGCTTCATGTGTGTTTGGCCCCTGAAGCCCTTCCCGTGGGACAAGATGGAGGTGGAAGACAGTGATATTCATGATGCTGACCCCCGTGTAGGCCTAGGCTAATGTGTGTTTGTGTATTAGTTTAAAAAACTAAAAATTAATAAACATAGAGGAAAACTTATAGAGATATAAAGAAAATATTTTTCTGCAGCTGTACAATATGCCTATGTTTCAAGCTAAGTGTTATTACAAAATAGTCAAAAGGTTAAAACAGTCAAAAGGTTAAAATTAAAAGTTTATGAAGTGAAAATGTTACATCAGCCAACTTTAATTTATTAAGGAAGGAAGAGCGTTTCTTTTTTAATGATGTAGTGTAGCCTCTAAGTAGTTTTCATGAAGTTTGCAGTTGTTACCCAGACCTTCATAGGCGCTCACTACTCACTCAGTGACTTACCCAGAGTAGCTTCCAGTCCTTCAAGCTCTATTCATGTGAAGTGAACTACACAGGTATACCAGTTTTTATATTTTATACCATAATTTTACCGTCCCTTTTCTATGTTTGGGTACACAAATACCATTGTGTTTCCGTTGCCTGCAGTATTCAGCACAGTAACCTCCTGTACAAGTTTGCAGCCTAGAACAATAGGCTCTACTGTCTAGTCCAGGTGTGTAGGAGGCTGTGCCAACTAGATGTGTGTAAATGCACTCTAGAATGTTCACACAAAGGCAAAATTGCCTAACAACGCATTTCTCAGAATGTATCCCCCCTTGTTAAGTGACACATGACTCCATGTATATATACAAAGAGAGACATAGAGAGAGAGAGAGCGTGCACACACAAGAATGACAGGGAGAGAGAGATTTATTATAGGATTATTATGGGAATTGGCTCCCATAATTCTAAAGACTGAGAAGTCCCATGATCTGCTGAAGAACTAGGAAAGCCGATGGTATAATTAGGTCTGAGTCCAAAGGCCCACAAATTAGGACCACCACACTAGCTGGCTGTGGTGTCAGTATCTGTCATCCCACCGATTTGGGGGGCTGAAGTGGGAGGATCACTTGAGCCAGGAGTTTGAGACCAGCCTGAGCAACATAGAGAGACCCCAGCTCTAAAACAGAAAAAAGAAAATCAGGAGCACCAGTGCTCCAGGGCAGGAGAAGATGGATGTCCTAGGTCAAACAGAGAGAAAATTCTCCCTTTCTCTGTGTTTTTGCTCTATTTGGGCCCTCAGTGGATTGGATGGGAGTGCCCAGCTGCTTAGTGAAGGTGATTTCCTTTACTCGGTATACTAAGTCAAATGCTAATCTTTTCTGGGAACACATTCACAGACACACGCAAAAAGTATGATTTCCCAGTTTTCTAGGCATCCTTTAGCCCAGTTAAGTGGGCACGTAAAGCTAAACATCATATACATGTATGTATGAATATATACATGTTCCTTACCCTGGATTTCTCTTTCCCTGTCACTCTTATAATTTGTGTATTTATTTGGGGAAAGAATAGTTATCAAGAATTTCTAGAGGAAGCCAACTGTCTACATAAGCTTCAGAGTTACAACGCCTAACTCTATCCAATCTAAGTTAAATTTAAGAATGAATGTTGAGTACATCTGGTTTGTATATGGTGTTTTGGCAGAGCTCAATTTAATTCATCTCAAAAAGCATCCAGTGAGCACATACCAAATAATGGCCTCATTTCAGGCTTTGGGCTGTATAAATAACATACATCCCAATGTGGGGAAACCAGACAATAAACACAATAATTTACAGAGAATTTAAAGGAGGATGAGTGTCATGAGAAGAAAATAGTAAAAGGTAAGGAGGAGAGGAACTACATCGTTTGGGATTGCAATTTTAAACAGAGTCAAAACTTGAAATAATTTTAGTATGTTGCAAATATATCTAAAATACGTAGGACGTCTTGCATGGTCACGTAAGTCTAGAATTCGAAAAATAGCTAGAGAATAAACTGAAAATTCAAAATTAATATATTAGAAAAATTTTGGAACTTTTATATTATAGCAAGGTAATTAAAATATTTTCATAAATGTACCTTTATTTTGTTATCAGGAATTAGGCAAAGGCTGTTGAAATATTCGCAAATACAACCCAGCTCTAGAAATCAGGAAGTGGTGCTCTACGGATATGCAGGAGGGAGTGCTGAAAGAACAGCTCATGAGGTAGTGCAGGCAGAGGCAGGTTGATGGCAGCAGTGACTCCAATTTGCTCTCACTCTGTGTCTCCATTCACTTTGGTAGTGCAGGCAGAGGCAGGTTGATGGCAGCAGTGACTCCAATTTGCTCTCACTCTCTGCCTTCATTCACTTTGGTAGTGTCCTCTTACACAGACGCTGGGATTGGAAACCAGATTGCTTTGACAAATGGGAAATTAGCAAATATGAGATGTGCAGCAACTTGAGAAGTGCTCATGTGCTGAGGCATGTTTATTGATACACTTAGAGACCCGAGACCACTATGCAAATATGCGCCCACCAGCCCTCTGGAGGATGAGATGATTGCCTCCAACAACTGAGCCAAGCATGGTTTTATTTTTGTTTTTGTTTCCGTTTTGGTTTTCAGATGGAGTCTCACTTTTTTGCCCAGGCTGGAGTGCAGTGGTGTGATCGCAGCTCAATGCAACCTCTGCTTCCCAGGTTCAAGCAATTCTTCTGTCTCAGCCTCCTGAGTAGCTGGGACTACAGGAGTGTGCCACCATGCCCGGCTAATTTTTGTATTTTTAGTAGAGATGGGGTTTCACCATGTTAGTCAGGCTGGTCTCGAACTCCTGACCTCAGGTGATCCACTCACTTCGTCCTCCCAAAGTGCTGGGATTACAAGCGTGAGCCACTGCGCCCAACCCTGAGCCAACCATGGTTTAACCACCAGTGATCTGAGTGGCCAGGTGGTCTCTGATGATCCACAAGCTGACCAAGGTTATCACAGATGCTCACATAAGTCTAGCCCAGACCAGAACTTCCAAGCAGAGTGCAGCTGAAATTGCTTTCATAGAATGAGCTAATAAATGGTCGTCATGTTAAACCAGTAAGGTTAAGTGGTTTGTTACACAGCAAAAGCTAACTGACACAGTGCATTTAACTACTTCAATTCTGATAGCCCATCACAGAATATTTTAGCTAAGAACTACATCTAATTTATAGTCCTTTATATTTTTTTCTGTTGGAAGCATTTCATAGAGACAAACTAGTTGCTATTTAAGTAAAATAATGCACCATTATGCATACGTTTTTGTTACCTATGTAGACAATGAGAAAATAGAATTGTTTTAAATTCCTAGGGACACTTATAAGTTCTAGGTTGACATTTATCAAATTTTCATTATTATGTCTAAGCACAGTCTTTCCCTACTACCTCCCAAATAAAGAGTTACCTGCTAGGCGCACATCTATCCCACGAATTTGTCAGCTCAAAGGAACAAGGCCAGCAGTTATGCTTGATTATACAGAATAAATAGAGTATGAAAATTGAAATTAGACACACTTACTATAAAATGTGATGATTATTTCCATTCCAGGACCAAATTGAATTAAAAAAAACTTATTGATCTGGATTGAATTTCAATTTGCTAAGATTTGAGCAAGCCAACTTCTGCCCAGTAATGTTTGAATAGAAAGGCTTATGAGGCCAATAGTCTGTTCATCACAGGTGATAAAGTTTTTTTTTAAAGTCAATAAATTACTTTTTACTACAGGAGAAACGTATGCTTTATATGCCAACAAAGAGTTGAAATGCCAGAAGCACTTGAGGACTAAATTACGGAGCACTTATTTCATCACAACAGAACGCTAACGCGGGTGCTTGATTACAACAAGCCATCCAATTGCATGAATTTGGGCTGCAAGGCACCCAGGCTTTTATATTCATTAGCAAAGTTATTGATTCTGGAAAGTTACCTCTAATAAAACTACACCATTTTCTCAGGCCTGTTATATGGGCGCAGACAAATTATTTGATCAACGATATTGAGCAAAAGGAAAAGCATTCATTGTCTCTAATCTCTTTTCCCTCCTCCCAGAATTGTACATGGCGATCATCAGCAGTATGAAGAGGAGCTGTGGGGCCAGGTCTGATTTGGTTTTATATAGCTATATAAATATTTGATAATTAAATCACATTGTTTCAATAAGAATATTAAATAAAAGCTAAAGTTAAAAATGACAAAATAGGCCGGGTGTGTTGGCTTACGCCTGTAATCCCAGCACTTTGGGAGGCCGAGATGGGTGGATCACTTGAGGTCAGGAGTTTGAGACCAGCCTGACCAATATGGTGAGACCCCATCTCTACTAAAAAATACAAAAGTTATTCGGGCATGGTGGCAGGCATCTGTAATCCTGGCTACTTGGGAGGCTGAGGCAGGAGAATCACTTGAACCCAGGAGGTTGAGGTTGTAGTGAGCCTAGACTGCACCATTGCACTTCAGCCTGGTCAATAAAAGCAAAACTCCATCTCAAAAAAAATGACAAAATAGTATAATATTATATTCATAAAAATAATTTTACATTTACACAAAGGTGTAATTCACTGTACATTAGCTTCAACAAAACATCCATAAGTTATTCAATTCCCAGTTATCGGCTGCTTGAACTTTTATGCCCTTTAGCTCCATCTGTTAAAGAACGCATACCTCCATAGAGCTCCCATAAAATAGTTTTTAATTAATTTAATCAAAGAATATTGTTCCAAGAATATAGTTAATACACTGAATGGAATTTTTATAAATAAAATTAATAAAGATGGAAATGTGTTACTTAAAAAATAAGATTCTAGCTATTCTATCATTGTTTGTGTTTCCATTTAAATATTAGAATCACCTTGCCAAATTCCACACAAAAATCCTGCTGATATTTTGATTGGAATTGCATTGAATCTATTGCATTAATTTGGGGAAAATTAATATTTAAAAATAGTGAGTTTTCCAATCCAATCACAAAGTATACCTTACCATTTATTAGAAATTTAATTTTCTCAGCAATGTTTTAGTTTTCAGTGTGGACATTTTCCACCTATTTTCTTAAATTTATCTCTAAATATGACATATTCTTTATGTTCTTATATAAATATTTAAAGTTCACATTCATAAGAAAATTCAAACCACCAACTGGGAGACATTATTTGTAAAATATATGTCTGACAAAGAACTTGTATCCAAAAGGTATAAATAATTTTTGCAATTAAATAATAACAATATAAAGAAAAATTGCAAATATGGAAAAGATTGAGATACATTTGAAAATAGAAAATACATGACCCACAAGCAGATTAAAAGCTGCTCAACACCATCAGTTATCAGGAAAATGCAAATTAAAATCACAGCAATTTATCCATTCACACACTAAAATGATTACAATTTAAAACCCAATAGTAATAAGATTTGGCAAAAATATGGGGCAACAAAACTTCTCATATACTGCTGAACAGCTTTATAAAACGGTGCGACCACTTAGGAGAATTGTTTGGCAGTTTCTTAGGCTTAGATATTTGTGCCAAAGAATTGAAACCTGGTTCACAAAAATACTTGCCTAGAAATGGTCACAGCAGCTTGATTCATCATAGCCCCAGAAGAGAGACAACCCAAATGTCCATCACATCACAGACATGGGAAAATGAATCAACAACATAGATCTCATGTTAGTCTCTTCTAAGTGGACAGGTTTTTATTTTCCAATCCAGTAAGACAAATTCTCTAGAAAACGGCATAGTACCCACCTCACAAGTTCACTGTGAGCATTAAATGAATTGGTTTATTTAACACATGTCAAACATTGTCTGGAAAATTCAGAGCACTATATATTCAGAGCACTATGTATATGAGTCTTGGTTATGAGTATTACTGAAACTTCTATGTGCCTTGCTTTTCCTGTATTTCTTGTCACCTCATTCCCCTTCCTCATGGCTCCTTTTGAAGATAGTATTTAATTTACATCTCCATTACTGTTTGGAAGCTATGTCCTTTGTTATACTATTTTAATAGTCACCCTTAAAATTTGAATGTGTGTATAAAACGTAAGTCCTAAAGTTAATCAGTGTCTTTACTTTCTTCACCCTCAGATTCAAGGACCTAAGAATGATTTATTTCTCATCATTCCTTTCAAATCACACTTGCAGTTGTATTTTTAAAATTTCTGCCTTGCTTTTATAACCCACAAATTAGACATTGTTTGATATTAACAAAAGCAAGAGTCAGATCTCCTCTGTGTTCCTTGTCTCCCTTCCTTGATACATTTCAGACCTTCCTTATGGGACCTTATTCTTTGTTTGTTTTTGAAGCCCAACCTTAGAAGCTGTTTTATGAGGCTTATTTAGAAGTAAACTCTTTCAAAATCTGCTCATTTGTCTTTATTTTGTCCTCATTCTCGAAAGATACTTTAGCCGTATAAACTATTCTCCATTGCCCATTATTTTCTCTGAACACATTGAGGGCGTTTCACTGTGTTCTTGCTTTGCTCATTGTTTTTGTGGCTCAGCTAGCTGTCAGTCTGAATGTTCCTTCGTAGGATGTGCGCTTGTTTCTTCTAGATCCCTTTGAGCACTGTAGACGCAGGTCCTCTTTATAGTACAATTTTGGCTTGTGTATTGAGGTTCGCATAAACAGTATGGGCTTAGGTTCCCAACCATGGCAGCCCAGTGGGTACCACATTAACAGGGGTGAAGTTTTTACTTTTTCTCCATCTTTATGAAAATTGAGACAGGAGTTAGGTAGATTGTTTTTCCATTCTCAGGGGTCTGGCTTTATGCAGATGGTCTCAGGTTTGAACTCTAGGCCACAGGACACTGGGTGTGGTCCCAGGGAGTCTGGTGGCTTCAATGCTAGCTTTCCTCCCTGTGCTGTGCTCCTGCCTAGGTCCTGCCCACATGGACTTCCTTCACCTTCATGCAGGCTCATCCATGCTTTACACGTTATGCATGCCCATTTGTGTGTCCCAACTTAGCATTTTGATTTGTTATATGAATAAAAATCAAGAGAGATGCAAGATCCGTAGTCAGTCATATTTGTGGAAATCGAAATCCCCCACACATTTTTTCATCCATTTGAATTTATTAAGTTTGAGGAAAATGTCTTAACAAATAAGCAAGTTTGGCTAGTCCTAGAAACTATATCTCTAACTTCTAACTTGGGAGTTACTGTACCAATTATATGGTGAAAAAAATTATAGTTCATAATTATTTGGTATTAAAAGAGACCTAAAAATTATTTTTTATTCATTCCTTTTACATCTATGAGGCAAAATGACAATGCAAAATTATATAAATGTGATTATCTACCCGCAAAATTTGGATTAAAGACTATTTTCATGTGAAAAATGTGAAAAAGATAAAACGTCACACAGACTGTGAGAAAAAATGTACTGTTTTCACATGTTCTTGTAAATATATTCTTATCCTTTTTATCTAACGTGTAGCTAAATATCAAAGGGCCATTGACTATATATATATATATAGCTGATGCTGAAAAAGGCTGTTGAATTGTTTCAATTAACAATATAGCAAAAATACTAAAGCCTTTCACTTTTTTTTTTTTTTTTTTGAGACAGTCTCACTCTGTCGCCCAGGCTGGAGTGCAGTGGCCCGATCTCAGCTCAGTGCAACCTCTGCCTCCCGGGTTCACGCCATTCTCCTGCCTCAGCCTCCAAAGTAGCTGGGATTATAGGCACACACCACCATGCCCAGCTAATTTTTGTGTTTTTTGTAGAGATGGGGTTTCACCATGATGGCCAGGATGGTCTCAATCTCCTGACCTCATGATCCGCCTGCCTAGGCCTCCCAAAGTGCTGGGATTACAGGCGTGAGCCACTGTGCCCAGCCCTTTCACATTTTATATCTTGTAATTCTCTATTCTGCTCTACACCATAGGGATGATCCTTCCAAAAGCATCCTATCTAGATTCTGCTGTTAAATCACCTTTGTTGGCCTGGCCAGTTATCAAACTCAACAGCCCCTTCATCATCAAAGACTCGCCCTCTATCCGCATCTCATTCCTTGCTTCCGCCAATAATCTGACTAGTAAAGAAGTCACTGCATGCCACAAATTGTCAGTGCTGACTTCCTCAACAAGGAAGTTATTTATTTACTTATTTAATATATGAGTGACTCAGATGCAAATTCCATCTTGAGAATACCAACTCCTGATGCCAACTGATTGTCAGTCATGGCTACAACAGGAGACTGGATTCACTCAAATAGTTCAAATAAACAGAACGTAATAGAGGGACTACTTACAGAAGTGAAGCAGGGTTGAGGAAAGACACAGGGGATGTTGAGCTACTCAGAGCTGCAGTGACAGCATGTGGAAATAGAATTACTGAAGTTCCATAAGGCTGGAATTGTGAGAGTCTATCCAGGAGTAGCTGAATTTGCAGAGGAATGCAGCTGTCCACAGAAAAACAATGGCAAAGGAGCAATGCAGCAGAGAAGACATAGTCTAATTTCTCTTTACTTTCTACTGTATGATATGGTAGAAGGCTTGCTTTTGGCTGTGCTGGAAAACATACAGAAAGGAAAACCAAAAGATAAGCTTTATGTTTTAAAATCTCCACTCAAGATGCAGGTGGAAAATTAGAAAGCCACTGTGGTGATGTTAAAATATATCTTGTATGTCTGAAGTCAGCTACACAAAGGAGAAAACATCAAAACTAATTGCATTGATTGTGTAGTTTCAGTACCTGTTAAATGCATAATTCCATCGATTCAGTTTGGCAATGGCTGAGCAACTAACTGACTGTAAAGGAAAAGGACCCTAAGATTTAGTATGGCAAACCGAGATAAAGTTAAGAAATTCTAGCCCACCAATCTCCTGAAAGCTCTTTGTAGCCAGAATCACCTCTGCCTAAGTTGCTCTTGGCTTGAAGATCTGCTCTGAGAAGAGATACCATGTACGTCAATGGAACTACAAAATCTTGAAAACTTATGCGAGAAGGAAGCTGGAAAGCATAAAAAAAATTAATTCTTATAAACTTTTTTTTTCTGCCTTCTCTTCCCTCTCTAGCTATAATTTTGGATTTGTCTATTTTTATTTTCATTTATATCAAATGTTGTCTCATATATTTTGAAGCTGTTATGTGATGCTTGCATTTAGGATTCTTGTGTCCTCTTGATGCATTAACACCATTATAAAATGGCTTTCTGTACCCTGGCATCCCTCTTTTTCCTGATTTAATATGCCCACAGTAGATTTCTTATTATTAGAACTTATGTAGTACATTTTTGTTCTTCCTGTTACTTTTAAAGTGAATTTCTTTTAGATGGAATGTTGTTGTGTCTATGAAAAAACAGTCTATGTTTTAAAATTTAGTATTTAGACTATTTACCTTTAATGTAATTATGGGCATAGTAGGGTTTAAATCTACCATCTTGCTATTCATTTTCTATTTGTTCCATATTTTTCTTATTTCTTTTGGGTTTCCACCTTTTTCCATGTTAATTGAATATTATTTAATGTTTGCACACTATGGCCTTATTAGCTACAGCTCTTTATTTTATTTTATAGATGTTGTTTATGGGTTTACAATCTTTAACTCATAACAATATACTTTCAAATAATATTTTACCACTTTGCATATAAGACCGTTAAACAGTGTACTTTCTGTCTCCTGTCCATTTTTAATTTATCACAATGTACCTTCAAATCATATTATCCATTTTGAAAATAATATAAGAAACTTAAAACAGTATGTGTCCATTTTTCTCTTTTTTGGAGAATTACCATGCATTTTATTTCTGCATATGTTATAAATTTCACATTACATTTTCTTCTTGTTTTAAACTGTTAATTTTATTCTAAATAATTTTTTTAAATGAGAAAAAAAATTGAATTTACCCCCAAGGTAGCATTCTTGTGTTCTATCTTTTTTGCATATTTTAAATCCAAGTATCTATTTGATATTATTTTCTTTTATTATAAATAACTTATTTCTGCATTTATTGTAGTGTAAGTCTGCTGTTGACAAATTACCCCAGCTTTTTTTTTCTAAAAAGTTTATCCTTATTTTTGAATGATGGTTTTGCTGTTTGCTGAATTTACAGTTCTAGGTTGACAGTTTTTAAATTTTTAAAGTAAAATTCTAACACCTTGTTTTTGCTTCATTTCTGATAAGCTTCAGTCATTCTCATTTTTGTTCCCCTGTGTGTAGTATGTATTTTTTCTCCAGTTGTTTTAAAGTTTTTTCTTCATCACTAGTTTACAGTAGTTTCATTTTTATATAGCTTGTGGTGCTTCTCTTTGTGGTTTGTCCTGATTTTAGTCAGCTGATTGGTGAGTGTATAGCTTTCATTAAACCAGTAAAATGTTTAGCTATTTTAAGTATTTTCCTACCTCCTTCCTCCCCATCCTGCTCTTGCTTTCTCTTGGACTCTACTTGCATGTATGTTAGATTGCTGGCTGTTTTTCTACTGTTCACTGATTTTGTATCTTATTTTTAGTCTTTTTTTCTCACCTTGCTTCAGTTTGGATAGTTTCTGTTGCAATATTTTCAAGTATGTCCATCTTTCCTTTCACAGTTTTGAGTATGCTCTTAAATGCAGTGAATTTTTCAATTTAAATATTGTATTCTGGGCCAGGTGCGGTGGCTAATGCCTGTAATCCCAGCACTTTGGGAGGCTGAGGAGGGCGGATCACCTGAGGTCGGGAGTTAGAGACCAGCCTGACCAACATGGAGAAACCCTGTCTCTACTAAAAATACAAAATGAGTGGTGGCACATGCCTGTAATCCCAGCTACTCGGGAGGCTGAGGCAGGAGAATCACTAGAACCCAGGAGGCAGAGGTTGCAGTGAGCCACAATTGAGCCATTGCACTCCAGCCTGGGCAACAAGAGCGAAATTCTGTCCCCCGCCGAAGAAAAATTGTATTCTTTAGTCCCAACTATTGATACATGGATAAGGTGTACCATCGCCACCACCATTATCAACATCATAACAACAGTGTTTTATAGCACTTTTAAGACTATAAATGCTTTTATATATATTAACAGATTTTACACTCACTGAGGCTTGGTTATTTCCATCTTAAAGATATGAAGTGTGAGGCTCAGAAAATAAGTCAGTTTTACAAACATACTGGGAAAAAAATTGTATGCTAGAACTGAAATCTAAATCTATCCAAGTCAATTTTTATTTGCTACTTCATGCTGCCCATATCTATAGTTGATCTTTTACCATACCATGATCTTAGGAGACTAGGAAACAATAAAACCACAAGTAAGAAAATGATTCTTTCTATACGTTTCAAACCAAATAGCTATCTAAGACAATTTATCCAGATAATCCAAGTCAAATAAAAGTATGCTTCAGTTCTCTGAATATTATAAGCAAAAGTGTAAAAGATAGCTTTGTGCCTCCAGTGAAGAGCAGTCAGGCAACCAGAAGGCATACCTAGCAATATAATATTTATTATTTCTTGAGCTTTTATTGTTCGGTGTTCAATAGTCCTGTGAGATAGTTCTCATTATTCTTTATTTATACATGAGAAAACTGTCTCACAGAAGTTGCATAACTTGCTCAGAGTCCCATGGATAATAAGTGGCCCAGGCAGCACTTGAGTCCAGGTCAGTCTTGCTTTTTCCCTTTCTTATTCACTGTCCTACCTTGCCTCTATGTTTGTGTCCCTTCTTAGTCACTTCTCTTGCACTGTTGATTTGCCTTTTTTTAATACATATGTGCTTTATTTACTGCAATTGACAAATAATTGTATCATTTATGGCATTCAACACAGTGTGTGGTTTTTCCTTTTTTTTTTTTTTATTTTGAGACAGAGTCTTGCTCTGTCAATGAGGCTGGAGTGCAGTGGCATGATCTCCGCTCACTGCAGCCTCTGCTTGCTGGGCTTAAGCGATTCTCCTGTCTCAACCTTCCAAGTAGCTGGGGCCATCCAGGCATGCACCACCGTGCCTGAATTATTTATTTATTTGTAGAGCCCTCTTATAGAAGTCTCCCTATATTTCCCAGGCTGGTCTCAAACTCCTGGGCTCAGCAATCCTCCTGCCTTGGCCTCCCAAAAGCCCTGGGATTACAGATGTGAACCGCTGCACCTGGCCTAACATGAGGTTTTGAAATACATATATATTGTGAAATGGATAAATCTAGCTAAACACATACTTATTTTTTTATCTGTGGTGAGACCACTTAAAGCCTACTCTTTCAGCAATTTTAAAGTATATCACCATGGGGTACAATAGATCTCTTAGACCTGTCCCTACTGTCTAGATGGCATTTTGCATCCTTTGACCAACATGCTGATTTATCTTTAACATATTGTATTGCTACCTTGTGGTAGGCAGAACTTTGGTCGTCGTGATCTCAGCCACCTAGCGTTACATCCTGTTATGTTACATGGCAAACAGGCTTTGCAGATGTAATTAATGTTACTCCTCAGTTGACTTTAAGATAGGGAGATTAACCTAGATTATGCAGGTGAGCTGGATCTAATCTCATGAGCTCTTTAAACGTCGGAAGAGGAGGGTAGAAGAGAAAATCAGAGATTATAAGTGAAAAGGTTGGAGATGTCATTACTGGCATTTAAGATAAAGGGGGCCAAAAGCCACAGAATATGGGTGCCTTCAAAAGCTGAGCCAATAGCTGGCAAAATCATGAGAACACTCACTCCTGTAGCAACATGGAGCTGAATTCTGCCAACAATCTAAATGAGCCTGGAAGCAGGTTCTCCCTCAGAGGCTCCAAAGAAGAGCCCAGGCCAGCTGACAGCTTGACTTGCACCTTGTGTGCCCCTATATAGAGAACCCAGTCAAGCCATGCTGTACTCAGACTTCCAACTCATGGAACCTATGAGATAATAAATAGGTGTTGTGTTAATTTATTATGGCAGCAATAGCAGGCTAATACATACTTTAGGAACAATTAATTTCAAATTTTTGTGTGTGAACTCTCCTCATTCACTATCATGACACACAAACACATTCACCCACACACTCTCAGAGATACTCAAGTTGTATACTTCCAGAAGAGGCTTTCTCTGTTTTTAAAGTCTGAAGTTCTCAGCATTCTCACTGAGCCATGCTATCACTTTTGTGTCACTTTGGACAGCCTTCCCTGCTTCTGTCATCCTCAACTTTTTCTTGCATTGTCTGTTTTCCCTTTTCCCTGTTTGCACCTCAGTTCTTTTGTTTTCTGTTAATATTAGGACCTGATTATATACACAGCTAGTCCACAAACACATGTATAGTTTTCTTCACAAAAAATCAAGGAAGGACATTGCATTGTGTGAAGTGTTTGCATCTTTATATTTTTATTTTATACTTACTGCAAAGTGGCATGTGGATACTTTTCTACTGCTGGACACAAAGGTATCTATTAAGATAGAAATATTCCTCATACACGTGCTGTAGGATTCTTGGAACTGAAGAAAATTTGGCCTCTAAAAAACTGTATTATCATAATCATAAGAATTATATTTGATAGAGTTTCTAATATTTTATTAACATCAGGAGATTCGATTGAAGTCAACATTTGCAATTTAAATGTGGTATTAAGCACTTTGTTTAAAGGCAGAATAATTATAATGCATCAATGTGTATGTTTCTACAAATTTGACAACTATAACACATGCCACTTAAAACCTTATTTACCATGCGCAGTCTCATATAAATACAAGCTGTAAGTCTAAGAGCCACCCTAGATTCCATTCTCTTCTTTACCTCCAGTGACTAGTCCGTCCCCAAGGTGAGCTTATTTTTCTTCCTGAATGACCCTAAGGGGTAAAAGTAGATTTGATAGTTGGGGACGATATGATTTGTGGTTATACAGAAAAACTTTTAACTACTGACACTATACAAAGCTCTAACTTGTCCTTTGGAGGAAAATATTTTTCTTACTAACATTTACTGATTAGACATTTAGTGGGAATATCAGGCAACGTGCTGGTTTCAAATGGTTGGTTGCAGGTCCCTTTCAAAAATGGGCATTTCCAATTCTGCGTCAACATCATTGTTTACACAGCTGCAGAGAGCACATTCTTCCAGGAGCACCTTCAGGGCTTTCCGGGAAGCTTCTGGGCTTCGTTTGTTTGGAATCCTAAAGCAAGCAGCCTTTCCTGAAAAGAATGTCCTCAGGAAATACTTTGGAATAAATTAAATGATATTTTTAGGCATTTTTATCGATCTGTTGTTTAGAGACGATTTTGAATCTGTTGACTTATTTTGTGATAAACAGAACTTTTACAGCATCTCAATGGAATCTGATTTCTAGATTGACTTGCCACCTTGAAATGATAATTACATTGTTTTTGAGAAGTAACATCTTTGTTTCCATAACATAAGACTTTCAGTTTATAACACAATGTACAATTGGGGCTTACTTTTTTAAAAGCACTGATTTATTTGAAACCTGTCTAAATTTGGCTAGGTTTCATAATTGGAGCAATCATCAATATAGTATGAATGACCTTATACAATATAATTTTATTAAATAAAATATTTTTATTAAAACTAAATGAAGTCATAAAAATTTGATTTTTTTTCTAAAGAAAAAGTGTATTGAAATCCATGGACCTAAAATGTGGCTTATTATTAAAAAAATCCTATTTAAATATACTTTTGAAATAGATACATGTTTCTAGCATATTTTATTCACCCTGTACTTACTCTCTTATGAGAATTACTCCACAGAAAGTCATCTTGTTTTATGAAAATAACTAAGAAAGTCATTGTTTTTCTTCCTGACAACATTTAAATGTTGGAAGCCACATCTTTATTAAGTTACATTCAGCTGATTGCATTTATGAAATTAATCTATGAGGTCAAAAAAGAATGAAATTAGTATTCAAAAGATATCACTAATAAAAATCATTGATCAATTTAAAGAAGTTATTAACATATAACAATGTTAAGTAGTTCATTATACTTTAAATATTTCCAGTCTATTATTAGTTAAAAAGTAAATCTGCTAGTATTTCCCCCCCAAATTCATTATTTCACCGAATTCCTCTCATCTGAACATAGCTTAGCTGTATTAAGATGTTGCGTAAGACGGCTCTCAGAAGCTACTTAATTTATTCTAATTAACAAATGTCTGCATTCTTAATGTGTTAATTATTAGGGCTCCCCAATCTCTTATTCGATTTTTTCATTCAACAAGTATTTATTGAATGCTTATTATGTCAAACCCTCTTCTAAATATTGGAATAATAGTAATAAAACAAATCGAAGTTTATACTCTCAATAAGTTTATGTTGTAATGAAGGATGCAAACAGTATATACACACTGCAATGTCAGCTAGTGATAACTTTTGAGAGAATAGTGAAATAACATACATACAGGGATAGAAAGTGATGGGAAAGCCTTGTCTCCACCGTCCTTCTTTCCCTCTCAGAGCTCCAGCCAAGTACTTTCTCCAGCAGTCGTGTTAAACACACTCCCTTCTATTATTAGGCATGTCCTGACCCCTCTATCTGAAACACTTGCCCTTTGCCTAGCTAACTGCTATTCTTCAGTCACAGTCAAATACTGCTCCACAGGCAAGCCTTCCCCACTCCCAGCCATGCTCCCAGAGCATCATGAAACTTCCATGAAATTTGACATTGTTTGTATGATGATTTGTTCACTCTATTCTCCTCACTAGAGCATGGGATTATATATATGTAATATTACTATATATATGGCATAGAGTGAATGTTCAATAGAATTAGTTGAACGCATTATTTTAAGTATAATATATCAAGAAGACAGGTTTCAAAGACCACATATTTTAACCATTCTGTTCATACGGGATGTTTAGAAAAGGCAAATCTATGGAAAAAGAAGGTAGATTAGTGTTTATGTTACCGAAACACCAGGGGTTCGGTCAAGGTCCTGCTACTCGCTGCACAGAAAGCCAATGATTGAGACGACGAGTATTGCCAAGGAAGAATCTTTAATCAGGTGCTGCAGCTGAGGAGATGGAAACTCACTCTCAAATCCACCTCCCTGACCTGCTAAAACCAGGAGTTTATATAACAGGGAAAAAAAATGCAACTGTGTGTAAGAAAACAGGAACTAGGGAGACGCAAGGAAGCCATCACGGTGAATGAGGGGTCTGGCATCTCATTGTCTGGATGTGATGATCTGGTGAGTTTCAGTTGTTTGATACTTTTTTTTGAGAGACCTGATGGTCATTTTCTGAGGGAGGAACTCAGATTAAACAAATATAAGTTTCAAGCTTTAAGATTAGAAGGGTCAATTCCTATATTTATCAGAAAATATCTATGAGACCACTGGGTCAGTTTCATTTACCCAGGGCTGAGAGAGGGAATGGGGATTCACTGCTGACTGGCCTGAGGGAACTTACTGGAAAGATGGAAATGTTCTAAAACTGGATTATGGTGATGGTTGCAGACTAAGCAAGTTTACTAAAATCACTGAATCATACTAAAATCATTGAATTGAAAATTAGATGAATTTTATGATATGTAAATTATATCTCAATAAAGGTCTTTTTATTTTTTATTTTTCTTTTTGAGACAGTGTCTTGCTCTGTTGCCCAGGCTGGAGTGCAGTGGCATGATCTCGGCCCACTGCAACCTCTGCCTCCCTGGTTCAAGCAATTCTCCTGCCTCCGCCTCCCAAGTAGCTGGTACTACAGGTGTGCGTTACTGCGCTTGGCTAATTTTTGTATTTTTAGTAGAGATGGGATTTTACCATGTTGGCCAAGCTGGTCTTGATCTCCTGTCCTCAAGTGATCTGCCCGCCACAGCCTCCCAAAGTGCTGAGATTACAGGCGAGAGCCACCACGCCCAGCCTCAATAAAGTTCTTTTTTTTTAAAAAAAGGTAGTGACTAGGGGAAGTGTAAGGATGTGGGAGTGGCCAGGGAAGGTCTTTTTAAGGAGATGCTATTTGAATAGAAAATTGACATGAAGGCAAGAGCCCCAAAGATGTCTCGGGACAGAGGGCTCCTGGCAGGGGAGCAGTGGGGATCTTAGGTGCATTGCTATGTTGGAAGAACAGTGGGGAGTCCAGGTGGCTGTGGCGAGGTGGAATGGGGGCCACAGGAGGAAGCGGAGGCTAGGGAGGAGCCAGTTAGGTATGTGAGGTTTGGTTAATTAGGGTCAGGGTATTGAATTTTATTTTAAATGTGATGAGATGCTATTGAAGGATTTTAGCAGGAGAGCAACATAATTTGGTTTACATTTTGACAGAGTCACTTTGGCTGCTGTACGGAAAAACAGAAGCAGGAAGCCCAGATAAGAAATTGAGTAGCCAGTCACGAAATGGTGGTGTTATGGATCAGGGTGGAACGGTGGAGGCGGTGAAAAGTATGTATCTTATAGATAGAAATATGTGAGAATATCACAGCCTATTCTAAAAACTGCTGAATCATTGAGTGCATATAGTTGGAGAAGTGGGTGGAGCAGAACAGCATAAGAAGAGAGTAAAGAAGTGTGCAGGGTCAGATTACATGAGGCCTTATAGGGCGTGGGACAGAGTTTCACTTCATCTTAAATGCAGTGAGAAGTCATTGGAGGATTTCAGGTGCGGAATGATACAGTCGGACTCACTCACATGAAGATTATTCTGTCTGCCAGGTGGAGAAGAGCTCATAGGGGAAGAAGCATAGAAACCCAAGAGCAAGTTAAGACACTAATGGCAGAGGTTAGGCAAGAGGTGGTGGTGGTGTAGATTGGGACGGTGGCAATGCAGATAGAAAAATAAGCGTATACAAGGGCTCCTTTAGAATTGGAACAGATGGGATAACTGGATATGAGGAAGAGGAAACTAAAGAGTGAAGCATTTTTGGTTTGGGTAACTGAGTTACGCAGTTTTTTTTTTTGAGATGGAGTCTCACTCTGTCACCCAGGCTGGAGTGCAACAGCACAATCTCAGCTCACTGCAACCTCCACCTCCCAGGTTCAAGCGATTCTCCTGCCTCAGCCTCCCGAGTAGCTGGGACTACAGGCGTGCACCACCACACACAGATAATTTTTGTGTTTTTAGTAGAGACCAGGTTTCACCATGTTGGCCAGGATGGTCTCGATCTCTTGACTTCGTGATCCACCCGCCCTGGCCTCCCAACGTGCCAGGATTATGGGCCCGAGCCACCACACCCAGCCCAGTTACAGTAGTTTACTCCAGAATAATACTACATGTATAAACATAGGTTACACACATACTTAAAAGAACATTAGAGTTCTTTTTTGTTTTTCTTTGATGTTTGGCTTTGATTTAATGGGATTTTACTATACACATTACTCTTAAGCAAGCCTTTAACACTCAGCACTTTAAAGTGCTTGGTACATAGTAGGCTTAAGTAATATTTTATCAAACTGAGCTGGAGAGTTCTTAGATATTGTTCTTATCTCAAATTCAGTCATCCCTTGGTATCTGCTAGGGATTGCTTCCAGGAACCCCATGAATTTTTTTACCAAAATCCACAGATGCTCAAGTCCCTTATACAAAACGGTGTCTTGTTTGCATGTCACTGACACACATACTCCGTGTACTTAAACCATCTCTAGACTGCCTATAATACCTAACGTGATGTAAATGCTATGGAAACAGTTGTTTTACTGTATCGTTTGGGGAATAACATCAAGTCTGTACATTTTTCAGTAGAGATGCAATGATCATAGGCCTAACTGCCTTTTCAATCTGCACGTGGTTGAACCCATGGATGCAGAGCCCGTGGGTGCTGATTGCTAACTGTATATCCTACTTCTAATCCTTCTTTTGTATGGAGTGAGCTTCCAAAAACCTTCTGAAACATTAAGTCATGCTCTTCTTTGAAGTCTGTGAATCCTCAGGGCTGTCGGCGTGAGAACCAAAGGCTGCAGTGGTGCACACAATGTCCTTCATCCCAGTAGGTTGATTGTTCAGCATCTGTGTGACCCAACCTCTCCTATTGTCCTTGATTCAATAGCTGATCTACTGAACTATGTAGCTGAATTACAGCTCCTCAAGCACAGTGCTGTCTTGGCTTGGAATGCCCTACTGCTTCTGTTATTATTATGATGACACATTGGTGATTTTTTTCCTATGAGAATCTTCTCTAATTTCCCAAGTGTAAGTTAGCTATCCTCCTGTGTGTGCCCTGAACCCTGTACATCCCCATCATCACAGTAGTTCATTGCCTTGTAATTGCTTGCTTGCTTTTATGTTTCTCCCATTGGACAATATATTCCTTAAAGCCAGAGATTTTTCCCTGTGATATTATCCTCAGAACTTAATATAGTATATGTTGTCATACTAAAAGCTTGATCAATACAACATACATAAGTAAAGGAACATTATTCTTCTACATTAGAGAATACAGTTCCTAGGGAAAGTATGTATTTAGACCACACGACTGAAGCAACAGGTCTGGGGAACACCCATACTCAAGGAATGGGGAGGAACAAAAGGCATTAGAAAAAAAAGAAATGGGATAGCCGTGAAAGCGCAAGAACAATGTTCAGAGTGTTTATCACGGCCGTCTGGAAAAAACAGAATTTCAAGAAATGAATGATCAGTCATGTCAAATGCTTATAAAAGTCAGGAATAATGGCTGTGAAATGTCCAATCAACTTGGCAATTAAAAATACACTGATGACTTTATGAAGCAGTTTCAGTATGTTGGTTGAGACAGAAGCCAGATGATGGGGTGCTGCATAATAAATGGCACATCGCAGGCTGATGACAGCACAGCCCTGCTTTAATACGGCAGGAAACACGATGGGTTCTGTGGCATCCTCCTACTCACTGTCTTCTGTGGATTGTGACTCCTGGTGACTGACAGATGTTTAATTTCCTGAGGGCAAGCAAAGTCACGGCTTTAATATGCCCGAGAATAATGATGGATGATGCAACTTTGGATAAGCCTGTAGAAGAGACAAGAGAAAGGAAGAGGTGTAGAAAAGCTCTGAAGGGGTCTGGGCGCAGTGGCTCATGCATGTAATCCTAGCACTTTGGGAGGTCGAGGCGGGCAGATAGTGAGGTCAGGAGTTCGAGACCAGACTGACCAACATGGTGAAACCCCATCTCTACTAAAAATACAAAAATTAGCTGGGCGTGGTGGCGGGCACCTGCAATCCCAGCTACTCGGGAGGCTGAGGCAGGAGAATCACTTGAACCCGGGAGGCAGAAGTTGCCGTGAGCTGAGATGGTGCCACTGCACTCCAGCCTGGGTGATAGAGCGAGACTCTGTCAAAAAAAAAAAAAAAAAAAAAAAAAAGAAAGAAAGAAAGAAAAAGAAAAGAAAAGAAAAGAAAACAGAAAAGCTCTGAAGGGAGAATTCTTGAGTGTGTGATGTTTGAAATACTAGACTAAAGGGCAGTTCAGTGGGACAGTGGGTGGAATTTGCAGTGGATACCAGAACAGAGTTTGGGAAGAGAGATTTGGCCAAGAGACTACACCCTGCAGATCTCCACTGACAGAGGAGTTAGTGACCAAGAGCCTGGCCACTGAGCTAAAATCCATCGTGCACTTGTGCTGTAACCACATTCCCATGGGCTGCTCTCCAGCCAATGACTGAATTGGAAGCAGGGATGCCTGTCCTGGGAGCCATGAGCTCCTCTGATGCCTGAGGTTGACTCGTGGACTTCCAGTAGCTTTGCTGAACCTTCCATAGACTGGAAAGCAGCCTAAGATGTTTTCTCGCAGACCCCTCTGGCTCCTTCACCGTTTTCCTTTTGCAGTAGTTTTCTTAATAACATCCTTGCATGTGTAATCCTGTGCTTATATCAGCTTCTCAGAGGGTCCAGACCGATATAATATCTAAAGGGTAGTTTTATTTTTGAAGGGAGGTGAATTGCTGTGTTATTAGTGTTGTACCCTTCTATCATTCGCTATCATTCATGTTTCTTTAAGATATATTCGGTAAAATACCCATTTCTCACTAATGCTGGTTAGAGTAGGTCTTTTTTTTTTTTTTTGAGACGTAATCTCCCTCTGTTGTCCAGGCTGGAGTGCAGTGGCGCCATCTCGGCTCACTGCAACTTCCGCCTCCTGGGTTCAAGTGATTCTCCTGCCTCGGCCTCCTAAGTAGCTGGGATTACAGGTGCCCGCCGCCATGCCCGGCTAATTTCTTTTGTATTTTTAGCAGAGCGGGGTTTCATCATGTTGGCCAGGCTGGTTTTGAACTCCTGGCCTCAAGTAATCCGCCTGCCATGGCCTCCCAAAATGCTAGGATTATAGGCGTGAGCCACTATGCCGGGCCAGGTCTTCTTTCTTGAGGGGAGGGACAAAGTGAAATAATGAGAACTGCTCTGCAATGTCTTCTTCAGAAGAGAAGCTGCCCATAGAACAGAGTCCCATGTAGATGATACAGTGATATTAAATAGAACGTTCCCCACAGAAGTTTAACGCGATTAGTATCAAGGTGACGCTTATAAATGCTAATGCAAGAATGCCATTCAGGAGTCTTGCTTTATACCTAAAAAAGCGATGTGTTCCTGATTGTGGAATATCTTTACAGGTAGAAGGCAGGTAATAGTTATATAGAAATAAAACAAAAATAACAATGTATAGGATACAGCCTCAAAGATTCCCAGAATATTAGAGCTACAAGGCACGTTAGAGACCATCTCCTAATTTTAAATGCTCTTTTGAATATTCTAGTGAGAGAAGCTGCAGCCTGTTGAGACTCCACAAGACTGAAGATATGAAAAGAGGAAATATGCATGAATGCCCGCACGGAGAACCACCCCCACCTGCTGCTCCCGCTCTAATGATCACGCCCATTATCAACTGGGGGATGGCTCTGTGCCTTGTCCTTGCATTACATGGACCAAGAACACTTCACAGGACTCAGAGAGGTAAATGAGAGAAACCTATTCTTATAGAGGATGAAAATGAAGCACACAGGGAGGTAAAGTGCCCCAAAATCCCATCTGAACTGGCTTTAGAAACCGTATATTTACTTTTTCATATAATTTGTTTATCTAAGGGAAAAAAATAACAGATGTGTTTAATGGCTTTAGAAACATTTAAACAGGTGGACCTCAAAATATGTGAAATGAACATATTGCCATTGTTTATTATAATTTTCCTTCCTTCTATTTTTGCTTAAAATTCCTCAAGGCCTTTGGATATGCAAAAAAAAATGAGCATTTGTTTTATTATGTTGCTTAATAGAAACAATTTTTTAAAGTATTGATTTACGCAGTGACCAAAATACTGATTCTAAACAACAAAACATGCAGCTGTTACGAATCCTGGACGAGCTCTGGAAATGTGTGGTATTGTCTTGCAAAGAAGCTGTTTTTGTTCTAGTCAAATATGGAAACTAGTTTAGAAACTTCATTTTAATATATAATTCTGATTTCAGTGTTACCAGTAAATATTAATGTCCTTTTCTAACAGTCTTAATTTCCTTTTCTCAACTCCCTTGAGTTATATATTTTATTGAAGCATTCATTTACCATCAAGAGAAAAGAATGACATAAGCATGTGTGCTGAAACGTGCGGCTTCCAGGCCACAGAGTTAAGGAAGCTACATTTGTTCTCCCAGCCCCTTACTTGTGCTATGCATTTAGAAAGAAAACTTTCGACGTCTATTGTTCTTACTTTTACAATTTATGATGTAGTTAATCCTATTCACCTTGTGTACTGAGGTAGGTCAGAATTTCTTCTCACCCTTTTCCTCTTCTAACATGACCTGTTCTTTCGCATCATGAGTCATAGAAATGTAAGCTAATACATAAAGTTTTTGAAAAGATGAGGAAAGAGCCAGAGAAATAATAATGCCCTGAGGTTGTGCTATAAGGTATGTTCCACATTGGCAAGAAGTCCCTTGCTTGGTAGATGTGTTCCTGTAAGCCCTAAAAGAAAGGGCAGGTGGCTGTCATACTCCCCTTATCCTCCGGACACAATCACCTGAGACCATTCACTAGGCCTTCCAAGGGGAAGCCCAGGTGAAACTGAAGGACAACCCTTCTGAGATGGACAGAAAAAGAAAAACGTGAAATCTTATGGTAAGGGTAAAAGGCCAAAGAGACTTAGGAACTGTAAGGTAGGGAGGAAAGAATGTGGGAGCCCAGAGAGACGGGTCCTCTGTGGCCGTAACAGTAGACTTTCAGTGGAGCGAGAGAGAACATGAGGAAACTCAGGATATTCTGCACCATGGTTTGGACTCTAAAAATGTATTTGATCATATGATGGGTTTATAGTTTTTATTCTTGGCCTCGGTCTCTGTTTTTTTTTCTTCTTATATGTTGTAGTGTTGGGATTCACTCAGATGGTGGCAGAAATATTAAAGGGAAATACTAGGGAAAGTTATAGGGAATAGTCACAAACCTTTTGGAAGGCTGAAAGTTTACATAGCTTGTAATAATTGAACAGGCTGAGGCAGCCGGTTCTTACCTTAGAGCATTAGGTCTTAGGGTAAATACTAGGGACAACAGAGGCTTCCCCACTTAAGTCTGTTTACCCTACCTCCAATAACTAACCTTTGAGCCAGATGGCCCACTTGTGGGGAGGTTGACTAGGGATATTGTCCCCTAATGGTATTTACCTTAGACCTTGGTACCTGAGCTTTAATCATTCCTAGAACTACTCTCTTAACCATGTTAATTATCCACAAGTGTGTTGACTCAGAGCTTCTGTTGTTAATTGTATACCAAATAAATGCCTGGAGTGCGAGCTGCTCAGGGCCAGCCACAGTGACAAACCACTCTTGGTGTGCAGGCGGTCGGACACTCAGCAGGACTGGCAAAGCAGAATATCTGTGTCAGTGTACGTTTTATTCGCCTGTCGTTTGGGTCAGGGTCCATGGGCAGACCCCCGCAGCTAATGCCCTCAAGGGTGAGGAGCAATACCTCATTATAGACTTAGTTGTGAAAAGTTTTTTTAAAATTAATGAGACAGTAATCAGGTATTTTAAACAACTGAATTTTACAAACCCTCATAACATTGAGTGGGAAAAAAATTTAGATCTCAGTCAACTCCTTGATCTTACACATAAAGAAACTGATGCTCAAAATATGAAAAGATTTTCCCAAGTTAATATTACACATGATCAGTGGATATGATACTAGAGCCAGTCTTTGATCTCCAATTCCAGTTTTCTTACTATAATAAGGTGGATTTCTTGTGAGGGAACCAACCGGATAAAGTAAAAAACCTACAGTTTCTATGAGGATCCACATACTTTCCTGACAATGGAGTAAGAGAAAATGTGGCAAGTGACCATTGGGCCCTCCAGGTGTCTTAGAGTGGTTGACATAGTTCCTGAACAAGAGTGGAAATCCAGCCTGGCACGGTGGCTCACGCCTGTAATCCCAGCACTTTGGGAGGCTGAGGCGGGCGGATCACGAGGTCAGGAGATTGAGACCATCCTGGCTAACACGGTGAAACACCATCTCTACTGAAAATACAAAAAATTAGCCGGGCCTGGTGGCGGGCACCTGTAATCCCAGTTACACTCGGGAGGCTGAGGCAGGAGAATTGCTTGAACCCGGGAGGCAGAGCTTGCAATGAGCCGAGATAGTGCCACTGCACTCCAGCCTGGGCGACAGAGTGACTCTGTCTCAAAAAAAAAAGAGTGGAAATCTAGGTGGATTCAGGGATAGGGAATGGTAGCAAAAAGAGAGAGAGAGGAGAGAGAGGGAAGAGTAAGGAGCACAGAAATAGAAAGAGCATCTGGTAGTGAGATGAGCTGGAATCTGGGGAGAGGGACCTGTGTCCAGGCAGGCTTCTTACAGAGCTGTCTACTTACAGAGCTCCACACCCACAGCGCCAGGTCAGTGATTTGTCTGTCGGTGCGCACCCCCATTCTGTGCTCTTTTCTGTATCACAGGGGACTGGATATCTGCAAGCTACATTTTCCACACTGCCTTCTGACTGGTATTTAATAAGATTTTGATAATGGGAGGCACTGGCAAGAAATGGGAAGGTGGGAGAAAGAGCAAATCCATATTTTTAGTCATTGTTTTTCCTGGTGGTGCCCTTGGCAGCAGTAACCACAGTGACAAGTGGATGCAAGCCCGGGTTCCCTCTAAGGTGGCACAGTTCCAATGGCAGCAGCAGCAGCAGCTGCTCTGACAGCTTTGTAACCACCAGTACTCCTGGGCCCTGGCTCTTGCTGTATCAGGAGTGTGAGCTCCTGGCTTCCTGTGCAGTGGCAGTGGCAGTGCTCACTGCATCCGGCAGTGGCTAAAGAAGGACTCCAGCCTCCTCAGCCCACAGCTGCGTGGACTTGGGGCTACACCATTGCTCTTTGGGGTTGTTTTTGGCTCATGGGGTGGTTGTGGCATCCTGAAGTTACGAACAGCAGTTACGAACAGCAGTTCCTCAGGTACCAGTCTTTGGGGAGCCTCATCCCCTTGTTGTTCCTGCCTGGCTTTTTGTGACGTTTAAAACCAATGTTCAAATCCAATGTGTTTGGAATGCTTAGAATTGGTTTTGTTTTCCTAACTGGACACGAGAGACACAAGCACTACGCGATCCTTCTACGTCATGCTCTTAAAAAATATGGCAAAGTTTTACATTATTCATCCATTTCTGCTGTTCCCGTGAAACTGACAATATACAAAGACCAGCGTGTGTGGGGCCCTGGAATATGTCAGTTTATATTTCTATTGTGTCAGTTTTCTTAGGGTATATGGCGAATATAAATATGACTATTATAATTAAGTGGCTGTGCATTTTCATATTAGAATTCATTATGTTGCCTTCTCAGTAGAAGCACTTTCTATGTAGTGCTTGAGCATATAGGTAAGTCAGGTGGCCACCTGCACAGTGTGATTTGAAGGTGTGAAGGTATCTCTCTGCCTCAAATAGCGATTAAATTTAACAGGTTCATATTCTGTAGTGAAAAAAATACAGTTGGCCCTCCATATCCACGGGTTCTGCATCCATGGATTCAACCAACCAAGGATAAAAATATTTTTTAAAAATTGCATCTGCAAGTTAATTATAATATAATGCTCAAGAAAATTCACAACATGAATGAAATGTTACAGAAGTTATAAATCCATTGCATTTATCAGTAGCTCATTTTTGAAAAGGGTCTTTGGATTATAGATTTCCACTTCTTTTACAAAGAAACATTGAAGTGAGAATTTTGTGGGTACTCTTTAAACAATAGTACATGAGTTTAATACATATTTTTTAAAGCCAGTAAATAACATTTTTCTGTGTCCACTTTAAAGTGTGTTGGGTATATAAGTGAATTGGACTGTATTTCTAATATGTGTGTAGGTTTAATTTTATATAGTTTTTAAATTGTTCTGTGATTAATCGGCCATTGAAAATGACCTTTTTAATTGTTGAGATTTACTGACTAGCCTTATATGGAAGGATTTGTATATCCTCACCATATATATATATGTATATATATATAAATATAAATATAAATATATATGGTGTATCTATATGGTGCATATATATAGCGTGTGTGTATATATGTATTTGGTATATCTATGGTGCATATATTTGGTATATATATGGTGTGTGTATATACACATATACATACCATATATACACACACATATATATACCATCTTTTATTTGTGTGGTGAAAAATACTCTTTTTTGGTGTAAAAAGTTTATTTTCTTTGCTAATAATGTCAGTTTGTAAAAAAAAGAATTCATCCTTACTGAATATCTATAGACCTTTTTGGTCAGTATTCCCTAAACAACGCAGTATAAGAACTATTTACGTAGCATTCACATTGTATTAGGTATTATAAGTAATTTAAGGATGATTTAAAATATACAAGGGGATGTGCATAGGTTATATGCAAATACTATGCCATTTTATATCAGGGTCTTGAGCATCCACGGATTTTGATATTAGCAGGAGGTCCTGGAACCAATTCCACATGGATACAGAGGGACGTCTCTCTCTCTCTTTGATATTGTTATATTATATCATATTATTTATATTATATATTTATATATTGGTAATATTTATATATTAGTTTAAAGGATTGTTATAAAAGTGGATTTTAAACCACAACAGCAACCAAAATGATTATGTGATGTTACAGAGGAATATGGTTGCCATCTTTTTTTTTTTTTTTTTTTTTGAGACAGAGACTCGCTCTGTCGCCCAGGCTGGAGTGCGGTGGCACAGTCTCGGCTCACTGCAAGCCCCGCCTCCCAGGTTCACGCCATTCTCCTGCCTCAGCCTCCCGAGTAGCTAGGACTACAGGCGCCCGCCACCACGCCGGCTAATTTTTTATATTTTTAGTAGAGATGGGGTTTTACCGTGTTAGCCAGGATGGTCTCGATCTCCTGACCTCGTGATCCGCCCACCTTGGCATCCCAAAGTGCTGGGATTACAGGCGTGAGCCACCCCGCCCGGCCTATGGTTGCTATCTTTAATAAATATTATGGACATAAGAGAGAGAGAGAGAATGCTGCTAGGTCACTTAAAAATGGAGATGTGATTTATGGGAATGTTCTTGTCTACATGTAATGCAACACGTGGAATCTTTATAATAGGTGTCAAGAAATTTCCCATTCAGGAGAATTCTGTAGGTGAAGGTTCAGAGGGAGCCATGGCTAGATGCTGGGCAGGGGAGGGTTAGATGCAGCCTCACTGGAGGGGTCGTTTTCTGGAAGTGATATCTAACATCCCTCCATTATCTGGAAGTGATATCTAAAATCCCCACCATTATCTGAAAGTGATATCTAACATCCACCCATTATCTGGAAGTGAATATCTAACTTTCCCCCATTATCTGGAAGTGATAGCTAACATCCCCCCATTATCTGGAAGTGAATATCTAACTTCCCCCCATTATCTGGAAGTGATAGCTAACATCCCCCCATTATCTGGAAGTGATATCTAACATCCCCCCATTATCTGGAAGTGATAGCTAACATCCCCCCATTATCCAGAAGTGAATATCTAACATCCCCCCATTATCTGGAAGTGTTATCTAACATCACCCCATTATCTGGAAGTGATGGCTAACATCTGCCCATTATCTGGAAGTGATATCTAACATCCCCCCATTATCCGGAAGTGATATCTAACATCCCCCATTATCTGGAAGTGTTATCTGACATCCCCCATTATCCGGAAGTGAATATCTAACATCTCCCCATTATCTGGAAGTGTTATCTAACATCCCCCCCATTATCTGGAGTGATATCTAACATCCCCCCATTATCTGGAAGTGATATCTAACATCCCCCCATTATCTGGAAGTGATAGCTAACATCCCCCCATTATCTGGAAGTGATAGCTAACATCCCATTATCTGGAAGTGAATATCTAACATCCCCCATTATCTGGAAGTGTTATCTAACGTCACCCCATTATCTGGAAGTGATATCTAACATCCACCCATTATCTGGAAGTGATATCTAACATCCCCCCCATTATCTGGAAGTGATAGCTAACATCCCCCTATTATCTGGAACTGATAGCTAACATCCCCCCATTATCTGGAAGTGATATCTAATTTCCACCATTAGTGACACTCCTCCATGTTTCAAGGTATGTATTTCAAGAAAGCCCTTGTTAGAATAACAGGAATTTATTGGGGAGAATAGCACAATGTCTTCTTTTTTTTGAGACAGAGTTTCGCTCTGTCGCCCAGGCTCCGGTGCAATGGCGTGATCTTGGCTCACTGCAACCTCTGCCTCCCGGGTTCAAGCGATTCTCCTGCCTCAGCCTCCTGAGTAGCTGGGACTACAGGCATGTGTCACCAACCCTGGCTAATTTTGTATTTTTAGTAGAGACGGGGGTTCTCCATGTTGGTCAGGCTGGTCTCGAACTCCCAATCTCAGGTGATCCGCCTGCCTCGGCCACCCAAAGTGCTGGGATTACAGGCGTGAGCCACCGCGCCCGGCCACAATGTCTTTATCAATCTACACGTAAGGAATTTTCTGGTAAAATAGTGCTGGGCAGATTGCAAGTGGGAGCAGTGACATTGGGTTTGAACAACAAACTTAAAAGAAAAGAAACAAAGAAAAGAACACATAATCTGTAGGCTGGGTTTCTGTCTGTCTGGTTTTGGGATGCAAAGAGAAGAAAAAATGAGGTAGTAGGCATTTAGTTATTTTCTAGCCTAAGATTAAAGTGCTTTTTGCTCCTGCCTAACTTTAGGAAAGTGAGGAAACAACATTCACAGACAAAGGACAATTGAGCATGAGCTCCAGGGGACCATCAGCAAAACATTTTCAGAAGATGTGAAGAGTAGGATGCGTAAGTCATGGAGCAGATCAGAGGCCTGTGGATAAGGTACCAAGGACAAGGAAGACTCTGTCGGTTGATGATCTTGAGCAGTGCTGCTAGGTCACTTCAAAATGGAGACGTGATTTATGGGCATGTTATTGTCTACATGTAATCAACACATGGAATCTTTATAATACGTATCTATATTTCTATGAATTAAAGTTTTCCTATGGCCTATAGTTAAGTGTTCTTGCGAGGTGTGTGAGCAGGTGCACCTATGCTGTACATGGGGGAGGATGCTAGATAAAGAATATTATCTACTCTGTCTTACAGATCATTCCCAGACGGGGTGGTAGAAACATACCATACGAATGTAAGGAGGTTCCTAAAAATGTTCACTTGGGCCATAAGCACCATACAATTGAGCAAGGTTGCACATTTATGAAGCTCTACAAAGCACAGGTTGGTTTAGCATTATCTGCTGAGCCATTGGGCAATACCCCGTGAGGGGCACAGAGAGATGGGACAAGGCGCACAGAGGGCATCTGGGGAGTCAGGAAACAGCATGAGGACAGGGGGCCCCTGGGAATAGAAGGAGACTTGTTCAAGGGAAGAAACTGAAAAACAAAACACAAGGGAGATGATAGGGAAAATCAGGGTCTCTGTGTAGTTATCTGTGTGACTCAGCATGGGGAGACGATAGGGAAAATCAGGGTCTCTGTGTAGTTATCTGTGTGACTCAGCATGGGGAGACGATAGGGAAAATCAGGGTCTCTGTGTAGTTATCTGTGTGACTCAGCATGGGGAGACGATAGGGAAAATCAGGGTCTCTGTGTAGTTAATCTCTGTGACTCAGCATGGGGAGACGATAGGGAAAATCAGGGTCTCTGTGTAGTTATCTGTGTGACTCAGCATGGGGAGACGATAGGGAAAATCAGGGTCTCTGTGTAGTTAATCTCTGTGACTCAGCATGGGGAGACGATAGGGAAAATCAGGGTCTCTGTGTAGTTAATCTCTGTGACTCAGCATGGGGAGACGATAGGGAAAATCAGGGTCTCTGTGTAGTTAATCTGTGTGACTCAGCATGGGGAGACGATAGGGAAAATCAGGGTCTCTGTGTAGTTATCTGTGTGACTCAGCATGGGGAGACGATAGGGAAAATCAGGGTCTCTGTGTAGTTATCTGTGTGACTCAGCATGGGGAGACGATAGGGAAAATCAGGGTCTCTGTGTAGTTATCTGTGTGACTCAGCATGGGGAGACGATAGGGAAAATCAGGGTCTCTGTGTAGTTATCTGTGTGACTCAGTATGGGGAGACGATAGGGAAAATCAGGGTCTCTGTGTAGTTATCTGTGTGACTCAGCATGGGGAGACGATAGGGAAAATCAGGGTCTCTGTGTAGTTAATCTGTGTGACTCAGCATGGGGAGACCATAGGGAAAATCAGGGTCTCTGTGTAGTTAATCTCTGTGACTCAGCATGGGGAGATGATAGGGAAAATCAGGGTCTCTGTGTAGTTATCTGTGTGACTCACCATGGGGAGACGATAGGGAAAATCAGGGTCTCTGTGTAGTTATCTGTGTGACTCAACATGGGGAGATGATAGGGAAAATCGGGGTCTCTGTGTAGTTAATCTGTGTGACTCAGCATGGGGAGACGATAGGGAAAATCAGGGTCTCTGTGTAGTTAATCTCTGTGACTCAGCATGGGGAGACGATAGGGAAAATCAGGGTCTCTGTGTAGTTATCTGTGTGACTCAGCATGGGGAGACGATAGGGAAAATCAGGGTCTCTGTGTAGTTATCTGTGTGACTCAGCATGGGGAGACGATAGGGAAAATCAGGGTCTCTGTGTAGTTATCTGTGTGACTCAGCATGGGGAGACGATAGGGAAAATCAGGGTCTCTGTGTAGTTATCTGTGTGACTCAGCATGGGGAGACGATAGGGAAAATCAGGGTCTCTGTGTAGTTATCTGTGTGACTCAGCATGGGGAGACGATAGGGAAAATCAGGGTCTCTGTGTAGTTATCTGTGTGACTCAGCATGGGGAGACGATAGGGAAAATCAGGGTCTCTGTGCAGTTATCTGTGTGACTCAGCATGGGGAGACGATAGGGAAAATCAGGGTCTCTGTGTAGTTATCTGTGTGACTCAGCATGGGGAGACGATAGGGAAAATCAGGGTCTCTGTGTAGTTATCTGTGTGACTCAGCATGGGGAGACGATAGGGAAAATCAGGGTCTCTGTGTAGTTATCTGTGTGACTCAGCATGGGGAGACGATAGGGAAAATCAGGGTCTCTGTGTAGTTATCTGTGTGACTCAGCATGGGGAGACGATAGGGAAAATCAGGGTCTCTGTGTAGTTATCTGTGTGACTCAGCATGGGGAGACGATAGGGAAAATCAGGGTCTCTGTGTAGTTAATCTCTGTGACTCAGCATGGGGAGACGATAGGGAAAATCAGGGTCTCTGTGTAGTTAATCTGTGTGACTCAGCATGGGGAGACGATAGGGAAAATCAGGGTCTCTGTGTAGTTAATCTCTGTGACTCAGCATGGGGAGACGATAGGGAAAATCAGGGTCTCTGTGTAGTTATCTGTGTGACTCAGCATGGGGAGACGATAGGGAAAATCAGGGTCTCTGTGTAGTTATCTGTGTGACTCAGCATGGGGAGACGATAGGGAAAATCAGGGTCTCTGTGTAGTTATCTGTGTGACTCAGCATGGGGAGACGATAGGGAAAATCAGGGTCTCTGTGTAGTTAATCTCTGTGACTCAGCATGGGGAGACGATAGGGAAAATCAGGGTCTCTGTGTAGTTAATCTGTGTGACTCAGCATGGGGAGACGATAGGGAAAATCAGGGTCTCTGTGTAGTTAATCTCTGTGACTCAGCATGGGGAGACGATAGGGAAAATCAGGGTCTCTGTGTAGTTATCTGTGTGACTCAGCATGGGGAGACGATAGGGAAAATCAGGGTCTCTGTGTAGTTAATCTGTGTGACTCAGCATGGGGAGATGATAGGGAAAATCAGGGTCTCTGTGTAGTTAATCTGTGTGACTCAGCATGGGGAGACGATAGGGAAAATCAGGGTCTCTGTGTAGTTAATCTGTGTGACTCAGCATGGGGAGACGATAGGGAAAATCAGGGTCTCTGTGTAGTTATCTGTGTGACTCAGCATGGGGAGACGATAGGGAAAATCAGGGTCTCTGTGTAGTTATCTGTGTGACTCAGCATGGGGAGATGATAGGGAAAATCAGGGTCTCTGTGTAGTTAATCTCTGTGACTCAGCATGGGGAGACGATAGGGAAAATCAGGGTCTCTGTGTAGTTAATCTCTGTGACTCAGCATGGGGAGACGATAGGGAAAATCAGGGTCTCTGTGTAGTTAATCTGTGTGACTCAGCATGGGGAGACGATAGGGAAAATCAGGGTCTCTGTGTAGTTAATCTCTGTGACTCAGCATGGGGAGACGATAGGGAAAATCAGGGTCTCTGTGTAGTTATCTGTGTGACTCAGCATGGGGAGACGATAGGGAAAATCAGGGTCTCTGTGTAGTTATCTGTGTGACTCAGCATGGGGAGACGATAGGGAAAATCAGGGTCTCTGTGTAGTTATCTGTGTGACTCAGCATGGGGAGACGATAGGGAAAATCAGGGTCTCTGTGTAGTTATCTGTGTGACTCAGCATGGGGAGACGATAGGGAAAATCAGGGTCTCTGTGTAGTTATCTGTGTGACTCAGCATGGGGAGACGATAGGGAAAATCAGGGTCTCTGTGTAGTTAATCTGTGTGACTCAGCATGGGGAGACGATAGGGAAAATCAGGGTCTCTGTGTAGTTAATCTCTGTGACTCAGCATGGGGAGACGATAGGGAAAATCAGGGTCTCTGTGTAGTTATCTGTGTGACTCAGCATGGGGAGACGATAGGGAAAATCAGGGTCTCTGTGTAGTTATCTGTGTGACTCAGCATGGGGAGACGATAGGGAAAATCAGGGTCTCTGTGTAGTTATCTGTGTGACTCAGCATGGGGAGACGATAGGGAAAATCAGGGTCTCTGTGTAGTTAATCTCTGTGACTCAGCATGGGGAGATGATAGGGAAAATCAGGGTCTCTGTGTAGTTATCTGTGTGACTCAGCATGGGGAGACGATAGGGAAAATCAGGGTCTCTGTGTAGTTATCTGTGTGACTCAGCATGGGGAGACGATAGGGAAAATCAGGGTCTCTGTGTAGTTATCTGTGTGACTCAGCATGGGGAGACGATAGGGAAAATCAGGGTCTCTGTGTAGTTATCTGTGTGACTCAGCATGGGGAGACGATAGGGAAAATCAGGGTCTCTGTGTAGTTAATCTCTGTGACTCAGCATGGGGAGACGATAGGGAAAATCAGGGTCTCTGTGTAGTTATCTGTGTGACTCAGCATGGGGAGACGATAGGGAAAATCAGGGTCTCTGTGTAGTTAATCTCTGTGACTCAGCATGGGGAGACGATAGGGAAAATCAGGGTCTCTGTGTAGTTATCTGTGTGACTCAGCATGGGGAGACGATAGGGAAAATCAGGGTCTCTGTGTAGTTATCTGTGTGACTCAGCATGGTGAGACGATAGGGAAAATCAGGGTCTCTGTGTAGTTATCTGTGTGACTCAGCATGGGGAGACGATAGGGAAAATCAGGGTCTCTGTGTAGTTATCTGTGTGACTCAGCATGGGGAGACGATAGGGAAAATCAGGGTCTCTGTGTAGTTATCTGTGTGACTCAGCATGGGGAGACAATAGGGAAAATCAGGGTCTCTGTGTAGTTAATCTGTGTGACTCAGCATGGGGAGACGATAGGGAAAATCAGGGTCTCTGTGTAGTTAATCTGTGTGACTCAGCATGGGGAGACGATAGGGAAAATCAGTCTCTGTGTAGTTATCTGTGTGACTCAGCATGGGGAGACGATAGGGAAAATCAGGGTCTCTGTGCAGTTATCTGTGTGACTCAGCATACATGGGTACCGCATGGATAGAAAAGCATGATAAAGTTTGAAAAAGTATTTTTAAGTGTTGATGATGATGATGATTTTGAATGCAAACATACTTTGATTGTGATGATCTCTTCAATTATGATGTTGTACAAAACCAAAAAAATAAAAAACAAACTGATGTTCATCTTCAATTTGAGGTTAAGAAAACTCATTATATTCCCAGCATACCTTCTTGTTGATTGAATGATTGAAGAGTAATCAGCAAACAACCTAATTTCTAAATCCTTGACAGCCATAATGATAATGTGAATCTCACTTGGAGAAATTCTCATCCCAAATTGTGTTCCATTGCTTCATAGGAATGTACTGAATCCGTTTCAAAGATCAATGAAAATAATGGCATGCTCATATATTGGATTTAAACATCTTATATGATTGTGGTTATTGTGTTTTTTTTTTTTTTAATTTCTGAAAACAAACAAAAGGTCCTAGGAGAAAAGTAAACCTCCGTCTCCTGTCAAGTCCCTTCTCCCATACCTGCGTCTCTCATTGAAAGGGTAGTACAGAATTCAGGTTGGGACCAACCCGTGTAACCAGCAGTGATAACTAGTCGCTTTATTCCTGAAAACTCCAGGCTGTGATTACATAAGCACAGGTGAATGGGGAAAAGCAAAAGCCATGGAGGAAATCCACCTGCGCTTTCTTCCCCCTGCCAGCCCAGCTTTCACCCAGGACTGTTCTTCATGGGCTGCACGCCTCTTGCCACTGGTATTCTTAAGCAAGTGCTGGGAAGACTCGAAAGAAAAGTGTGAGAGGAGCAGCAGGCAGCGGGTTTGGGGAGGAATGAAAAGCAGAGATGGACAATCCTATGGTTTTGCCCCGAAAGAGGACAGAGACTTCACTTTACTGAGTCTGTACAAACATCTGGAATCAAAGCCAAGAGAATGACTGCGATCTAAGCCTTTCTCTAGGCCCCAAGTTTACAGCAGTTTATGCTCCTAGAAAGAGAATAATCACTGCATTTACCCAACTAAATATTTCTGTCTATTTCTCATGAAAAGTGAGGTTAAAGGTTAATGTAAGACCATTGCAGCCCATAAATTTAGGATGACTGTATAATCCTTCCAGCTTTGAAATTGTCATACCTTTTTTACTTATCCAAAATATTTCTAAAAACAACAGAAAGGTCTTGACAACCTTGATGACTTTATGGAATGTGAGATAAAGGGCGATATATATACACATCACATATACACACACACATATACGTATATATACACATATATATGTATATATGTGTGCATATATCTATACATATATGGTGTGTGTACATACATACACACCATATATACACACAGGATGTGTATGTGTGTGCGTATATATATATTACATCTATTTACATATATATATAACATTTCCTTTGATTCAATTTGCAGGCCTCAATCTTATTCTCAGAACTGATGTCACAACATCGTACAAAGCCCTCATAAGCATATTTGCCTTCCAAGGTAACTCACAGAATACATCTTCCATTTGTTATTCATATAGTCAGCTCTAGCTGCAATTGCCATTTACCAATTCCCATCTGTTAGAGGTTTTTCTTGTACCCGATGGCAGTTGAAGCAGATTGTGAATATAAAAGAAAATAGTTTCTTGGCACAGAAAAGGGATATTTGTTTTAATTGACAAGGTGTAACATTTATGAGATAAAAATGAATTTTAGACATCTCATTTATTTTTATGTCGGTCTCTTCAAGACAATTATTGGCTCTTAGGCATACATACAGAAACCTCAGGAAATTAGGGAAAAGACAGAAAAACAACTCTTGGGAAAGTCAATTCAAGCTGATCTTAAGGCTCCCAGGGAAATGGCAGGTTTGGAGGGTGGAGAGAATTCAGGTGACAGTGCCAATTCTTAGTGTCTTCTGTGCTACCATGATTATTTTAGAAAATAAAGGAGTGCTGATTTTTTAAAAAGCAATTTCCTCTGCTCAGCAATGATAAATAAATCATTTTGCTATAAATGAGTCTAGAGTCAATGCTTCAAATGAGAAAAAAAGCAATCCACTATTTCTCCTTAAGAATGATTATATATTTGATGAGTATCTTTCTTCTGATAATGATTTGTAAAATCTTATTTCTTGGTACTCCCATGAGTAGTAGAATATATTGAACAGTAAAATGTTAAACAGTTTTTGAGATGAAGGCACTGTTTCTATTCAACTTATCACAATTACTGAGGGTATCAGGTATGTACTGGATTGTCATAGCTTAAAGAGATACCAGGACGATGACAAAGGAAAGTTGAAGTTAGCTATTCTGATCAGTAGAAGGACACGCTTTTCCCCGCAAAGGAAATAAAAGTGTTAGTGTCGTTCTGTTGAGATAATTTTATCAAATAGAAAAAAGGAATAAAAGGAAAGTCATCTGTGCATTTGTAACCCAGCGATTCTCATTAAATCATTATACCATGCTAACAAGAGAAAAAAGCGTCTACAGGTGGTACTCCATTTTCAACTGGGAAAAGAGCAGGTCTAATTTGAAATAACCCAAGGCTAAGGGTGCTATAGGATGGAAGGGGAATTTTTAATCAACACTATGGGCACACATCAGGTGTCCCCGAGGGCCACGCTATGAGGAAGAACCTATGATATGTTCTATCTTCTTGTAACAGTGCTACCCTCTGGGAGACTACTTGCCCAGGGCTGGGAATTTATCTTTGGAGTTAGTTTAGGACTCAGGGTGAAAAGGAGGAGCAGTAGGAAGTGAGGCTATTGGAAAGCTTCTGTAAAAAGTGGCCCCTTCATTATTATTCCATATTCTGACTAAGCAGAGAAATGAACCTGTAGTTTCATCCATATTTTCAAAAGCAAAACTTCTTCTACTAAAATAACTTGCTACAAAAGGTATGTACTAGTTTGGGATTTTGTTTTTTTCTGTCAGTTTGATAAATGCTGTTTGGACTCTCATAATCCCCCTAATAATTGACTGGGGTCAGAGTATCTCTAGGGCGATGCTGCACATTTTAAAACCGCTTCACGGGGTGCTGGTATTCAGAGAATGCTCTTGAAGATCTGTTTCCCATTGACTTTTCAAATCCTGTTAATTGCTTATACAGTAAGCGTTAAAAGTCAGGCCTGGCAAAATCAAGGAAGCTGCAGGGAGCAGATGAAGTTTTCATGCGCAGGAGCACAGCTAGGATGAAACGAGAAGTAACTGCCGTGTCCAGTGTGGCCCAGGTGGAGAGCTGGGGGTGTGCCATGAGACTGTTAGGTCCAGAGGAAGTACGCTCGATTCGCTTGATCTCGGGGGTAACTGAAGAGATAGCAGCTCTCTCTAGAAGTCCTTTTCTGAAACTATTGAGACCTCTGACACTTCAAATCCTTAAACGCAGGAAAAACTACCAATTGATTAGAATGCCCTTGAGAAGATTGAAGTATGAGATGGTGTTGGACTAGTGGTCATTTGTTTCAATCTCAAGATTCTGTATTTCCTATTCTGAAATTTCTATTTATTATAAATCTTATAATCTTTAAAATTCTATTTTTCTAAGTCTGAGATGTGGTTGAATTTCAGTTTATAAGAAGAAATAAGGCATATGTGAATTCCCTTAACAAATCACACAGTTCAATTCCTGATAGTTGTTACCTAACGTTTATAATGTTTCTTTTTATCAAATGATCTTCAATATTCCCTGCCATGAAATGGAAGATTAGTGAATTTTTTACTAAATTATTTTGGCCTTAAAGTCTGTTCTGCCAAATTGAAATACTTGGACAGAACTAACTTTTGCTGTACAAAGTGGACAGTTAGCCATGGAGTGAGCTATTGAGAAGAAAGAATATTTTCTGAGCAGAAAACTCATTCTTCTTTTTCTAATAGCTGTATTAGGAGATTGAATTGGGGCCACTATGCTCTTTCTCTTGGGCAGGAAACATGTACTTTTTTTGCAGTCAGTAATGTTTTCATAGCTGTTATCTGACCCTTACACTGAGCAGAAGAGTTTCTGGGACAGTTTCTTTAAGTTTACAAATAATCAGCCATGTATAGGCTTAAAAAATAAATAAAGATTTCTCATCCATATGAATGAGTGGAGCAAATAAATTAGATGAGGGAAGCTGGATCACAATCTTGAGAGGAAACAAGAGGAAAATTCAGAAAACATTTCACCTATACCTGGTTCTGTTAATACCTTGCCACTACCATATTATGGATGCAGGCTGAATACATGTTTTCAGAGGTTAGCACTGCAGCCAAGCAAGCAAGCATACTGTTAATCTGATATATATAAGGACACACATAACTTACAATATAGTAAAGCAAATAGGCTTGAATGGCATTGCAGTTCACACACACTGCCATGGTGTTGCTATTCAACTTCTGAAACATAATTTTAGTTTTGTCCTCTTGCCTCCCTTGCCTTGCTATAGTGATTTAGCTTTAAAAATGCAAGCCTGCACCTGTCATTTCCCTGCTAAGCATCTCTATTGGCCCCCATGTCCTCAAGGATGCAGACCAAGTCCATTCCAGAACAGCTTCCATGCTCCAGTCCTACCCACCTCAGTAGCCCTATCACTCTTCTTACTTTCTGCTCCAACCACAATACAATTCTAGTGGTTGATCAAAATGTTTCTTTTTCTTTTTTTTTTTTTGAGAGGGAGTTTTGCTCTTGTTGCCCAGGCTGGAGTGCAATGGCGCCATCTCGGCTCACTGCAACCTCTGCCTCCTAGGTACAAGGGATTCTCCTGTCTCAGCCTCCCAAGTAGCTCAGATTACAGGCATGCACCACCACGCCCAGCTAATTTTTTTGTATTTAGTGGAGATGGGGTTTCACCATGTTAGTCAGGCTGGTTACGAACTCCTGACCTTAGGTGATCCACCCGCCTCAGCCTCCCAAAGTGCTGGGATTATAGGCATGTGCCACCTTGCCCGGCCTCAAAATGTGTCTTGATACAAAGATTTCCCCTACACTGTAATGTTCCTCTAATCCTCCCTCTCATAACAGCTACTTATCCCTCGGGTTTCATCTTAAACTTTACATTTAGGGAGAACCTTCCCCCACAGAGCAGACATATCAGGTCCCCTGTGTATTCTCTAATGGCAGTCTTGTATTTCTTTGTAACAAAAATTGAATTTATTTAACATATGACTTTCCTACCATTAAGTCTTTTACTTGAACGAGGGCAGGTATTCAGTAAATGTTTCTTGAATAAATAAATGCATGGTAGTTCTTTATCATTTATTATCATTGGTCTAGTCACAGACTCAGAAGCAGTTGGAGATACTAGTATGATTGAATTTCTCTATTTTTAGTTTCTTTCAAATACTTGCACACACACAGACACACACACACACACACACAGACACACACACACACACACACACACACAGCTTCCTTGCAGTTTCCCAGAAATACAATTCCAGAGCCACAGGTCCCTCATCTCACAACTTGTCCCCATGTTCTCATTTGTCCCTCTGATCTTACTTGTCAGCCCTTCCCAGCACCTGGGGATCGTGCATTGTGAAGCAGCACACTCAGGGGTTCCCTGCTCCGTGTTTCCCTCCCTAATGCCAAAGGGCCAGGAGCCATTGTGTCGCAGAGTAGGCTGCTTCACTTGTGCCTGAGGGAGGACAGACAATATGCTCATCAGGATTCAGGGAGGAGAGTGTGGACGCTCAGACAGAGGAGTGCTGTCTTTGTTTCTCGCTGCTATATCAGAATGCCACAGACTGGGTAATTTATAATAAACAGAAATTTGCTTCCTCACAGTTCTGAAGGCTGAGAAGGTCAGGATTTAGGGGCCAGCATCTGGTGAGGGGCTTCTCACTGCATTCTTCCACGGTGCCAGGTGGCAGTGCAAGAAAGCACATAAGACACACAGCAAGAGGAGGCTGAACTCACTTTTATAACAAACCCACTCACCCCATAATGAATTTACTCCTGTGTTCAACACATAAACTTTTGGAGACACATTCAAACCATAACATGTACTATTGAAATGGAGCTCTGACAGGAGACACCTTGGGTGCCTCAAGCTGGAGATTCTGCTTTGCATCCCCAGTTAATAATTAGTAGATAAAAGAAAGAGACTCTTTGGGCACTGGGACCTGGGGTCTATGAATGTTGAAAAGGAAGAGCAAACCATGACATCAGGACTTGAGTTTCTCACACCCCTTTCTCCCACCCCCACCCAGGCAAAAATAGATACAAAAGAAGAAGGAATTACAGAAGAAGTCACATAACATTATTGCCTACAACTGACTGTTTACCTTGAATACTTGAAGACCAGAATGAAGATTCTTGGGGTGAAGAATTACAGCCTTAGCATGGAGCAGGCCTCGGTGCATCGGCTTTCAGCTAGGCATGCCTGCCAATGTTCAACGTCCTCCTGGGATACGGAAGGCACCGTGATAGACATCTGGGCAAGTCAACAGGAAGGTGGATATCCAAATCTCTCTCTTCGCAATGAGTTTCCAGTTAGATGGAGGAGAGAGTAATAAAACACAGTAAGTGTGGAAAAGATTAAAATGCATGTTGTGATATACCACAGGAAATCAGAGGAGAGAGGTTCATTCTAAGGGGAATGGTGGAAACGTCAGTGAGAACATACCACCTGGGTGGTTCTTGTAAGATGATGTGGAAGAGAAAAGGTAAAGATTGAGCAAAACAGTGCATGAGCGAAGGATGCAATGTGAGATGGTCTGAACAGTTTAAAAGAATAACCTGGGCCAGGCACGGTGGCTCACTCCTGTAATCCCAGCACTTTGGGAAGCCAAGGCGGGTGGATCCCGAGGTCAGGAGTTCGAGACCATCCTGGCTAACACGGTGAAACCCCGTCTCTACTAAAAATACAAAAAATTAGCCGGGCGTGGTGGCGTGTGCTTGTAGTCCCAGCTACTTGGGAGGCTGAGGCAGGAGAATCGCTTGAACCTGGGAGGTGGAGGTTGCAGTGAGCCGAGATCGCGCCACTGCACTCCAGCCTGGGCGACAGAGACTGACTCCCTCTCAAAAGAAAAAAAAAAAAAAAGCATAAGCCGAGGGAATGAAAGTACTTTCTGTGGCTGGAGCACAGGATGTCTAGACAGAAGAATTTGGAAAGAAACAGAGGATACTAGATTTGGAACAGATCATTCAGGTCCTCAAGACCTTGAAAATAAGGCTACAGTTTTTAATATTATTATACTGCAGGCCATTGAAGATAATGCACTTGTTTTGTATTGTTTTTGTTTTTCAGAAGACAGAGTATTAACTTTTTTTTCAGGTTGTAGAATTCATCAATTCCATAACCATTTTTGAATGAGTATTACAGGTCAAGGACTTTTCTAAAAAGATGGATATGGTCTCTTCTGTCATGGGTCTTACATTCTGTGGGAGGAGACAAGCAATAACTACATACAATGAGCACAATAATTGAAGTGATTATGTGGGAATTAAAGGGGTGGGCTATTGACAACTTCAGACACCATGGTAATTAATGGCCTTCGATTTGTAACAGGAGCTGAGATTCCTGACTTCACAGATCCCTGAGGAGATGTTTACTAAAGGGAATCTTCTGGTCACTGTTACCTTCCTCCGTACTTACCTGCCTCATGGAGTAAGCATGACAAAATTCTTGATTACATAGGGAAAATCACATCTTCGATTAATACTTTCCTGTTTTTATTCTTCATTACTACTTGCATGATATTCACATAATCTTTTCTCTTCTCCTGCTTCCTCCGTGCAATAAGCTGCTCAGGCAGCCTTTGCTCTTAAGAGCTTGTTTGTATCTGAGAACGAGTTAAGGCTTTACACTGGTAGTAAGTTTAAGTCATGCCAAAAAGGGGTAGAATACCTGATTCTCCTAGTTTCAAGACAAGCCAGGTTTTTTTTGTTTGTTTGTTTTTTAAAAAAGCAGAAACTTTCATTGCTCTCTCTCATCTGAAACTAGATGAGGCTATCTACTCTGAGTGGCCAGGTCTTCTGTAATTTGTAACTGAAATGCAGGTTACTTGCTCACTGCACGTACAGTTCAGTTAACGAGGGAAATCTGATCCAAAATAAGTGAATTTATTCCGAAGTTAGCTTGGGGGAAGGGGCACAAAGCATCCCGCCTTTGAATGTGCCGCTTCTCCTCTGTTGCAAAAAGTGGGCATTTTCATAGGGTAAGGGAGGACATGAGCAAGGGCAGGGGTCCCACTGCTTCTGGTCAGTTACCTACCAGGCAGTTGAGTTGGCACCTTCCTGTGCAGAGTTCAGTTGTAAAAGTAGCCAAGTGGTCATGCTTTCGATGTGCTGTCCTGGTGCGTATGAGTTCCTAGGTCACCCCTGGAGGATGGCAGTTCCGAGGCACGCCCCTGGAGGTGAGAGTTCCATGGGGACATGCTTTGGTCTGTAAATCCACCGTCAGCTCTGGAGGAGAGACCTGTCTTGGAGCACGAAGTTAGAGGAACTTGCTGTGTAGGCAATGTCCTGTGAGGGAGAGGTGAGAGATTATATTTGCATTTCAGCAGAGCTAAGCAGAAAGCAGAGAGCCAGGGAAAGGAGAAAACAGAGTGAGAGGGAAAAATATAATTAAACCACCCGTAGAAAAATAGGGAGAACTGGGGGCCGGGGCGGTGGCTCACGCCTGTAATCCCAGCACTTCGGGAGGCCAAGGCCGACGGATCATGAGGTCAGGAGTTCGAGAGCAGGCTGGCCAACATGGTGAAACCCTGTCTCTACTAAAAATACAAAAATTAGCTGGGTGTGGCAGCAGGCGCCTGTAATCCCAACTACTCGGGAGGCTGAGGCAGGAGAATCGCTTGAACCCGGGAGGTGGAGGTTGCAGTGAGCTGAGATCGTGCCACTGTGCTCCAGCCTGGGCAACAAGAGCAAAACTCCATCTTAAAAAACAAAAGAAAAAAGAAAAAGAAAAATGGGGTACTTGGTTACATTTTAAGAACCTAAAAATCTAGAATTTCATGCAAAACTCATAATTTTCAAGTTGGTAATTAATTTTCAAATGTAAACATATTGTGGCTCGCAAAGAACAATAAGATCAATCAACCAATAAAGGCAAAAATAGAGAGTAAGGAAGAATCCACACTAAGAAGCGTGAAGACTTGATTAGAGACATAAGCCAAAGAAAGGAGATGTGTTCAGTGTTTACTGCCATGTGCCAAGCAGGGGCGGGTGAAGACAATGGCAATGTGAACAGCTAGGAGGAAGGCAATATCTGGTAAATTAGAGCCGATGACATATGAGTCCAAAGGAGAAAAGAGGACGCTGAACCCAAGCTTGATGATTGGGAGAATGGTGGTCCCGTGACTTGTCCCACCGAAGCCAAAGAAAGAACAGATCTAAGGGATGGTGATCTTTGAGCAAGCTCGTTTCCCTCACACGTTCCAGCGCTGTTTCACGCCAGGCTCTGGGATTGAATGATATCCCTGGATCAGGTTCACTGGCGTCCCCTGCTGGCACAGAGCAGCACAAAGACTTCGAAACTGGATACGCTGATAAATTTATGAAATCTCCACAAACTAGAGAACACGGGCTAGGTGCGGTGGCTCACACCTGTAATCCCAGCACTTTGGGAAGCCGAGGCGGGTGGATCACGAGGTCATGAGATCGAGACCAGCCTGGCCAACATAGTGAAACCCCATCTCTACTAAAAATACAAAAAATTAGCTGGGCATGGTGGCGGGCGCCTGTAGTCCCAGCTACTTGGGAGGCTGAGGCAGGAGAATCGCTTGAAGCCCGGAGGCGGAGCTTGCAGTGACCAGAGATCACTCCACTGCACTCCATCCTAGGCGACACGGTGAGACTCTGTCTCAAAAAAAAACAAACACAAAAACACTAGAGAACATGTTATTAAATAATAGAAAGAAAGAATGCCCATCTGATAAAGGTACAAAACTGACCTTAAAATGACTTAGCACTGGAAAGAAAAAAAAAAGAGGCTACAAATTTTTGGTTACTGAAGAGCCTTTTAAATAAGATTATATTAAAACAGTGGGTAGATCTCTCCAAAGCAGAATAAGAAAACCCCTAATCTTCCTCCTAACTAAATGATTATATGATTTGATGAGTGAGGATTAAGTTCTGCTTTTAAATATAATTGCTGGGTAATATGAATATAAACCAAATATGTAAAATTTAAGATACAAAGATCAATATTCCCAATTCTATAAAATTTGTGTCAACTAATTGTAGATAATAAAATATTTTATGTATTTTTTAGAAGAAGATAATAGGCATAACAACTATTGTGAAATTATCCAAATTTGTACTCTTAGTTGCCAATTTTCAGTTCTTTAGAAAGTGCAATTATTCTTAGCAGTGAGAAACATGAGTCTCACAGAATACATTTAAGTCTTCACTTTGATTTACAACCTCCAGTGTTAATTAAACAAATGCCAACTATGCTAATAGTCTGGAAATCCTTTGACAAATACTGAAAGAAATGACAGGTCTGGCACATACACATATAGATGGAGGCTTGCCTGATTTTTAAGAGGCGTTTTACAGATTTGGCCTTATAATACTTATTCTATAACTATTCATTTTATCCTGGAAAATGTTGTCTATAAAGTTTTGGAGAGAAATTGCTCTGTAGAACAAATTGACATTTCACAGGAATAAGTCCACTATTGCTAAGAAAAATGGTACTGGGGATGGAGCCCCAAAATGGCAGAGGCAAACACAGCCCTATCAACCTCTCCCATCCCCCTGTGTACACATTAGTATAGACTTAGTCTGTCTTTAGGAACAACATTTTTACTGACCTGCTTTCTAAGTTGTTGGTCCCTCCTCTTCCCTGGGATCTACATATCAGGGTAGTTTCATAATTCTCTGTTGTCTCAGTTACGTGTTAAAAGTAAGCATGTTCACTGAGTGATGATTTTACTTTTTAAACAACCTCATCTTTTACCGTACCATCAGTTATATTAAATATGACATTTAAGGTTTTAAAAGTGGAGTTAGAAAGCTACATACTGAGAGGTGAAGCCAGGCGGGCTTCTGACTCATGTGGGGACTTGGAGAACTTTTCTGTCTAGCTGGAGGATTATAAACGCACCAATCAGCACTCTGTGTCTAGCTAAAGGTTTGTAAATGCACCAATCAGCACTCTGTAAAAACGGACCAATCAGCACTCTGTAAAATGGACCAATCAGTGCTCTGTAAAATGGACCAATCACCGCTCTGTAAAATGGGCCAATCAGCAGGACGTGGGTGGGGCCAAATAAGGGAATAAAAGCTGGCCACCAGAGCCAACAGTAGCAACCGGTTTGGGTACCTTTCCCTATGAAAGCTTTCTTTCACTTTTCACAATAAGTCGTGGGTGCTTCTCACTCTTTGGGTCTGCACTACCTTTATGAGCTGTAACGTTCGTGGCGAGAGTCGGTGGCTTCATTCTTGAAGTCAGCCAGACCAAGAACCCACCAGAAGGAATAAATTCCAGACACAATACAATATGTTGGGTGAGCAGATCATGGCACTTATGTCAGGAAAGCTTGTGTTTAATCCTGGGTGTGCCATTTACTAAGTGTGTGATTAGTTGTATTATATATACATACACACACACGTATTTTTTGAGACAGAGTCTCGCTCTGGCACCCAGGCTGGAATGCTGTGGTGCAATCTCGGCTCACTGCAACCTCCGCCTCCCAGGTTCAAGCGATTCTCCTGCCTCAGCTTCCCGAGTAGCTGGGGCTGCAGGCATGAGCCACCATATCCAGCTTTTTTTTTTTTTTTTTTTTTTTTGGATTTTTAGTAGTGACAGGGTTTTGCCACATTGGCCAGGCTGGTCTCGAACTCCTGACCTCAGACGATCTGCCCACCTCAGCCTCCCAAAGTGCTGGGATTATAGCCATAGGCCACTGCACCCAGCCGTATCTTTTAATTTTAATACCCAAATGTATTATCAAGCTAATAAATTTGAATAAAAACAAAATAGTAAAGCTAATATAAATATTAAACTTTTTACACAAAGAATTGGTTCTTTAAAAAGGTTAGCAAAATTGAGAAATCTTTGCTAGAATGATTTAGGAAGAAAGAAGACTCAACTGAAAATCAGAAGTGAAAGAAGAGACATTACTACCAATTTTGCAGAAATAAAAAGGATTGTAAAAGAGTACTGTGAACAATTGTATACCAACAAACTGAACATCTTAGGTGAGATGGACAAATTCCTAGAAACACACAAATGGCCAAGATTGAATCACGAAGAATCAGAATATCTCAAGAGACTTACAGTAAGGAGATTAACTCTGTAATAACCCCCCAGCAAAGAAAAGCTAAGGGCTAGATGACTTCACTGGATAATTGTAGCAAACATTTAAAGAACAATTAAAACAAATCTTTCTCAAACTCTTAATAAAAAGCAAAGTGGAGGGAGTACTGCCAAACTCAATCTACGAGACCAGATTTACCCTGATACCAAAATCAGACAAGTATACTATGAGAAAAGAAAGTACAGACCAATATCCCTGATTAATACTGATGCAGAAATCCTCAAGAAAATACTAGCAATCAGAACTCACAAGACATTAAAAGAATTTTACATCATGGCAAAGTGGGCTTTAGTCCTAGAATGCAAGAATGGTAAATATATGAAAATCAAAGTAATGCCCTACATTCACAGAATGAAGGACAAAAACCATGTGATGATCTCAACTGATGCAGAAAGAAAAAATTTGACAAGATGCTCTATTACAAAACACTCAACAACTAGTAATAGAAGGAAACTTCGTCAACACAGTAAAGGCCAAATATAAACACCCAGAACTAACATCGTACTCAATGGTTAAAGACTGAATGGTCTCCCTCTAAGATCAAGAGGAGCAAGACAAGGATGCTCTCTTTCACCGTTTCTGTTCTACTTAGTGTTAGAAGTCCTACCTGGAGTAATTAGGTAAGAAAAAGCAATAAAAGTCATCCACATGAGAAAGGAAGAAGTAAATTTATATCTGTTCACAGATCACATAATCTTATGTGTAGAAAACCATAACTATTACATAAAAATGAATTCAGCAAAGTTGCAGAATTCAAAATCAACACACAAAAATCAATTGCATTTCTGTGTATTAATGATGAGCAACCCAAAGGAAATTAAGAAAACAATTCAATTTACAATAGCATTAAAAAGAATAAAACACTTAAGAACAAACTTAACCACTGAGGCAAAAGACTTGTACTCTGAAAACTATAAAAGAAATATATACATAAGTGGAAAGACATCGATATTCATGAATTAGAAGACTTATATTGTTAAGATAGTAGTGTTCCCCAAAATGATCTACAGATTCAATGCAATCCCTATCAAAATCTCGACCTTTTTTGCAGACATGGAAAAATTCATTGTTAAATTCAAATGGAAATTAAAGGAATCTATGATAGCCAAAATAATCTTGAAATAGAAAAACAAGGTTAGAGGTCTCGTACTTCATGATTTAAAAACTCACTGCAAAGCTACAGTAATCAAAACAGTGGTTATTGTCATAAAGACAAGAGTATAGACCAACAAAATGGAATAGAGAGCCTAGAAATAAACCTTCACATACATGGTCAAATGATTTCAACAAGGGTGCCAAGAATATTCAATAGGGAAAGGGCAGTCTTTTCAACCAGTGGTCCTGAGAAAACAAGATAACCACATGCAAAAGAGTTAAGTTGAACCATTACCATAGACTATATACAAAAAGTTAACTAAAAATGGATCAAAGACCTAACCCATAAGAGTTAAAACTATAAAACTCTTAAACAAAAATATAAGGGGAAAGCTTCATGTCACTGGATTTGGCATTGATTATTTGGATATGACAATAAAAGCATAGATAACGAAGAAAAATAAGTAAATTGGACTACACCAAAGTTAAAAACTTCTGTGCAAAACAGGCTATAATCAACAGAGTGAAAAGGCAACCCATAAAATGGGAAACATTTGCAAATAATATAACTGATTAGAGTTATTCAGAATATATAAAGAACTCTTACAACTCACACACACACACACACACACACGAAACCCAATTAAACCATTGACAAAAGCCTTGAATAGACATCTCTACAAAAAAGATACACACATAGCTAATAAGCACATGAAGAGATGCTTGATACCACTAATTGTTAGAGAAATGGAAGTCAAAACCCTGACTGGCAAAACACTGTGACACCACTTGATACCCATTAGGATTGCTACTATTAAAAAAAAATCAGAAAATAACAAGCATTGGCAAGGATGTGGATAAACTGGAAAACTTTTGCATTTTTGGTGGGAGATAAAATGGTGCAGCCACTATGGAAAACAGTATGGTGGTTACTCAAAAAATTAAAAATAGAATTACCATATGGTGCAGTGATTTCACTTCTGGGTATATATCAAAAATAATTAAAATGAAGCACTTGTACAGATATTTTTGCACTTATGTTCATAAGCAGCATTACTAACAATAGTCAAAAGGTGGAAGTAAGCCAAGTGTTCATTGCTGGCGGAATAAACAAACTATGACATTTACTTACAATAAAATATTTTTCAGCCTTAAAATGGAAGGAAATTCTGACACATGCTACAACTGTAGGTCATTATGTTGAGTGAAATAAGCCAGTCATAAAAGGATAAATACTGTATGATTCTGAAACAGACCGAATAGTCCCATTTTTTAAAAAAAATTTTGATGAACATAGAAATTGACCCCTTTGGTATTAAAGTTTGAAACTTATATTTGTTTTTTCTGAGTTCCTTCTTCAGGAAATGACCTTCAGGCCTCTCAAAAAAAAGTATTAAAGAACTGAAACTCACCCAGTTACCACATCCAGACAATGAGATGCCAGACCCCTCATTCATCATGATGGCTTCCTTGCCCCTCACTAGTTCCTGTTTCCTTACACATTGTTACATTCCTTCCCTGCTATATAAACTCCTAGTTGTAGTTGGTCAGAGAGATGGATTTGAGACTGAGTTCCTGTCTCCTCGGCTGCAGCACCCGATTAAAGCCTTCTTCCTTGGCAATACTCATTGTCTCAGTTCTTGGCTTTCTGTGCAGCCAGTAGAAGAACCTAGACTGAACTCCTGGTGTTTCACTAATCATCCCACTTACACAGTGTACTTAGAGTAGTCACATTCATAGAGACAGAAAATAGAATGGGGGTTGTCAGCAGCTGGTGGAAAGGCAATGGTGAGTTCTTGTTTAATGGTTAGAGTTTCAGTTTTACAAGATTGAAAGGGTTCTGGATATGGATATTGATGACGGTTGCACAACAATGTAATGATGTTCACTGAAGTGTACTTTTAGAAATGTTAGGATGATAATTTATATAACTTTTTTTTTTTTTTGAGATGGAGTCTCTGTCACCCAGGCTGGAGTGAAGTGGTGCCATCTTGGCTCACTGCAACCCCCACCTCCTGGGTCAAGAGATTCTCCTGCCTCAGCTTCCCAAGTAGCTAGGATTACAGGCTACCACCTGTGTGATTACGGGCCACCATGCCTGGCTAATTTTTGTATTTTTAGTTCGAGATGGGGTTTCACCATGTTGGCCAGGCTGATCTTGAACTCCTGACATCATGATCCACCCGCCTTGGCCTCCAAAGTGCTGGGATTACAGGCATGAGGCACTGCGCCTGGCTTATAACATTTTTTTTTTTTTTTTGAGACAGAGTCTCACTCTGTCGCCTAGACTGGAGTGCAGTGGTGCGATCTCAGCTCACTGCAACCTCTGCATCCCGGGTGCAAGTGATTCTCCTGCCTCAGCCTCCCAAGTAGCTGGGACTACAGGCACCTGCCACCACATCTGGCTAATTTTTGTATTTTTAGTAAAGGCGAGGTTTCATCATTTTGCCCAGGCTGTTCTCAAACTCCTGACCTCAGATAACTTATGTAACTTTTATATAGGTATATTTTATCACACTTAAAAATATTAACACATCTTAAGAAATTCAGCCAACCCAAATTGCTGAGATGGCATGGAGGTATGGAAAGAGCTTTTCAAGCTAGAAAGACCTAAGTTTGAAATGAGACCTAAGTTCTACTACGTTCTAATGCTATGACCTCAGAGATGTCATAGAGTCACGTTGACACTCAGCTTCCTCATATTATGCGATGACCACTTATAGAGGCATGATGAAGAGTAATTGAGATTATGTTATTTACAGTCTCTGGCACAGCCTGTGGCTCTCCACAGGTACACTGCAATGAATCTTCCTTTGCATTTTCCTCAGGTAATAGTAAGGTGTAATTGACTACAAATAGGTCTCTATGCTTTAAATGTAAATATTAATTTCACTTAGATGATCTAATTCAGTTTTTACAGCATGCTATGGTTTACACAATCCTTTATATAGTATTTTATTTTCCTAACTTTTGAGGTAAGCATTACGAATTATATTTTAACAATGGATGATCTGAATATAAAAGAGATTACAGGATTTGATTAAGATCATATATTGCTGTGATTCAACACCATATTTTCTTAATTCAATTTCATCGTTATTTATATGGTACAATTAGGAAAGGAAAAAGTAATCCAAGCCCTATATTAAACCATACCTGTTGCTGAGTGTCTTCAAAATCATTTTATTTTCCTTCCTAAGATAAAAAAAAAATGATAGAATCCTACGTGCTTGTCTGATGATTCGTAACTTGAAGTCAGGGATTAGATCTCCTCTGTTTCTTAGTTTTATTCTATAGCCCATGAATATATTAAGCATTCAATAGACATTTGTTGAATTAAAATGGTATAAACTATTGATCTGAAATACTGCATTTGAAGCTTGGTACTTCATGCATTTTGTTCATATCATTTATGTACTAAATTCAACTTTTTTTTTATTTTGCATCCTGATTGTGTTTTCATAAACATTTATTCTAATGCTAAAATTTAATATCAATAAATTATATCTTGGAGAAATAATTTAACAAACTCATATTTGCTTGGTGTGATTATCAAGACTGCAGAAACTTTGGCAATATAACATAATGGGGAAAAAATTGGACAGGAATCAGAACTAACCTTCATTATGGGTTCCTGGAATAGCTCCAATCTATTCAAGTACCCTGGAGCCAAACATTTAAATGCTCCCTGCCTGGATTTCTGCATTTCCCCAATGGAGATGATAATATTTATCTGGCCTACGTTGTAAGCTTCCTTTTTCTACACCATGATACTCAGTATGACATAGAGGTTCAAATCACTTACTATTTTCATAACCATAGGCAAACCTCTTCACACTTCCATCTGTAAAGCTGCCTAATAATAGTATCTGTGTTCTAGTTTATCATGAGGATTAAACGAGTGAATATTTATGAAGCGTGTAAAACAGTATTTGGCACATATGCAAATGTTGGTTAAATTTTATGTGCATAAGTGTGTGTGCGCACTTTGAAAAGTATAAAAATATATTTATAATATCAGGTCAATTAATATTTTTTCTCTCTAAATGCTACTCTAGTTATGTATATGCACTTCAAGTACTTGACTTTTAGTTTTCTCATCTGAAAAATTGCATTATCTTTTATTTAACTTATATTTTTGATCATTAAATGCTCTTAAGTACTCCATGCTCAGTAAGACAGATAAATGGAGAAATCTAGCATGAAGTTAGAAATTAAGAAGGCATATTGTTTCTATAAAAAAGAACAATTTTAACGAGGAAAGACAGAAAACAAGAAACATACCATTGAGGCCAACTGGTTTATAAGGTGTTGTTACTCAGTCCCAGATTTTAAGGTGCAATTCTCACATATGAATTTTCATAGAGGCCTTTGAAGAAGAGAACAAAGTCTATGAAAATGCAGCCAGTAAAAGATCCTCCCCTTCCTTGAACTACACCCAACCTGACTTCAGATGCAGGTTGCCTTTACTTGGGGACGTGTGTGGCCGAGAGGCAAGAGGGGTTTCCCTTGAGTAGAATAGAACTTAAAGAGCCAACAGCAGACTCCTCAGATGCTAGTAACTTGCCACCAGTAGCGTACACTGTGTCCAACACGCAGAGGCAGGTTTGAGTGGAATTCCCAGATAGCTTGTGATCAAAGACTGGTCGCCAGTGAAGAAGACTTGGGATGGATGGATGGATGGGTGGATGGATGGGTGGATAAATGGATGAATTTAACATTGAGGTATAATTTGCTTAACAGTAAAATGTTCAGTTTAATAAGTTTAGGCCAATTAATATTAATTTTGATTAATCTCAAATTGTCTTGCTATCGAGTGTTTTTTTAAGACAGCACCAAGTGTAAAGGAAAATCTTGAGATCATTATGCCAAAGACAAATTGACTCCATAAGATTAGTCCAAATTATCAAGTATATTCCATCATTTTGAATACTCATAAAACATATTTTGATTTTTATTATTTTAAGTGAATATTTGGTGATTTCAAATAAGCAAACCCAAATTCAAGAACTTTCACTGTGCAGAAATTTCCAAAGTCAAAACCAAATAGCGAGTGTGATAAGTTATACTCATTAGACAGCAATAGAGAGGCCCCCTGTAATGGAATATGGGGTGACTGTGAGGATGCTGAAGAAAAAATGGCCATGATTTTTTATCTAAAGGTGTGCTTAGTAAAGTAGGAATAGAAAATAAAGACAAATATGCAACTCCAGGAGTTATGAGAATGTATTCGGGACGTATTTTGAAAACAAACCCAACTGCTAAAATTGAGTCGACCCAGAAAAGAATTAAGCTGAGATATCTCTTAGTGATACTTTCACATCCAGATTTACGCTTAGATTCATGATGCATTACAACTAATAAAATTGTTTAAGTATGAGAAAGAGCAGACCAAGGGGCCATGAAGAAAATATAATTAAATGCAGATTAAAGGGGCAGGGCTTCTGGTTTGGCAGACACTTACACTTCAAAGACTGGAACATTCTCTTTAATAATACCTCAGTTATCTAATAAAAATGATCATTTGGAAATCATGCTGGTCACTTCTGTCTAGCTCAAGTGTCAATGTTCTGGATATACTGGGTACTTTATTCACACTGAATTGCTTTTATACATCGAGAAAGGTGTTAACTCTTACTCTTCTTAAAATGGACTGTGGTAATTAATTCTGATGCCTGGAAGCAAATAAGTAAATCTTTGAAATATTCATTTTATTTATACAGACTTAGATATCTACTTTTTAGGAAAATCACACTTAAATACCCCTTTCACTTTTGTACATATTTGACACAGTTTGGTATCAACTGTTACTCGGATTATATAGAAATATTTTGTTGCAATGAATTTATCCAATTTCCTTAAAGGAAGAAGCAACAATGGATTATTTCAAGGAGAACATTATGTAATAGTCCATGCTAATGAACTGTTAAAAAAATATTATTGACACAGGCATGTTAATAGCAGTGTGGGTTTTGGTAATCAGCTAACATAATTAGTCCAGAATTATATGGACTTTTTAAGTAATAAAATTTACTGGAAACTTAAATGTAATTAATTAAAAGTTTGGTTTAGTTATAAATATGATTAAAGCATTTTTCTCTAATTTTTTTTTTTTTTTTGAGACAGAGTCTCGCTCTGTCGCCCAGGCTGGAGTGCAGTGGCCCTATCTCAGCTCACTGCAAGCTCCGCCTCCCGGGTTCACGCCATGCTCCTGCCTCAGCCTCCTGAGTAGCTGGGACTACAGGCGCCCGCCACTATGCCCGGCTAATTTTTGGTATTTTTAGTAGAGACGGGGTTTCACCGTGTTAGCCAAGATGGTCTCGATCTTCTGACCTCGTGATCCGCCCACCTCGGCCTCCAAAAGTGCTGGGATTACAGGCGCGAGCTACCGCGCCCAGCCCATTTTTCTCTAATTTATACTTAAATTTGCATTATTATTTGCAAAACGTACCAAAATTTGGACATTTAAGCATCATTTATTCTGAAAAAAGTATAAGACATAGTAAATAACATACCAATATGGGACATGGGAGATAAAAATTGATCACCCAGTAGATAAAGGGAAAAGCTCTTTCAGAAAAAAAAAGTAAATTTAATTGGCATATAATCAGAATATGTATGAGCATTTTGGAGTTCTTGTTTTCTTGTTAACTAAGGTAGAATTTTACAGGTTTGTAGACCAAGGCTTCATCTCCATGAATGTGGCCCCATGATTAAGATGGCTTGGGGTCAGACAGACTCAGTCCTGCTGTTTGTTAGTTGTGTAACATCAGACATGCTCAAAGCCTCAACTTACTCATTTTGGGGAAATAATAATAATTATTAAGACTGGTGAGGGCCAGCTCGGTGGCTCACGCCTGTAATCCCAGCACTTTGGGAGGCCGAGGCGGGTGGATCACGAGGTCAGGAGATCGAGACCATCCTGGCTAACACCGTGAAACCCCGTCTCTACTACAAATACAAAAAATTAGCCGGGCGTGGTGGCGGGCGCCGGTAGTCCCAGCTACTCGGGAGGCTGAGGCGGGAGAATGGCGGGAACCCGGGAGGCGGAGCTTGCAGTGAGCCGAGATCGCGCCCCTGCACTTCAGCCCCGGGGGACAGAGCGAGACTCCATCTCAGAAAACAAACAAACAAACAAACAAAAAAACTGGTGAGGGTTATAATAAATATATGTGAATTAAATAAAAATGTGTTTTAAATGTCATCAATTGTTTTATATTTCTTAATAAATTTCTCTTTTGTCAATTTCATTATTCAGCAAACGCAGAAACTTAAGATTTTCTGCTGTTTGTAGTAATGTAGTATATTTCATCATATGGCAAGTGCTACCAGAGAGAAGTAGGATTATTATTTATTGTGGTTTTTGCAAAACCAGAGGCCCATGCCAGGAGTTTTATTCAGCACGGCTCCTCTTTGATTCCTGTCACACCTAGACACAATGAAGGTGATTTGCAAAAAAGTAGAAGAAATAAAAGAAAAACAAAACAAAAACTCTTCTTGCCAAGATTTCTAAAGTAATGAAGAAATAACGTCACTTGTAAAAGGGGTTTCTAAAATTACCTATCTGGAACAGAAGAAAGCAAGAGTCCGGTACCCCTATCAAATCAATTGGTTTAACATGTTTTCCCTTTTAAAGTAAAATAATAATTTAAATAATAAATACACATTTTTATTTATATAATGCCATTTTTAATATAGTATCATTTTTCTACTGGGATTTTATAGTTTAATAGACGTTCATCATTAGTGTGCTGTTTCAAATCCTGGCCCTGCTCTATATTTTTTGGTTGGTTTGTTTGGATATTATTACCATAAAAACAAAAACAGGCTTGCAATGGCTGCAGATTCACAGAAGATTATTAGAAATAAAAGTTTATTGTTAAATATTTTGTCATAGCAAAATATATTTTTCTTTAAGAGAAAAAAGTTTTTATCTAAATATTATCAAATTTATTACTTTCATCACTTACGTAAGTTAACCAGTTCATATGCATCTGTATGTCTCAGTAGAGACCACCAACTTCAACATTAATGTGTTTTATTTTCTCAAAGTTGGACTTCAGACAAAAATTATAAAACTGGAAGATAGTAATATTTAAGGATGCCTTCCTAAAATTATCTTAAGTACATCGAATATTTCCAAAAAATGTTTTTCCTCTGAGAGTTTCCTATGCTGGTAAGAAATATTTTGGGAACAGAATAGACAAGGATTAAGTGAAAAATAAATGTCCCTTTTTACTCTTATTCCAGTTCTCAGAGGAAACAGTTTCTTGCACGGACTTCCAGTTATTTTCTATACATAGGAAGTATATTATATATAACAATATAAAATTTATCATGAATGAACTACTCTATACACACTCTGACAGTTACTTTTTAAGTTAAACAATATCTCGAGTGTCTCACATATCTATACTCTCACAAGTATTACATATATATTACATACATACTTGCCTAATTAGTTTTTGGTGACAATATATTGTATTATTATATGAATGTACTATAATTTTTAATAGCAAGTCTCTTTGCAAGTGTAGCTCCAGCTTCTATTAGGAGTGAAATCCCTGGATAAAATATAACTTGTCTCCAAAGCTGATTCTCCAAAACTGTTTCAATTTCCATTCCCGCATGGTAATATCAATAGAATAATTGCCCATTGTCCCACAACCTGTTTAACATGGTCACACAGCGGGATTCTGACTTTGCCAAATGGCTCACTTCAATAAGCTTAATGAATGTTTAAATGAATGAATGTCAATTTATGAATGAGGATTACCATCTTCTCATACACGACTACTGAATGTATCTCACTTTCTGAATGGGAATCATCTTCTCATATACTACCACTTTTTTTTTTTTGAAACAGGGTTTCACTCTGTTGCCCATGCTAGAGTGCAATGGCATGATCATAGCCCGCTGCAGCCTTGAACTCCTGGGCTCAAGCTACCCTCCCACCTCAGCCTCCTGAGTAGCTAGGACTACAGGTGTGAACCACCATGCCCAGCTAATCGTGTGTTTGTTTGTTTGTTTGTTTGTTTGTTTTAGAGAACACCAGGCTGGTCTCGAACTCTTGGGCTCAAGTGATCCTCCTGCCTCAGCTTCCCAAAGTGCTGGGAATCAGGCATGAGCCACTGTGCCCACCCTTATACTACCTTTTTTTTTTTTTTTTTTTTTTTTGAGACGGAGTCTCACTCTGTTACCCAGGCTGGAGTGCAGTGGTGCAATCTCTTCTGACTGCAACCTCCACCTCCTGGGCTCAAGCGATTCTCCTGCCTAGCCTCCCGAGTAGCCTGGATTAAGGGCGTGCACCACCACGCCTGGCTAATTTTTGTATTTTTTTATAGTAGAGACGGGGTTTCACCATGTTGGCCAGGATAGTTTTGAACACCTGACCTCAAATGATCTGCCCGCCTCGGCTTCCCAAAGTGCTGGGATTATAGGTGTGAGCCAGTGTGCCCAGCCCCCTTATACTACTTTTATATGTCTTGCCTGGTTTTTTCTTCTGACCAGATTTATAATTAAATAACTGGTTTTTTTTCTTACTGACTTTCATGAAATTTTAATTTATCAGGAAATTAGTTCTGTTGTTAATTTATGTTGTACATATTTACTCTAATTTATCTCTCTTAAAATGTTTTGTTTTTTGGCCAGACGTGGTGGGTCATGCCTGTAATCCCAGCAATTTGGGATCACCTGAGGTCAGGAGTTCAAGACCAGCCTGGCCAACATGGCAAAACCCCATCTCTGCTAAAAACAAAAATTAGCTGGGTGTAATGGTGCGCACCTGTAATCCCAGCTACTCGGGCGGCTGAGGCAGAGCAATCGTTTGAACCCGGGAGGTGGAGGTTGCAGTGAGCTGAGACCTCACCACTGCACTCCAGCCTGGGTGACAGAGCAAGACCCTGTCTCAAAAAAAAAAAAAGTTTTATTTTTTAATATATACATACTTTAGTGGGACATAAGAATGATTTAGGGCACTTCAATTTGGGTCTATTTTTTCTTTCTTTTATTATACTTTAAGTTCTGGGATACATGTGCAAGACGTGCAGGTTTGTTACAAAATAGGTATACATGTGCCATGGTGGTATGCTGCACTCATCAACCCGTCATCTACATTAGGTATTTCTCCTAATGCTATCCCTCCCCTAGTCCCCCAGCTTCTGACAGGCCCCAGTGTGTGATGTTCCCCTCCCTGTGTCCATGTGTTCTCATTGTTCAGCTCCCACTTATGAGTGAATATGTGGTGTTTGGTTTTCTGTTCCTGTGTTAGTGTGCTGAGAATGATGGTGTCCAGCTTCATCCATGTCCCTGCAGAGGACATGAACTCATCCTTTTGTATGGCTGCACAGTATTCCCTGGTGTATATGTGCCACGTTTTCTTGATCCAGTCTGTCAGTGATGGGCACAGCCACTTGGGCCTGTTTTCTAGGGACACGTCTCTCTGCAGATGGTTACAGCCTCCTTCGGTTTGCGCAGATCGCCCTCAGACGAAATGTCAGCATGTCTCTCAATGAAGCTCTTTAATCCACAGTCGTTTTGTTTTCAGCTCAGTTGTTTCTGGTCGGTGCAAAGCTGACTGCAGTTTTTCTTCTCTTTTCAATGTTTGTAACTTTTCTTCTCTGTGCTTGACCTCTAAATTAGGATTTGTGTTGAAGTAAAGAATTGTAATAACCTGCAGAGTCACCCTTAAATCTGGATACCCCCTCTTTCTCTTTCTCTCTCAGAATGGAGTACTCCAGAGCAATGTTCTCCACTTCTCCCACGGCATTATCGCACCCCTAAGTCTCTCTTCTAACTAGGATATTCTTCTCTGGGTTCTCAGGTCCCTGGAGGTCTCAGGGACATTGATGCCATGTTCAGGGTCTAAAAGGTAAGGTTTTTGTGCTTTGTACTTCTTCAGTTTGGCCCAGATGTCCTTGTATTCGTGAGATATTTTTCACAGTGATTCCTACAGTATTTTAAGATCAGTTCTCTCACCTGTTTTTACTCTTTTTGTCTACATAGGGGATATCAGAGACAGGATATAAATAGTAATATTTTATTCTTTCAGGAAGCTATAAATGTATTTAGATTATTACAATTTGTACAGACTCTAAGCAGAAATATAATCACATCATTTATGATATTTATCTTCATAAATAGATATTTGAATTGGCTTCCAAAATGACCTTAGAGATGTACTTACTTAATGATGGTGGCCTTGATCTTTTTGTGATTAGATAATAGCCCAGCATGTGGCCACAGTAGCAGAAACACACAGTATGTGCTGGTTAATTGGCTCTACTCGCTTCATGCATTATTACAGCTTATCTGCTGCTTGTGGACTGGTACATGTTGAGCTTCTCAATAATCAAAGAAGAAATCAGGTGCCAGGTCACAATCCAGACCCAAGAAGTGTCTGCTTTTCTGTTTTCCACATGAAGTCATCATTTAGCATTCTTTTCTTCTTTTTCAATGGTGGAGAAGCCTCTGGTATGTAAAACATGAGTAAAGTTCAAATAGGGTCAAATTCCGGAAGGCAGCACAGAACTTTTCCTCCTAGCCGTGTTACTTTGGCCGTACATCCTTCTATCATCCCATGCAGCTGGGAATGGGGGCTGCCATTTTCATTTTGATCAACCATTCCTCAAAAGGGCATTTAGAGAGTCATTAGGGTCTAGAGTCATGAAATGAGTAGAATAACAGAAGGTAGCATGTCAGAAGACCATGGGCAGCCCCCAGGCTGTATTTGCAGTCCCCGTTCTGCATAATGTGTCCAGTTGGTATGTAATGATGCACGCACAGAAGAGAACCAAACACTCAAATGTTTTGGCTATAATCAAAATTATACCTTGAGTTTCAATGTACTTATGTCTTTGAAAATGGTATTTTAAGGACCAGAAATGTACACAGTGTTCTGTGTTTTCAATACACAAAAATAAACCTTATGCACGTAAGTGTAGGCCTCACTGCTGGGCTGTATTCCTTCCTACCACGGACCCTGTAAATACTGTAGAACTATCCAAACAACATCTAAACTTCAGATGTAAAATTCCTAACTCCTAATATTACAAACATTCAACTATTTTGATGGAAAAAATAGGAAGCATGACAATCATTTATAAGAGAAAGAAAATATATTTCTCAATGAACACAGATTCCTTGACATGGACACTTTCCTGCAGCTTCCGAAGACACCAGCAGTGGAAGGTTATACTATTCATCGATGGCCAGGGCTGGTTGCAGGAGATATTATGATGCTTTGAAGGTTGTCCTGGTCATCTTTATAAAATATATGTCAACCACACCTGCTGAGGCTACAGAGCACTGACAGAGGGTAAGAGACTAGAGAAGGAAAAGCTTTGATAAGATAGCTGAAGATAATCAGAAAAGATGGTAACTAATCAAATAAACATCCTCTTGCGTGCACAATGTCAGGAATGCAGCTCTGGAAACAATGCCTTTGTCAGAGCACTGTTAGCCGTAGGGTGTGTGCCTTCCTCCTCTTGTGCTTAGTGTTTGGAGAATTTTTGTTCGTTTGTTTGAGACAGAGTCTCACTCTGTCGCCCAGGCTGGAGTGCAATGGCGCAATCTCGGCTCACTGCAACCTCCACCTCCCGGGTTCAAGCAATTCTCCGCCTCAGCCTCCTGAGGAGCTGGGACTACAGGTGCCCACCACCATGCCTGCCTAATTTTTTTGTATTGTTAGTAGAGTTGGGGTTTCGCCATCTTGGCCAGGCTGGTCTTGAATTCCTGACCTCGTGATCCACCCTCCTTGGGCTCCCAAAGTGGTGGGATAACAGGTGTCAGCCACTGTGCCCAGCCTGAGAATTTTAAAAAGAAGTAGAAAAGTGCTATTCTTGATTAAGCAGCTGTCATATCAGACACTGGAGAATGTGGCCCAAGCTCACATGGTTCATTTCTGCAACAGCTCTTGCAATCTATACATTGTTGTCACCACTCTATGGGGAATCAATGAGAATGGTGGCAGAAAAGTACTCTGCTGAATGGTGAGGCAGATATAAATCTGGCCTAAGTGAAACAAAAAACTCTCCATTTTTAACTACACTTTACTGGCTCCAGGACTGGACATTTTCAGGGGTAGTATAGGGAAGGACTAAGGATATCGAGGGTTCTTGGATGAAATAATACATAGATTGTTGGTCCTGGCTGAGTGCAGAAACAAGGGAAAACAGCAGGGCTTGAAAGCTTAGGAGAAAATGGAGGGAGGCAAGAGGTTGGAGGACTTAGTGGATTCATGGAGAACAAATAGAAATACGGAAGTTAGAAGGAGAGTGATAAGAGGCAAGGCAAAGTAGGTGATGAAATTACCCAAAGTATGACTCTGGGATTGGGTTGCTGAAGAAGAGATAATAAATTCTTTAAAGTAAGTAAGAGTGGTGAAGTGCTTATCCCATGTGACTTATTAGAGACAGAATCTGAAATATAATTTGGGTTTACATTATGAAATTTAGTGCATTATGCCATAAGAATGCTGTGTCTCCTAATCCATTATGTTCGTTAAGGTGGAGCTTTACATGTGTCTTGATATCTGAGTATAATCTTTTGCAATAAATTACAGAAGTTGTCTCATCACTAATTTGGGGTGTGCTGATTTTGTTTCTAAGTTTATAAAATGAAAGTCTTGATTTTTGTTGGTTAAATATTTTGAAAAATTGCAGTTCAAGAGCAAAGTTATGTTTTACTCATCAGTTTTTTGAATGAAAAATTATGTGAACGAGATAACTTTTGTATGAATTTTTAATTTTTAGTAAAGTTACTTAAGTTATGTTTATTCTCCAAAATATTATCAGTCACATTTATTTAGTGCTCAAGACTAAATAAGAATTTTAGACAGATTCTCGCTCTGTCGCCCAGGCTGGAGTGCAGTGGCGTGATCTCGGCTCACTGCAAGCTCTGCCTCCTGGGTTCACGCCATTCTCCTGCCTCAGCCTCCCAAGTAGCTGCAACTACAGGCGCCCACCACCATGCCCGGCTAATTTTTTCGTATTTTAGTAGAGACAGGGTTTCACCGTGTTAGCCAGGATGGTCTTGATATCCTGACCTCGTGATCTGCCTGCCTCGGCCTCCTAGAGTGCTGGGATTACAGGCGTGAGCCACGGTGCCTGGCCAATTTTTTTAAAATTATGAAACTAGGAAACATTGTTCTATTAAAAATATTTTTCTCTATCTATTCACAGTAACACTGAAGAATGCAGTTTACTTACATCTTTTTCTGTTTGACAGAAGACAGTTATTAGTAAGTATAATTATTAGATAAAGTATACTTATTTTCCATGTTTAAAATATGAAAAATATGCAATATAGGTTGGTACTAAGAGGGGAAATCTGCTTCTGATCAAAATTTTATTTTAAATATCATTTTTATTTCTTTTGTCCTAAGTTATATACTTTTTCTTCTATTACTTATTGCAAAGTTACTTTAAAAGAAAACAAAATCAAAGAAAGCAATCAACCAAGATTTTAAAAATAATAATAGCAGAATCTCTCCTCAATTCTTTCCTCTTCTCCACTCCATCTTGCCTTCACAGCTTTTTTTGTTTCCAAAGGTAGTCAAAACATTTTAGATATTTATGCCAAAGGGCATGGATCTGTGATACCGTGGGTCCTGCCAAGCTGAAGGTTTTCCTTTGGCCAAGATAAGTTACTGTGGAAGGAAAGTAACTCTTCCAATCCACGGTTCTTAGAAAATTATACTTTTATACTTTTTAAATTTTAAATGAAATGCCCCACAGCTTTCAATGCATACCCAGTTCAGAGAATTTGAATATCATCCAACATGCTTCCACAGTGATCCCAGTCTGAGAGGACTGTGTTATTATGTAAATGCATAGCTTGCTTTCTAGGTAATAAATGATAAAACTCTTCATACAGGAGAATTTGGTCTTCGGTGTATTTCTATATGTATTGAAGGTTTGCTGTGAAATCACTCTGGAATCTCTCAGCTGGTCTGCTCCACAGTATCCTACTGGTCTTGGGCTTTGTATATTAACTTTCCAGAACTCATGCTCACTACAGACTTGCTTTAGGGCCTCTAAATATTTGTTGCTTTTGCATGCCAAGAGTTTTATCCTTATTTTTGGAGACAGGAGAGGATGTGAGTGTTGAATTGTATTTCAGGTTACCCTTGGGACATCAAAATGACCAAGGCAGTGTCTGCTAAGTATTTGCTGAGACTCTGCTATGATTCTTTCAAGTCTAAAGACAGTTATCTGAATGATATCCCCGTGACAGTGGACTCCTGCACATTCACAGTCCTGGAAGGAGCCTGTCCACATTGGCATTCTGGAAGTCCATAAAAGACAAACGCATATGCAGTCCCCGAGAAAGCATTGTTGTAAACAAATCTGCACTAGATGGAAACTCTGTTATGTGGTGCCGGCATGCATGGAAGAGTAAGTCCAGAACTACACCTGGAAGTTCTTTTTACTAAAAGAACACACAGTTCTTTTTTACTTTATTATATTGTATTTTATTTTATTTTGTTTTATTATACTTTAAGTTCTAGGGTACATGTGCACACATGCAGGTTTGTTACATATGTATACGTGTGCCATGTTGGTGTGCTGCACCCATCAACTCATCATTTACATTACGTATATCTCCTAATGCTATCCCTCCCCCCTCCCCCCATCCCACAACAGGCCCCGGTGTGTGATGTTCCCCGCCCTGTGTCCAAGTGTTCTCATTGTTCAATTCCCACCAATGATTGAGAACATGCGGTGTTTGGTTTTCTGTCCTTGTGATAGTTTGCTCAGAATGATGGCTTCCAGCTTCATCCATGTCCCTGCAAAGGACATGAACTCATCATTTTTTATGGCTGCATAGTATTCCATGGTGTATATGTGCCACATTTTCTTAATCCAGTCTATCATTGATGGACATCTGGGTTTGTTCCAAGTCTTTGCTATTGTGAATAGTGCTAGAATAAAATACATGTGCATGTGTCTTTATAGTAGCGTGATTTATAATCCTTTGGGTATATACCCAGTAATGGGATGGCTGGGTCAAATGGTATTTCTAGTTCTAGATCCTTGAGGAATTGCCACACTGTCTTCCACAATGGTTGAACTAATTTACACTCCCACTAACAGTGTTAAAGTGTTCCTATTTCTCCACATCCTCTCCAGCACCTGTTGTTTCCTGACTTTTTAATGATCGCCATTCTAACTGGTGTGAGATGGTATCTCATTGTGGTTTTGATTTGCATTTCTCTGATGGCCAGTGATGATGAGCATTTTTTCATGTGTCTGTTGGCTGCATAAATGTCTTCTTTTGAGAAGCGTCTGTTCATATCCTTTGCCCACTTTTTAATGGGGTTGTTTCATTTCTTCTTGTAAATTAGTTTAAGTTCTTTATAGATTCTGGATATTAGCCCTTTGTCAGATGGGTAGATTGCAAAAATTTTCTCCCATTCTGTAGGTTGCCTGTTCACTCTGATGGTAGTTTCTTTTGCTGTGCAGAAGCCCTTTAGATTAATTCGATCCCATTTGTCTATTTTGGCTTTTGTTGCCATTGCTTTTGGTGTTTTAGTCTTTGCCCATGCCTGTGTCCTCAATGGTATTGCCTAGGTTTTCTTCTAGGGATTTTTTTTTTTTTTTTTTTTTTGAGACGGAGTCTCGCTCTGTGGCTCAGGCTGGAGTGCAGTGGCGCGATCTCGACTCACTGCAAGCTCCGCCTCCTGGGTTCACGCCATTCTCCTGCCTCAGCCTCCCGAGTAGCTGGGACTACAGGCGCCCGCCATCACGCCCGGCTAATTTTTTTGTATTTTTTTAGTAGAGACGGGGTTTCTCCGTGTTAGCCAGGATGGTCTCGATCTCCTGACCTCGTGATCCGCCCGCCTCGGCCTCCCAAAGTGCTGGGATTACAAGCGTGAGCCACCGCGCCCGGCCTCTTCTAGGGATTTTATAGTTTTAGGTCTTACATTTAAGTCTTTAATCCATCTTGAATTAATTTTTGTATAAGGTGTAAGGAAGGGATCCAGTTTCAGCTTTCTACATATGGTTACCCAGTTTTCCCAGCACCATTTATTAAACAGGGAATCCTTTCCCCATTCCTTGTTTTTGTCAGGTTTGTCAAAGATCAGATGGTTGTAGATGTATGGTGTTATTTCTGAGGCCTCTGTTCTGTTCCATTGGTCTATATATTTGTTTTCGTACCAGTACCATGTTGTTTTCGTTACTGTAGCCTTGTAGTATACTTTGAAGTTAGGTAGCATGATAGCATCACAATTCTATACACATTTCAGGAATGATTTTTTTAAAGAGACACCTCAATTCTTAATGATTTTTAAATTTTTGTAAAATAATCAAATGCAACCAATGGACTGATTGAATAAATCTACTTTTCCCTTTTTGTTGATGGGCCCTAAATTTCCAAGTCTTCTGTGTATAAGGTGGGCTTAATTTTACAAATAGTCATTTTGAAGTTAAAATAACTTGTTTTCTGTATACCCAATTTTAAAATTCAGAATGCCATATCAGCCACTTTATGGATAATTTCTCACATACTTCTTTCTCTGAATATGAGAATTTTAAAAATTTATGCAAAAATGTTTCAACTTACAATGGCATATTTTAATATAACATCTTCAATTTCAACTTTTTCCTTTTGGATATACTTTTATAGAAAGGAATTCAGTATTTATTAAACCACTATTTTCTTCATCTATTGGCAGTGTGTTTAAGGAATTCAGTTTATACCTTGTGGGAATCTTTTTCAGATAAACTGTATATCAAGTAGTTTTGTGGTGTTTGAAGGAACTTTTTGGCATTCAGGGCCATTTCTTGTGCTGTACAAAGCAGCCCTTAGTGCTTTCTGGAGAGCAGACTACTTAAAATTCATATGAACACATTCGATGTGATGTGTATGTTTAGAATCACTATTGAAATATTTCTCTATTTAATTGGGGTGGTTCATGCTAATTCACATGGCGGACATTGGCAGCTATTTTCAGTCTACCAATTTTTTCTTCGGGGGACATAGTAAAATCTCTGCTTCCATAAATGTTTCCACTTTCTGAATGCAGCAGTTTTCCCTTCTTCTTCTAGCTCTTTCTTAGTGGGCAGAGAGAACAGGAAATGCTAGTTGTTGCAATGCAAGCCTGGCAGGCAAGCACACCTCTCTTCCCCAGGAACTGAGTAAGCCACGATGCTCAACTCCAGTGACTGTTGAATTTCAACAGCTGCACCCTCTCTTTTTACCCCTGGTGTCACATAGAGCATATGCTCTTGGACATTCAGGAAATCAAGTATTGCTTCCATTCTGGCCATGGTGCTAGAAATGCAGGGTTTTATCTCTTTACCTCAACCATTTCTGTCTCCTCCCTCAGCTCCTAGGAAGCTGCTGACTCACCCTTTTCTTGACAAGTCCTTCTGGGTAGTCTTCCTGGATAGCATCTGAGATGAACCCCAAACTGGCACACTTTCTATCTCTTTCTGTCTGCCACATCTGGAATCACAATAAAGAGGACACTACTGGTAAGGACTTCAAATGCATGTCAAATGGTCAGAGCCATGGGCTCTAGGAACAGGTGCCAGCAAGTCACAACAAAGGGTTAAATGAGACCAATCTGCCCACTCCACAGTGGGCACCTCTGGACTCTGGGTGGATCTGAGGACTCTTCTTTGGTCTGAATATGTTGGAAACTTATTTGCCAGTGAAACAGTTTTGAGACATGAAACCTTTAAGAAGGCAGAGCCCTCATAAGTGGACTAACACCATTATCGTGGAAGTGGGTTCATTATTAAGAGAGTAGGCTTGTTATAAAAGCAAGTTCAGCCTCCTCTTGCTCTTGCTCTTGACCTCTTTTGCCGTTCCACTTTCTGTCATGACATAATGCAGCATGAAGGCCCTTGTCAGATGTCGGCATCATGCTCTTGGACTTCCAGCCTCCAGAACCATGAACCACATAAACTTCTGTTCATCATAAATTACCCAGTCTGTGGTACTCTGTTACAGCAGCATAAAACAGACTAACACAGACCCATCATCTCCTGACACAGATATAAAGTGAATCCCTAGCAGGCATCTTTGTCCCTCAGAAAAGTCCTGGAGGCCAAGTAGTGGAACAGCAGCATACCAATATCTTTCCCACAAAAAACCTTTCTAATTTCGTGTCCAATATTTCTAAAAGAATGGAGGCAAGTGGTCTTCCGAGGGTCCCCAAATTATTCCCAGCCGCCTCCTTGGCAAGGTCTGCTTTGATGGATTCACAGATTGTTCTGCAATATGAGTAGCATTGACAGTTACTATCTTTGGGCCTCAGTCAAAACAGAGACAGAGAATACCCATTTAACAGGCACTCCAACTTAGGTATCCACAGAACGTATAGTTTTGTTATTCTCTATCATGGGCCTGCTCTTGCCAATGTTTCAGCAGATAGCTGCGTAGTTTAGAATTTCTAGTTAATAATATTTCAGTTTCAACTGTCTCCCTTCAGTTTAATATGGGGTGTATTTAAAATAAATACAACTCCCTATTAGATATTAAAGGATTGTTTTGGAACAACTGAGTCCTTTCAGATAAATCTTCAATACTCTACTTTTCTCTCACTTCTCTCACTCTTTTTTGTTTGTTTTTTTGTTTGTTTGTTTGTTTGTTTGAGACAGAGTCTCACTCTGTCACCCAGGCTGGAGTGCAATGGTGTGACCTTGGCTCACTGCAACCTCCGCTTCTTGGGTTTAAGTGATTCTCATGCCTCAATCTCTGGAGTAGCTGGGATTACAGGCATGTGTCACCACACCTGGCTAATTTTTTTTGGTAGTTTTTGTAGAGACACAGCCCACCTTGGCCTCCCAAAGTGCTGAAATTACAGGTGTAAGCCACTGCGCCCAGACTCACTCTCCTTTACTTCTCCAGGTTGGTGGCTGTGTCTATGAGGAGTACCCTTTCTATGTCTGCAGGAGGAGAGTGGGTCCTTGCATCCACACAGCAGCCTGGAGTGTCACTCTGGACACTCTCTTGCCTCAGCCTCCCGAGAAGCTGGGACTACAGGCATGTGCCACCACACCCAGCTAATTTTTGTATTTTTAGTAGAGACGGGGTTTCACTATGTTGGCCAGGATGGTCTTGATCTCTTGACCTCGTGATCTGCCTGCCTCGGCCTCCCAAAGTGCTGGGATTACAGGCGTGAGCCACTGTGCCTGGCTGATAGTTTCTTATACTGTGAAGAAGCTCTTTAGTTCAATTAGATCCCATTTGTTAATTTGTGCTTTGTTGCAATTGCTTTTTGTGTTTTTGTTATGAAATCTTTGCCACTTCCTATGTCCAGAATGGTATTTCCTAGGTTATTTTCCAGGGTTTTTATAGTTTTGGGTTTTATATTTAAGGCGTTAATCCATTTTGAGTTGATTTTTGTGTATGCTGTAAAGAAGGAATCCAGTTTCAGTCTTCTACATGTGGCTAGCCAGTTATCCTAGCACCATTTATTGAAATAAGAAGTCTTTTCTCCATTGCTTGTTTCTGTCATATTTGTCAAAGGTCAGATGATTTAGATGTCTGGTCTTATTTCTGGATTATCTATTTGGTTCTGTTGGTCTATGTGTCTGTTTTTGTACCAGTATCATGCTGTTTTAGTTACTGTAGCCTTGTAGTATAGTTTGAAGTCCGGTAATGTGATGCCTCCAGCTTTGTTATTTTTGCTTAGGATTGCCTTGGCTATTTGGGCTCTTTTTAAATTGTGTAGTTAAGTAATGTTAAGCACATTCACCTGAATAATCTTGCCAAAGTAAAACTTTATAATCATTGAACAACAATTCCCACTTTTCAACTCTCCCCAACCCTGGTAACCACTATTCTATCTTGTGTTTCAATAAATTTTGCTACTTTAAATACCTTGTAAAAGTGGAATCATACAGTATTTGCCTTTTTGTAAGTGACTTATTTCATTTAGCCCAGAGTCTTCGAGGTTCATTTATGTTATAGCATGTGAAATAATTTCCTTTGTTTTTAAGGTAGAATAATATCACACTGTGTGCCTATACCACATTTTGTTTATCCACTCATCTGCTGATGAACGTTTAGGTTGCTTCCACCTTTTGGCTGTTGTGAATAGTACAGCTATGAACGTAGGTGTGAAAGACCTCAAGATGCTGTTTTTAATTCTTTTGGGTATATACTCAGAAGTGAGATTGCTAGATCATATATTCAATTTTTTGAAAAACCACTATAGCTTTTGAGCCAATGTTTCAACAGATAGCTGAATAAGTTAGAATTTACAGTGAACAATATTACAGTTTCTTCCAGTTTCAACTGTCTCCCTTCAGTTTAAATATGGAATCTATTTAAAATACACCCCCCATTCGATTTTAAATGATTACTTTGGAATAACTGAGTCTTTTTAGGTAAATCCTTAATACTTCACTTTCCATAGCTGTTGCACCATTTTACAGTCCCCACAGTGCACAAGAGTCCCGATTTCTCGACATTCTTGTCAATAGTTGTGATTTTACTTATTTATTTTGGTAGTATTCATCTGAATGGGAGTAAGGTGATATATCATTGCATTGCAATTGGTTTTGATTTGCATTTCTCTGATAATTAGTCACTAATTATTATTGAGCATCTTATACTTCCGTGATGACGTGGGAATTTTTCTTCATTGTACAACAGATATCATTATAGTGGCGTAGTTCTACACTCTACACAATTTTTTCTAACACTACACAAAAGCAAACACTAAATCTAACTTCCAATTGTCAGGATTACTGGTCTACTCCTCTACCCACCCATAGGCTGATTATAAATCTTTGAAATTAATTACATCTAAAATTTTTCTTTCCTGTCAAGTCACTGTTGACGAGGTTCCTCTGCTCACATTGGCAGTCTCTTTCTTTCTCATGATTCTTCAAGTCGTCATTTTGTTAGAGGCCAAGCTTTCACTCATGGACTGAAGTTATATTGTGTGCTTTTTGCCTGAGTGTTTAATCCCTTAATTTACAAGCGGATGTAGGAGTGCATACCCAGGAGGTGAGGGCAAAGACTCCCGTTGAGTCTTTGGAATCTCAAATCTGTTACCGTTTTGGCTTGGGACAACAAACATCCTGTCAGTCTCAATTGCTGTATAATTGAAAAGAGAATGATAACAGTTGTCCTACATACATCATAACTCTCTTTGAATCAATGATAATTAATCCATGTGAAAAGCTTTCAAAAACTTGTAAAAATCCCTCATAATTATATGGTGTTTTACAATTTACAAAGAACTTTCACATGCAGATTTCTCACGTGATTTTTATGTTTTGAGGGCAGAGTGAGAAATTATAAAGTATCTGTGTATATGCCAATAATGATGCCTAATATCCCCCACTTTACATATTTAAAAGACCTTTAAAATTATGGCTTTTCCTAGTTTTCACAGCACATTAAAAAAGCCAATACCACTACACAGGTGTGTAGTTTCTGGTCTTGTGCACTGACCATTTCCTACACCATCTTTTTGTATGCTCTCTAGCTTCCGTAGTTGTTACTCGAGTAGAAGAGTACTGAAAGGCCACGTAGAATATACAGCTTGGTTTCATCCCACTGATAAAAATCTACTTTTAACATACATGTTAAAATAATCAAGCCTGACTAAATTATTTTTGTATTTTTTCCATTTTACCTGTTATCAACTTTTTAATTAAGCAATGGGGCCATGGTAGGCAGGGTATTCCCTAGAACTTGTGAATATGTTACCCTACATGACAGAAGGACTTTCAGATGTAATTAAACTTAATGACGTTGAGTTAGAGAGAGGGTCCTGCCCAGTGGAATCACAAGGGTCCTTAAAGGTATAAGAAGGAGTCAGAGGACAGAGTCAGAAGGAGACGTGCTGATGTGAGAATGGTCAGAGAGATACAACCTTCCTGTCTTTGAAGATGGAGGAAAGGGGCCTTGAGCCAAGGATTGTTGTTGGCCTTTAGAAACTGGAAAATGCAAGAAAATCAAGTCTCCCTAAAGCCCCTAGAAGGGAACACAGTCCAACTAATTCATTTATTTTAGCCCAGGAGATCCCTGTTGGGCTTCCGACTTACAGTACTGGAAGATAATACATTCCTGGTGGTTTGTGTCACAAGGTCTGTAGTACTTTGTTCCAGTATCAGTAGAAAACCGGTAGAAGGGGAATTCACGTAAATATCATTACACACAGAAATAATTACTTATTATTCTTTTGTTCTCAAATCCTACCTTGTAAACAAAATGAATTTTTGTTTTTCGGGGCTTTTGTACTAATTCTTATGAATCCACTGATATTTTGTTTTTTCTGTCGTCTCCCTCAGGAACCCGAAAGGAAGAAGCTATACGACTGGGGACACATGTCTTAGAAGCACACTCATTAGATAAAGTGTCGCATACTCTTTGATAAGGTAAGGCTCCCTGGACGAGATGTTTTACAGGTACCATGAGCTCAGTGAATTGCTTTTGGAAAGACACTCAGCGGAGTGGGCACCACGAGGTTAGGAGAAGCAGCTTCTGCTCGTCATAACTTTGGCAAATGTTTACACATCAGTAATGAAAAATATTCTCTTGGCGATTTCAGGCTTGTTACTATGGATGTTGTTTGCTAACATTGACTATTTTTCCTAACTGCTTATAGAAACTCCAGGCTGTCACCCATCTGTTCTCTCATCAAAGTAGTTTTGGGCCAGCAACTATTTCAGACATTTCTACAGTTTCAGATGTCTCACTCTGCCTATGACTGTATGTTGTACTTGAGGACTGGACGCACAGGGTAAAGTGCAAATAGCAAGCATTCAGGTCCAACTCTCCTCCTTCTGGTTAACAATATGAAAGAAAGAGGTAGTATCGGAATTATTTTAGTTCAATGTAGCCATTATAAAATGTGTATATATTTTAAAACATCATGTGGTACATGATAAATATATACAACTTTTATTTTTCAATAAAAAATTATAAAAAAAGTCATCAAACCTGATTTCTCATACTACTTTTTTGGTAACACTCATCACACCAAAGACTTATTATTTTAAAATGTTATTTTTCATAATTAATTTCTTATTAATTTTATAGGCTAGATTTTAATTGTTATGTCTAAATAGTAGTGTCTGGTACGTGGTAGATAATCAATGTGACTTGAATAAATGAATAAGTCTGTTAACGACATACTTCTCATCACTGTAACTTATTTTTGGTTTAGGACTGATAAAACATTTTTTCTCTCACCCCATATTGCTAAAGATCAAATCCTTCTTCTTTAAGATGCTACCATACCATTGTTCCATTCATCAACGCCAAATCATTCCTCGGGCCTGAGAGGAGCTGCCATCCTTCACTTCGTCTTTGGGTCACTTCCAACCTCTGTTCTCTGTGTGTCTCTTCTGGACTTCCTGGGAGAATAGCCTCTCTCATGATACTCACTTTCTTCCACATCTTCAATCTCTGCTTCATTGATAGATTATGCTACTCAATATAGAAACAACATCTTTTTTATTTTTTAATGATAAACATTCTCCCCCTCAATCTTTTAACCTACTAATGCAGGCAATCTAATCTAAAGAATAGCCTGCAATGCCTCCTTTCATCATTTCCCATTTAATCCAGCTTTCTGGCTGAGTAATTTTGCAGAAAGCCCTTTCTCCCATGTCACAGATGGAACTTTGCAGTGGCCTATTCTGATAAACATGTGGCAGTTTACATGCTATTTGCATTTGAAGCTGTTTATCACTCCCTCCTTCTGAGTACTTTCTTCTTGGTGGGCTTTTATGATAGTAATTGCTATCCTACTGCTGAGTTTCTGACCACTGCTTGTCAGACACTTTATTATGCTCCCTTTCCTTTGCCCATACTTGCAAAGTTAGATTTCCACATATGCCTTTCCCGTCTTCTTATTCCATGAGATTTATCTAAGTGATTTCATCCATTGCTATGGGTTCAACTGCTGCTAATATGTTCTTTACTCCCAACTCTCTTTCTACAGCTTCACATATTTAACTGCCTTTTAGGGAATCACCAAAAGGCAATTCCATCTTAACATACACAAAACTGAACTTATGATCCTTAAGTATGAGGCCAGTTCTTTCTTATGCATTTTCTAAATCAGTGAGTGATACTATCTCTTGTCCTGTTGTCCTGGGCAGAATTGCAGGAGGTGACCGCTTTCTCTACCCTCCCTATAAAAATTACCATCTCTCGTTTACCAACCTCCCAATACCCCAATCATTAGTATCTTTTTAAGAAATGATTTTCTGTTGTTTAACATTTTTTATATGCTATTACCTATATGGTTTTCCTCCTGAAATGGGATATTGGGTAAGAGGGTACCAGATGGAGGTCACATAGACCTACAGTTTATTCAAAGGGGACATCTATGGAGCAAAGGCAAAATGGAGAACCCAGTGCAGCCAAACAGCTACTCAAAGGTCTGAGCAGAGATACAGAAATGACACAGGAGATAACAGAAAGAGAGAGACATATCAAGTGGGTTTTGAGTGTAGGCAAAACCACATTTACCCGTAGCTCTGGAGAACCCACTGGCACTGTTTTGAGACTGTTGCAGCCTGCAAGGGAGGGCGGACACTGAGTTCAGACACACACACCCTCCGACCAGCTCCCAAATGTCTGCTGACGTTTACAACTTTGCTTCCTGCTTTCCTACCTGGTCTTAGCCTTTTGATACACACCCTCCCACTGCTATCAGAGTAAGATTTGAGCTAAGTACATAATCTGGCCCTGCCAGATTATGACATTAGTTGGAGAATAGATAGGTCAATGGGACCTGAGATACATTTTAGAAAAATATTAATATGTATGCCTTATGTATAGTGTGCAGCTGGCATTTTAAACACGTGGAAAATGATGAAAAATTTAATAAACCATGAGAGGAAATTGGATAAATATTTCCGATACACACACACATCAGATTCCCTTTTTTATGTCACATGCAAAACTAAAATAATATTTGAATGGCTTAATCAGTGAAATATTTTTCTAAATTAACTAACATACCGGAAAATATTTGACTTATCTCAAACCAAATATGTATTTTTATTGTATAGGGTTTTTTCTTTTTTAAAAAATTTCAGCTTGCAATTTAGATATAGGAGGTACATGGGCAGATTTGTTACAATGGACTATTGCATGATGCTGTGGTTTGAAGTACGTTTCCCATCACCCTGGTAGTGAGCATAGTTCCTGATAGGTAGTCTTTTTTAACCTAACCTCCCTCCCTCCCTCCCTCCACCGTCTAGTAGTCCACAGTGTCTATTGTGTCTCATATTTATGTCCATACATGCTCAATGCTTAGCTTCCATTTATAAGTGAGAATATGTGGTATTTGGTTTTCTGTTTCTGCATTCATTTGCTTAGATCGCCCCAGCTCCATCTATGTTGCTGCAAAGAATGTGATTTTATTCTTTTTTATGGCGTATAGTATTTCATGGTGTTTATGTACCACATTTTCTTTGTCCAATTTCCTACTGATGGTCGCCTGTGTGGATTCCATGTCTTTGCTATTGTGAATAGTGATGCAGTGGACATCTGAGTGTAAATGTGTTTTTGGCAGAATGATTTATTTTCTTTTGAGTGTATACCCAGTAATGGGATTGCTGAGTCAAATGGTAGCTTTGTTTTAAGTTTTGAGAAATCTCCAGACTGCTTCCTCAGTGGATTGGTCTAATTTACATTCCCACTAACAGCGTATAAGCTTTCCCTTTTCTCTGCAATGTTGCCAGCATCTGTTTTTTTGACTTTTTATAATAGCCATTCTGACTGGTATGAGATGGTATCTCATTGTGGTTTTGATTTGGATTTCTCTGATGATTAGCGATGCTGAGCGTTTTTTCACACATTTGATGTATGTCTTCTTTGAGAAATGTCTGTTCATGTCTTTGCCCATCTTTTAATGGGGTTAATTGGGTTTTGTTTGTTCAACTGTTTAAGTTCCCTATAGATTCTGGATATTAGGCCTTTGTCAGGTGCATACTTTGCGAATATCTCCTCCCATTCCCTAGACTGCCTGTTTACTGTGCTGATTTTTACTCTCTGTTTATTTTGCTATGTAAAAGTTCTGGAGTTTAATTAGGTCCCACTTGTCCCGTTTTTGTTTTTGTTGCAAGTGCTTTTGGGGACTTAGCTAAAAATTATTTGCCAAGGCTGATGTCCAGAAGAATGTTTCCTAGGTTGCCTTCCAGAATTTTTATAGTTTGAGGTCTTACATTTAAATCTTTAATGTATTTTCAGTTAATTTTTGTATGAGGTGAAACGGAGGGGTCCAGTTTCATTCTGCTACATATGGCTAGCCAGTTATCCCAGCTGTGTTTATTGAATAGGGAGTTCTTTCCCATTGCTTGTTTTTGTTGGCCTTGTCAAAGATCAGATGGTTGTTGGTATGTAGCTTTATTTGTTTGTTTTCTATTCTTTTGCATTGGTCTATGTGTCTGTTTCTGTAACAGCACCATGCTGTTTTGGTTACTGTGGCTTTATAGTATAGTATGAGGTTGGAAAGAGTGATGCCTCTGGCATTGTTCTTTTTGCTTAGGCTTTCTTTGGCTGTTCAGGCTCTTTTTGGTTCAATACAAATTTTAGAGTAATTTTCTAATTTTAGTAAATTTTCTAAAGTAAATGTTCTAATCCTGTGAAGAATGACGTTGGTAATTTGATAGGTATAGCATTGAATCTGTAAAGTGCTTTGAGCAATACGGCCATTTTTACAATAGTGGTTTTGGTACTGAAACACCAGGTGCTCAGTCTAGGTCCTGCTGCTTGCTGCACAGAAAGCCAATGACTGAGACAGCAAGTATTGCCAAGGAAGAAGCTTTAATCCGGTGCTGCAGCAGAGGAGGTGGGAACTCAGTCTCAAATCCATCTCTCTGACCTACTAAAACCAGGGATTTATATAACAAGGAAGGAATGTAACATTGTGTAAGAAAACAGGAACTAGGGAGGTGTCAGGAAGCAATCGCGATGAATGAGGGGTACAACATCTCATTGTCTGGATGTGATGATCTACTGAGTTTCAGTTCTTTGACACTTTTTGTGAGAGGCCTGAAGGTCATTTCCTCAGGAAGGAACTCAGATAAAACAAATATAAGTTTCAAGCTTTAAGACCAGAAGGGTCAATTTCTATGTTTATTAAAAAGAAAAAAACTGTTAGACTGGGCGTGGTGGCTCATGCCTGTAATCCCAGCACTTTGGGAGGCTGAGGCGGGCAGATCACGAGGTCAAGAGATTGAGACCATCCTGGCCAACATGGTGAAGCATCATGTCTACTAAAAATACAAAAATTAGCCAGGCATGGTGGCACATGCCTGTAATCCCAGCTACTTGGGAGGCTGAGGCAGGAGAATTGCTTGAACCTGGGAGGCGGAGGGTGCAGTGAACTGAGATTGCACCACTGCACTCCAGCCTGGTGACAGAGCGATACTCCATCTCAAAAACAAAAACCAAAAACCAAAAAAACAAAAAAAAAACCAAACACCAGAATAAAACTGTCTATGGGACAATTGGGTCAGCTTTAGTTTTTCCAATCCTTGAGCATGGGATATTTTTCCATTTATTTGTGTCGTCTCATCTCTTATTTCTTTCAGCAGTGTTTTGTGCTTCTCGTAGAGATCGTTCATCTCCTTGGTTAGCTGTATGCCTATAGGTATTTTATTTTCTTTGTGGCTGTTGTAAGTGGGACTGTGTTCTTGATTTCACCCTCAGCCTGGATGCTGTTGGTGAAATATGTATTTTTAAAAAAGAAAAGCAAAAAAAAAAAATAGATAGACTTGACTAAACAAACATTATTATAAACAAGAATGAGTGTCAATATTCTTTTCCATAAGGTACTCTTACAAATCAGTGTAAAGAATTATAATTTCTCTATTTAAAAAAGGAGATAGCATTGCCAGTTCACAAATTGTATATAAGTGGCCTATGAATGCAAAAACCTCAATTGCATAAGTAATAAAAAAGTCTAAATAAAGTGATATTACAAATTGTATAAAAGTGGCCTATAAATGCAAAAACCTTAATTGCATAAGTAATAAAAAAAGTCTAAATAAAGTGATATTATTTTCTACTGATACAATTGATGGGGAGAAAAACCAAAATAAAGTGAACAGAAGAAAATGGGGAAAAAGGGAGCCTTTTAGACTGCTAGTGGGAGGGTAACTTTGTATAAACTATTAGAATACAATTTGTCAATCCGTGTTACAATCAAATTGTTCATTCACTTTGTAACAACAGTTCTATTTCTAGGAAATAATTATAGATGGCAACTATTTCTATATAAAGCTTTTCATTACAATGTTAAATATGATAAAATTGGGGATACTCAAGTGGTCACTAATAGGAGCATGACTAAATAAACTTTGGTAGTGACAGTGAATAGAATACCATGCATCTATTAGAAATGCCTTTTAGAAAATAAAGTCAATGGCATGGGGATACAGACATAATTTGTAAAGCAGTATAACTCAAATTTGTAGAAAGAAATTACAGGACAAAGACTGGTACTGATTCAAAATGGTGCCTGGCTACGACGGGCCTTTGTCCCCAGAATTAAGCCTGGAGAATTGTCCTCGAAGTAAAGCAGGTGCTCTACGTGTAGAAAGCTCCTGGTGCGGATGCTGGACTCTGAGAGAAGGCTGAGCACAGCCTTGGGTAATGCAGAACTTCCTCAAAAGGCAAGGAGGCAAAAATAAAACAAGTGAAGAGCAACTCTCTTAGAAGAGGAAATGCACTCAAGCCCTTGGGCCACAGAGAAAAGTGCTCCTGAAACTGGAAACTCTATGGTCTCCCAGCCTCCAGCCTGCCTGCTCTTCAGTCAGTCACCCTACAGGTGACACCCCCTGCATTCCCCACTCTCATTTTCAGAGAGCTGCTGCCGGGACCCTCATTCTGGGAATGGACTATGAGGAAGGAGACCTACATAGTTGTCAAGGAAACCTATGCCAGTTACATATGCCATACATTTTAATCGCTTAGTTATCAATGTGACAGGTAGGGAGAAAACACCAAATGCTTGAGGAAAACCAGGGGTATGAAAGAGAAGCATTAAGATTACTTTTTAATGGAAATGTATATATTCACCTAGGCTATTCTTCCTTACCCAAGTTGAAACTGAATAGTATGACCTAAACGTACATTTCGTGTGCTGGGAAGAAAAAGCAACTGATAACCCCCTTTCCCGTAGGTTTCCTGTCATTAATTTGCTCACCAGTGCAACCCCATTCAGGCCCCCAAGCTAGTGCCATCTTGTGTGCACAAGGCTGGGGCAATTGGATTCATAAGAAGTTTTGTCCATGAGGAATTTTCAGTCTAATGCCAAGTAATTGACAATGAAAATGTTTCCTGGTTTCCATCCAAATATTTATTAATACAGCAAAAATGTAGGATTTGTAGGATTTATGTATCTTCCAACTATCTCCACTACTGCAGGACACAGACACCATCTATAAATCTCACATTGTAACCACTAACACTTATCTTTGTTATTGTCACCTGGAATCTTTTATGCCAAAATAAGAGTCTTAAAAGAATGAAGCCCTGCAATTTCACTGTCCAACAACAGAGGTTTTACCTGATAAATCGTCTTCTCGTCTGACAGAGTGGGCCACAGAAACATCTCTGACAGCTGTTGCATGATGGAGTGGGAGCAAGGTCACTTCCTGCAAATGTTAGGGTTCTTCAGAATCCTTCAGGCGTTGGAGGAATAATTGAACTCAACAGGCAATCAGTCACGTCTGAAACATGTGAAATATACCTAAGGACCCGAGGTCAGGGTTGAGTGTCCAAATTCAACCAGTTATTCACACGGTCTGAAAATGAAAATGTTTCATTTCAGAGAAGTTTATATGGAGTCCTTGACAGAATGTTGAATATGAAATAGATTTTTTTTCTGTCTTCCTTTGAAAATCTTTGTGGATAAAGCTTAACATGGTGCATTAGAATCTTAGGAGTAAAATATCCCTCACAAAATTTGATATCTTATCTGATTAGTTAATACAGACATATTACATTTTTCAACTAATTTTTTTTCTTAAGAAGAATTCTTTCAGAAACGGAGAAGCATGTAGTAACATACTGATTTTAAGGAACCTATGCTAACAATTTTAAGTAGTAAAACTTAAAACTAAACTTAAGAAGTAATAAAAAGGTGATAATAGGATAATTACTATTTGGCATCCTACTAAGATATTTAGTTGGCAATTTAATTTTAAATTACCTGGTTTTCTCTGATATTCACATATTATTAAATGCAATTTCATTTAAGCTGCTCTACTAAGTGTTAGGGAAATATGAAAATTGAAAGTGTGACCTTGTTGTCCAGTAAAGTAATTTTATCGAATTTGGTAGACTCTTAATTGTCCCTAAGTATTCATTTTCCCTTTCTTTTTTTTTTTTTATTGTAGCTTTTCTTTTGAAATATGCGTTGCCTCCCAGACATTGCAAAATGGTATAGTGAGTTCTGGTGTATTCTTTTTTTTTTTTTTTTTTTTTTTTTTTTGGAGAGACGGACTTGTTCTGTCTCTCAGGCTGGAGGGCAGTGGTGTGATCATGGCTCACTGTTGCCTCGACCTCCCAGGAACAAGCGATCCTCTTGCCTCAACCTCCTGAGTAGCTAGAACTACAATCACCCCTCACCATGCCCAGCTAATTTTTAAATTTTTTGTAGAGATGAGGTCCGCTATGTTGCCCAGGCTGATTTAGAACTCCTGGCCTCAAGGGATCCTCCTGCTTTGGTTTCCCAAAGCGCTGGGATTCAGGCATGAGCCACTGTGCCCAGACTTAATTCTGGCGTATTCTTAAGCCAGTGTCCCCTAATGAAAATATCTTCCAGGACCTCAGTGCATGGTCCAAATGAGGAAGCTGTTAAGAGGTACAATACTATTAACACATGTACATACAGATTTCAACAGCATTTAAGTTCAGTTTTTTCTTTCTGTCTTTTGTTTTGTGTTTATAGTTCTTTTTCTGTCTTCCTTTGAAAATCTTTCTGGATAAAGATGTTTCCACAGATTTCTGTAGATGTGTTCAGCCATCACCACCCAGTCCCAGTTAGAATCAGGGTACAGAACTGCTTCATCAGTCTCATGAGAAGGTGTGACTGAAAGGAGCAGTGCAAAGATGCTCCTTTGTCCTTTCAGTCACGCTTTCTCCCTGACTCTGACCTTTGGCACCAGCTGTTAGGTCTTCACACTCTAATTTTACACTTTAAGAAAGGTATGTAAGGGCAGGGTGCAGTGGCTCACACCTGTAATCCCAGCACTTTGGGAGGCCAAGGTGGGCGGATCACGAGGTCAGGAGATCGAGACCATCCTGGCTAACACGGTGAAACCCCGTCTCTACTAAAAAAAGTACAAAAAATTAGCCAGGCATGGTGGTGGGCGCCTGTAGTCCCAGCTACTCGGGAGGCTGAGGCAGGAGAATGGCTTGAACCCAGGAGGTGGAGCTTGCAGTGAGCTGAGATCGCACCACTGCACTCCAGCCTGGGTGACAGAGTGACACTCTGTCTCAAAAACAAAAAAAAAAAAGAATGGTACGTAAGTAGAATAATGTAGGTAGCACCATTTTGAGATTGCTTTTTTTTCATTCATCATAAAGCCCTACAAATCCACCTAAGCTGTTGCCTGCATTGATAGTTTGTTTCTTTGTTTTGTGTCACAGTTTGTCTATTTATTCACAGGTTGAAGGATGTTTGAGTGGTTTCAAGTCGTGGGCTGCTACACATGAAGCAGCAATGAACATCTGTGTTCACATTCCTGTGTGACTGTGTGTTTCACTTCTGTAGCATAAATACCCAGGAGGCCTGGATTGCATTGCAAATATGTTTTTAACTTTGTAGGAAACAGCCATACCACCTTCCACAATGGTTATGCTGTTTTCCATTTCCATCAGCAGTGCATGAGAAAGCCTGCTGCTCTGCGTGCTTGTCAGCACACGGTATTGTCAGTATTTTTATTTTAGCCACTTATTAGGTGTGCATTGATGTCTCATTGTAGCTTTAATTTGCATTTCCCTAATGGCTAATGATGGTGAACATCTTTTTATGTGCTTATTTGCTATCTCTATACCTTCCTTGATGAGGTGTCAACAAATGTTTTGCCTGTTTTCTTGTTGTTGAGGTTGCAGCATTCTTTATATGGTCTGGATAAAAGTTCTTTCTTAGGTATGTGATTTGTAAATATTTCTTCCAGGCAATAGCTAACTTTTTATCCTCCTAACAAGCCCTACTTAGAACTGAAGTTTGAAAGTTTGATGAAGTCCATATTACCAATTTTTTTCTTTCTTAGACATGACAACTTTTTGTCTAACTCTTGCACAGGAAGATTTTTTTCCTGTGTTTTCTTCTAGAAATGTTGTAGTTTCACACTTTACATTTAGATCTATGATCTATTTTGAGTTAATTTTTATAGAAAGTGTGAAGTTTAGGTCTAGCTTTTTGTTTGTGTGTTTTCTTTTTTGGCCTACAGTGTTTAATTTTCCCAACATCTTTTGTTGCAAATTCTAATCTTCCTCTATGGGATTGCTTTGCATTTTCATTTTAAAAAATTAAGTTGACTGCACCTATGCAGGTCTATGTCCAGTTCCTTTATCCTGTGCCATTGATCCGTTCCTCTGCCCAAGCCACACTGTGAGGCTGTCTTCCCAAGCTCCTCCCTTTCCAGGATCTCCCCGGCCACAGCTTCTCCTTTCCTCGTTTTGATCATCTAGCCAGAAAGCTGGGCTTTTAGTTACTCAGCTCTGCTGTGCACATCCTGCAACTGCGGCTGCTCCAAGCAGGAGATACAGAGAAAAAGAAGCCAGTCTTTTCCTCACCACCTTAGAAAGAGAGGTCCCTGCCTTGAAGCTCACGCTCCCCGCACCTGCTGCCTTCACAGTCCTTACCCTGCAGAGCGCGGCTTGAGAGAGGAGAGGGGCGAGCTTGGGATGGTGGATGGCCCTCCCAGCTCTGAGCTTTGGGGGCCAGAGCTAAAAGAGAGGCTGCTGTCTCCAAGTTGCCTTCAATCCAAGCTGGAGAATTCTGCAGACAAATAGGGCGCTTTCCTCCACTTTGGTAGTACTTCAAAATCTTGTCTTCTTCCTCAATGCGTCAACTACCACCCAGTTTTCAGAGCCCTCCAACCTCTTTTCCCTGCATTTCTTCCTGGCACTGGATCCCTAAGTACTCAGTTTAATCCATACATTGCCCTTATCATTTCTTTTTTTCTTTTTCTTTTTCTTTTTCTTTTTTTTTTTTTTGAGACAGAGTTTCACTCTGTCTCTTAAGCTGGAGTGCAATGGTGCAATCTTGGCTCACTGCAAACTCAGCCTCCCGAGTTCAAGAGGTTCTCCTGCCTCAGCCTCCCGAGTAACTGCGATTACAGGCACCTGCCACCATGCCCAGCTAACTTTTTTTTTTTTTTTTGTAGTTTTATTAGAGATGGGGTTTTGCCACGTTGGCCAGGCTGGTCTCGAACTCCTGACCTTAGGTGATCCATCTGCCTCGGCCTCCCAAAGTGCTGGGATTACAGGTGTGAGCCACCATGCCCAGCCCGCCCTTGCCATTTCCATCATCTGTCTTTCACACTGGATCTTTTTTCAGTTGTTCCAATAAACCAAGTGGTAAAAATTTGAAAAGTGAATGTGAGTAATAGGACCAAATTTAAAAAGTTATAGAATTTTAGGGTTGGAGAGGAACGTGAAAGAGTTATAATCACCCTTTCAAGCCACCAAGCTGAGATGAAATGCCTTGCCCTAAGTCACTCTTAGCCCTCTGATCTTCCTACGATGTCATGCGACTTTCACATAGAAACTAAAAGGACTTACCATTAATTTCTCCTCTTTCATTTACACATATGAATTTTTTTAAAAGTCTTTCTCATATCTTGACTAAGTTATACTCACAAAACCTACCCATTTTTCTGCTGAATTTATTCTTGAACTTGAATACAGTCTCATGTGGAAACAGTAATAATACCAAAATTGCAAATAATCTTTATATCTGACATTGCTCTTAGTTAATTCTGTTGCTAGTTTGGAAAGTTTTTTTTTTTTAAAAAAGAATGTTTAAACATCATTACGTTTAAAACATTTTAAAGCCTGAGTACGAGTTTTAAATCAGAATCACTGACTTCCCTCCCTTACACCTCATTATTACAAACCTTGATTTGAAAGCCGTATTTCCTACAAAGAGTCAAACGAGAAAAAACATACTCCTGTGTGAAAAGAAATATACCAATGTACCAAATCCTTATAGTTTCTCTTCCCCAACCTGTGACCAATGTTCACCCTTTGGTGCCAGACTCATCTGTTTTACACACACACACACACACACGCACACACACACACCCCGAAAACTTGATGTAAAATGTAAATAATTCATATTAGACATAATAATAAGGAAAGGAAAGCAAATAGCAAATGTGCCTTTGTTGTTAGGAGTGAAGATGCAGGTTCAGAATTGTCTGTGCTGAGTAAGGATAAGGTCTTAATATCTGAGAAAAGGGGTCTGAATCCTGAGGAGGATATACAGAAAGTGGCCTTTTGAATTAGACTATTTGGGCAAATGTGCAGAATGATGGCGACTGACTGGGCAGAACTGGCGTATGGCACCAGGTTGTAGCAATGGAGATGAAATAAAAGGGCCTGATCCCTAAAAGAACTTTAAAGGAAGAAACAACAGGACCCACTAACAAATGGAAAATAAGTGATGAAGGAAGATAATCACAATAATATGTAGTGAATCTGAGTCTTTTGGCCAGGGAACTTGTGACAAATATAGAAGTACCAAAAAAAAAAAAATAGAGACATTCGAAAGATGGATATGGGATGGAAAAAATGAATTGTTCAGGATGTGCTGAGCTTGAAATATCAAGGTCATATTCAACAGAAAAAGAAATATTGTGAAGGGGCCCAGATGTGAGGGTAGGGCAAAAAATGATATTAGTAGAAAAGTCATTTGAGTAAAGAAAGTGGATATGTTAATAGGGAAAACAGAGTGCTTGGCCCAGGGCAGACCCTGTAAGATTCCCATGAGTAAGGATCAGCAGGTCAAAGATTTACCAGTAAGAAGACAGAGGCCAATGAGACAAAGCAAGAAAGCCCAGAGTCCAGAGAGCATGAGGGAGTCCTGTTTCAGAAGGGGAGGGTGACTAGCCGGAAGACTTGGAGAAAGTGGAAGATGAAGAAAATCCTTTGAGCGGGGGAGCACTGTCTGGCTTGGAAGATGGTCCTAGGAGATAGGTGGGGAAATGGCCAGATTTGGGGAGGAAGAATACTGGGGAATGTGAAAGGTCTGTGCCTAGAGAACAATGCGTCAGGACATGGTGATGGAATGAAGGGATTGGACAGCGCTGAACATTTTAGGAGACAGAAGGAAAAGAAGAGTGAAGTGAGACAGAAAGACATGGAGGATGTGAAAGAAAATGTGAGGATTTATATTCAAAATACCAAAAAGCTTTCTAATTCCTAGACTTGCCCCCGGCTAGAGTGGGCTATCTGGGTGAAGAGTTTATACAGATATCCCCATATACACTATTTATTCTACTTAGATAACACTCTAGAGACACTATGTCCTGTTTTCTTGAAAGACTCATACCAATGGTGACATTTCAGATCTTCTAAGGAAGTTTATTTTAGCTTCAAAATAACACGGGTGGCACGGGGGAAGTATTTTTAGCCTCAAGGAGCGTTTTAGGCCAGGCACAGTGGCTCAGGCCTGTAATCCCAGCACTTTGTGAGGCTGAGGTGGGAGGATCATGAGGTCAGGAGTTCGAGACCAGCCTGGCCAACATAGTGAAACCCCATCTCTACTAAAGATACAAAAATTAGCTGGGCTTGGTCGTGTACACCTGTAATCCCAGCTACTCAGGAGACTGGGGCAGGAGAATCACTTGAACCCGGAAGGTGGAGGTTGCAGTGATCTGAGATTATGCCACTGCACTCCAGCCTGGTTGACAGAGCGAGACTCTGTCAAAAAAAAAAAAAAAAAAGAGAGGACTTTAGTACTTCTGAAACTCCTCTGTGTAGCTCTTCGTTCAAGCAATCCTAACTCAGAAGTACAAGAAGGATAATATTCTTGTGTGTGCTCTGAAGCTATTTAGTAGCATCAGAAAGGTGGAGAATAAGTAGCTTATAAAACATTGACAGCTCTTCAAATTGGACTAACAGGAAATCTCCAGGCATTTTATTCATAATTTTGGAAGAAATGCAATAACAAAGATTTAATGGGTCCCATATTGTGAAACATAATTGATCTAGAATAAGTACTATTCTTATTCCTATAGACAATCATACTCTGAGATTTTGGTCAAGTATCAGTTGATTGTTAATTATCTACGTGTTTGAAATATATGAAATTTAATAGAGAGGCCATAAGTCACATCCAAGAAGTACTAAGAGAAAGCACCACTGCAAAATCTTGGTAAATTCAGAAAATAATAACAAATCTCATAATGAAATAAATATTTTATTGGGATTATAAGACCTACCATCCAAAGAACCATTAGGAACTTTACAATAACTCATTAATTTATATGGGAAATATGACAGAAAGCAATTTCTGCTTTTACTTCTTTTCTTCTTTACTTCTTTCCCTTAGTGTGTTTTGCATGTGTGTTTGTGTTTCCTTGAATCGTTGCTTAATCCAAGAAGCTTTCAATTGACATCCCATGTCAGACGGGAATGCCACTGTATCACTTATTGATTTCAACAGTGGTAGTTTACTCCTGGAAACTAAAACCGTTAGGTGTTTCTAAAATGTATGCACACACACACACACACACAAACAGAGTTTAAGGGTTAAGTATTTATCTTCCTACCTGTATTTTTCAGAAGAAAGAAGAAAAGGAGGATATGCTTCTGTACTAGAGACTACTCTTTATTAGAAAAGCACAGGAACAATTCTCAACCTGAATATTTTCAATAAATGCCTTGGTGAAAATTACTGAAGTGGTGCTACAAAATTGCCTTGTCTTATTTTTGAGGACATGTGGAAAGCCTTTCTACAACTTTTAGATATATGTAATAAAGCTGAACATTCTTCACATCATCCAAACTTATTAGAGAGCTTAAAGTGTAATAGTCAAATCGCTAGCATTGGTTAGTTTGAATGAATAGTCCTTTTAAGACTTTTTTTTTTTTTTGAGATGGAGTCTCGCTCTGTTGCCCAGGCTGGAGTGCAGTGGTGCGATCTTGGCTCACTGCAAGCTCCACCTCCCGGGTTCATGCCATTCTCCTGCCTCAGCCTCTGGAGTAGCTGGGACCACAGGCACCCACCACCATGCCTGGCTAATTTTTTGTATTTTTAGTAGAGACGGGGTTTCACCGTGTTAGCCAGGATGGTCTCGATCTCCTGACCTCGTGATCCTCCCGCCTCCACGTCCCAAAGTGCTGGGATTACAGGCATGAGCCACTGCGCCCAGCCAAGACTTTTTAAAATGCTTCCTTCTTCATGGATCTGGGCTCCTGAGTGAGTGTGCTGAGTGAATCATGCATGGTAGCAGACACCTTTCGGAATCCGGCTTCAGTAGACGTGAGGGTAACTCCAGTGCTCAGAAAAGGTCCCTTAGCAGCTGGACTTGCTCAAGGTGACTGGATGCTCGTCATAAGATTTCCAGGTTGGGTCTGAGTTATGTCAAGTACTAGTTGGAATTGATTTATTGCTGTCTTGCTCACAAGCCAGGAGCACACTTCTGAAGTTGCCAAGAGTGTGAAAAAGCAGATATCCAAATTGTGAAGTGAGTGGTTTCCTACATTAACTCGAATTGATTTTGTTCTTCCTAATGCTGATAAGGATTATTTTGGAGTAGAATACAGTAGCCCCCTCTTATCCATGGGGATACATTCCAAGACCCTCAGTAATTGTCTGAAGTCCCGGACAGTATTGAACCCTACATATACTATGTTTTTTCTTATGCATACATGTCTTTAATAAAGTTTAATTTACAAATTAGGCACAGTAGGAGACTCACAGTATCTAATAAATTGGACGATTATAAAAAAACTGTAATAAAATTATGTGAATGTGGTCTCCTTCTCTCCAAGTATACTATAGTGCTGTAATCACCTATTTTCAGCCCATGCTGACTTCTAGTAACTGAAACCTCAAAAAGCAAAACTCCAGATAAGGGGTTTCATTTACTGTAATAAAATGAAAATTCTGTAAACATGTTTAGTTGAAAATATCTTACAGACATACATAATTCAGTGGAAGCGATAGTGATATGTTTCAGAAATTCAGATTCAAGATTTCAGAAATTCAGTTTCAAGGTTCAAGGCTCCTCTGACAATTGAATGACTTAGTTTTTCAAATATAATCAAGATTCTGCCTTGAATTATATATAATATATATTATTATTATTTCCATATATAATTTATGGAAAAGTTATAAAATTAATATAAACATTTGAAATACTGTCTTTTGGCTCACTTTGAAAAGATTTCCAGTTTGCTTCTAAATGAATAACAAATTTGAAAGGCCAAGTGATTTAAGGCAGGTACATCACTACTTAGCAATACGATTTGTTCAAGCAGGTGAAAAGTATGCAAGAATCAAAATGCTCTTTGCAAAAGGAGCTTCAATTTTCATCAGGAAAACCCAGTTTGTGTCAGAGGGTGAAACTTGCTTGACTAGATCTGTTCACTGAAGCCATTGAACAACTTCCGATGTTCTTGCTCTCTCCCATTTACGATGCTGAACTTTACAGAGACAGACTGTTTGAAGCCTTCCTAATTATTCCCATTCTTAGCCAAGAAGGATTACTAAAGCTCAGCCTCTATTGTAATTCTTAAACTTCTCAGTGCAAATTATTAATATATGGCAATCTAAAATGCCTTTCTCTGGCTTTATGACCTGATTATTATTTCGAGTCTCTCTAGCAGTGAACTTGAGGATCATGCAAACATGTTCTATGGGAACATCACTGTGTAGCTGAATAATTTGTTTTTTAGTAAGCTAGCTCAAATTTATCATCAGTCATGAAAATGTTTTATCAATGCTCTTCCATAAAGCAGACATATTATTTTACTAGTTTCAGTTTAGCCCTGACAGAAACCTGATCGGGAATACTATTATTAAGCCACAAATACCTGTTTTAAAATATGTTGTCTTATGCTATTTCATTGTATTGTATTAATAATTCATGTAATATTTCCTTTGGTTTTATTGTCTTCTGTGTTATAATTAAAACTGAAATAATTTGGGAAATGTAATGTATATAGCACACATCTAAAGTTCAGAGTGAGAATAAAACTACAACTATTTTATCTATTGCAATAGCTCAAATAGTAGAGTTTAACTATAATACTTGGTATACATATCAAACAAGGTATCTATACATACATTATTTTAATTTTACTCCTCCCTCATTTTCTCTCCACGTCCCATCACATAAATATGCACAAATTTAACTGGCCAGAGGTGACCTACATTCTCTACATGCAGTGTCCATGATGAAGATAGCAACTGTATTTGCTAAGGTTTTCACAGTTCATAACAGTGAAATAAAATGTAGCTATGGACATTCATTGATTAATCTAATATTTATTGAAGGTGTATTTGTTAGATTCCGTGATACAATGATGAACAAGTCATTGTGTAATCATGAAGAGCTTCTAGCCAAGTGGGTAAAAAGATAAGGAAATCATCCCAATTAGTGAGATAAACTACAAGATAGGGAATCATTCCGTGTGTTACCAGCACATTCTACCCACGCTGTATTTTTCAGGGAAAGGTGGTGTACATTACCTGATGTCTAAATAGGAGGTAAAAGCATAAGGTGCTGGGAGACAAAGGAGTTGTAGATTACCTGATATCCAAATAGGAGGAAATAGCATAAGGTCATGGAAGAGAGAGGGGTGTAGATTACCTGATGTCCAAATAGGAGGTAATAGCGTAAGGTCCTGGGAGACAAAGGTGTTGTAGATTACCTGATGTCCAAATAGGAGGAAATAGCATAAGGTGCTGGAAGAGAGAGGGCTTTAGATTACCCGATGTCCAGATAGGAGGTAGTAGCATAAGGTCCTGGAAGAGAGAGGGTTGTAGATTACATGATGTCCAAATAGGAGGTAACAGCGTAAGGTCCTGGAAGACAAAGGTGTTGTAGATTACCTGATGTCCAAATAGGACGAAATAGCATAAGGTCATGGAAGAGAGAGCGTTGTAGATTACCTGATGTCCAAATAGGAGGGAATACCATAAGGTCCTGGAAGACAAAGGTGTTGTAGATTACCTGATGTCCAGATAGGAGGTAATAGCATAAGGTCCTCGAACACAAAGGTGTTGTAGATTACCTGATGTCCAAATAGGAGGTAATAGCATAAGGTCCTGGAAGACAAAGGTGTTGTAAATTACCCGATGTCCAAATAGGAGGTAATAGTATAAGGTCTTGGAAGACAAAGGTGTTGTAGATTGCCTGATGTCCAAAGAGGAGGGAATAGCATAAAGTCCTGGAAGACAAAGGTGTTATTATATTACCTGATGTCCAAATAGGAGGTAATAGCATAAGGTCCTAGAAGACAAAGGTATTGTAGATTACCTGATGTCCAAATAGGAGGTAATAGCATAAGGTCCTGGAAGACAAAGGTCTTGTAGACTACCTGATGTCCAAATAGGATGTAATCGCATAAGGTTCTGGAACAGAGAGGGTTGCATATTACCTGATGTCCAAATAGCAGGTAAGAGCATAAGGTCCGGGAAGAGAGAGGGCAGTAGATTACCTGATGTCCAAATAGGATTTAATAGCATACGATCATGGAAGAGAGAGGGCTGTAGATGACATGATGTCCAAATAGGAGGTAATATCATAAGGTGCTGGAAGAGAGAGGGCATTACATTACCTGATGTCCAAGTAGGAGGTAATAGCATAAGGTCCTGGAAGAGAGAGGGTTGTAGATTACATGATGTTCAAATAGGAGGAAATAGCATAAAGTCATGGAAGAGAGAGGGTTGTAGATTACATGATGTTCTAATAGAAGGTAACAGCATAAGGTCCTGGAAGGCAAAGGTATTGTAGATTACCTGATGTCCAAATAGGAGGAAATAGCATAAAGTCATGGAAGAGAGAGGGTTGTAGATTACCTGATGTCCAAATAGGAGATAATAGCATAAAGTCCTTGAACACAAAGGTGTTGTAGATTACCTGATGTCCAAATAGGAGGTAATAGCATAAAGTCCTGGAAGACAAAGGTATTGTAGATTACCTGATGTCCAAATAGGAGGCAACAGCATAAGGTCCTCAAAGACAAACTTGTTGTAGATTACCTGATGTCCAAATAGGAGGGAATAGCATAAGCTCCTGGAAGATAAAGGTTTTGTTAGATTACCTGATATCCAAATAGGAGATAATAGCATAAGGTCCTCGAAGACAAAGGTGTTGTAGATTACCTGATGTCCAAATAGGAGGTAATAGCATAAGGTCCTGGAAGACAAAGGTGTTGTAGATTACCTGAGTTCCAAATAGGAGTTAATAGCATAAGGTCCTGGAAGAGAGGGCAGTAGATTACCTGATGTCCAAATAGGAGGTAATATCATAAGGTGCTGGAAGAGAGAGGGCTTAAGATAACCTGATGTCCAAGTAGGAGGTAATAGCATAAGGTCCTGGAAGAGAGAGGGTTGTAGATTACATGATGTTCTAATAGAAGGTAACAGGATAAGGTCCTGGAAGGCAAAGGTATTGTAGATTACCTGATGTCCAAATAGGAGGAAATAGCATAAAGTCATGGAAGAGAGAGGGTTGTAGATTACCTGATGTCCAAATAGGAGATAATAGCATAAAGTCCTTGAACACAAAGGTGTTGTAGATTACCTGATGTCCAAATAGGAGGTAATAGCATAAAGTCCTGGAAGACAAAGGTGTTGTAGATTACCTGATGTCCAAATAGGAGGCAACAGCATAAGGTCCTCAAAGACAAACTTGTTGTAGATTACCTGATGTCCAAATAGGAGGGAATAGCATAAGATCCTGGAAGATAAAGGTTTTGTTAGATTACCTGATATCCAAATAGGAGATAATAGCATAAGGTCCTCGAAGACAAAGGTGTTGTAGATTACCTGATGTCCAAATAGGAGGTAATAGCATAAGGTCCTGGAAGACAAAGGTGTTGTAGATTACCTGAGTTCCAAATAGGAGTTAATAGCATAAGGTCCTGGAAGAGAGGGCAGTAGATTACCTGATGTCCAAATAGGAGGTAATAGCATAAGGTCCTTGTAAGAGAGAGGGTTGTAGATTACATGATTTCTAAATAGGGGGTAATAGCATAATATCCTGGAAGACAAAGGTGTTGCGGATTACCTGATGTCCAAATAGGAGGAAATAGCATAAGGTCCTGGAAGAAAGAGGGTAGTACATTACCGGATGTCCAAATAGGAAGTAATAGCATAAGGTCCTGGAAGACAAAGGTCTTGTAGACTACCTGATGTCCAAATAGGAGGTAATCACATAAGGTTCTGGAACAGAGAGGGTTGTATACTACCTGATGTCCAAATAGGAAGTAAGAGCATAAGGTCCGGGAAGAGAGAGGGTTGTAGATTATCCGGTGTCCAAGTAGGCGGTAATCGCATAAGGTCCTGGAAGACAGAGGGTTGCAGATGACCTGATGTCCAAATGGGAGGTAATAGCATAAGGTCCTGGAAGACAAAGGTGTTGTAGATTACCTGAAGTCCAAATAGGAGGTAATAGCATAAGGTCCTCGAAAACAAAGGTGTTGGAGATTACCTGATGTCCAAATAGCAGGAAATAGCATAAGGTCCTGGAAGACAAAGGTGTTGTAGATTACTTGATGTCCAAATAGGAGGTAATAGCATAAGGTCCTGGAAGACAAAGGTGTTGTAGATTACCTGATGTCTAAATAGGAGGAAATAGCATAAGGTCCTGGAGGACAAAGGTGTTGTAGATTACATGATGTCCAAATAGGACGTAATAGCATAAGGTCCTGGAAGACAAAGTTGTTGTAGATTACCTGATGTCCAAATAGGAGGTAATAGAATAAGGTCCTGGAAGAGAGGGCTGTAAATTACCTGATGTCCAAATAGGAGGTAATAGAATCAGGTCCTGGAGGAGAGGGCTGTAGATTACCTGATGTCCAAATAGGAGGTAATATCATAAGGTGCTGGAAGAGAGAGGGCTTAAAATAACCTGATGTCCAAGTAGGAGGTAATAGCATAAGGTCTTGGAAGAGAGAGGTTTGTAGATATCATGATGTTCTAATAGAAGGTAACAGCATAAGGTCCTGGAAGGCAAAGGTATTGTAGATTACCTGATGTCCAAATAGGAGGAAATAGCATAAAGTCATGGAAGAGAGAGGGTTGTAGATTACCTGATGTCCAAATAGGAGGTAATACCGTAAGGTCCTGGAAGACACAGGTGTTGTAGATTACCTGATGTCCAAATAGGAGGCAATAGCATAAGGTCCTCAAAGACAAAGTTGTTGTAGATTACCTGATGTCCAAATAGGAGGGAATAGCATAAGGTCCTGGAAGATATAGGTTTTGTTAGATTACCTGATATCCAAATAGGAGGTAATAGCATAAGGTCCTCGAAGACAAAGGTGTTGTAGACTACCTGATGTCCAAATAGGAGGTAATAGCATAAGGTCCTGGAAGACAAAGGTGTTGTAGATTACCTGATGTCCAAGTAGGAGGTAATAGCATAAGGTGCTGGAAGCGAGAGGGCTATAGATTACCTGATATCCAAATAGGAGGTAATACCATAAGGTCCTGGAAGAGAGGGTTGTAGATTACGTGATGTCCAATTAGGAGGTAATAGCATAAGGTCCTTGAAGACAAAGGTGTTGTAGATTACGTGATGTCCAAATAGGAGGTTATAGCATAAGGTCCGGGAAGACAAAGGTGTTGTAGATTACCTGATGTCCAAATAGGAGGTAATAGCATAAGGTGCTGGAAGAGAGAGGGCTGTAGATTACCTGATATCCAAATAGGAGGTAATAGCATAAGGTCCTGGAAGACAAAGGTGTTGTAGATTACCTGATGTCCAAATAGGAGGTAATAGCATAAGGTGCTGGAAGAGAGAGGGCTGTAGATTACCTGATATCCAAATAGGAGGTAATAGCATAAGGTCCTGGAAGAGAGGGTTGTAGATTACTTGATGTCCAAATAGGAGGTAATAGCATAAGGTCCTGGAAGAGAGAGGGTTGTAGATTACCCGATGTCCAATAGGAGGTAATAGCATAAGATCCTGCAAGAGAGAGGGTTGTAGATCATCTGATGTCCAAATATTAGGTAATAGCATAAGGTCCTGGGATACAAAGGTGTTGTAGATTACCTGATATCCAGATAGGAGGAAATAGCATAAGATCACGGAAGAGAGAGGGCAGTAGATTACCTGATGTCCAAATAGCAGGTAATAGCATAATGTCCTGGAAGAGAGGGCTGTAGATTACCTGGTGTCCAAATAGGAGGTAATAGGATAAGGTCATTGGAGAGAGAGGGCTGTAGATTACCTGATGTCCAAGTAGGAGGTAATCACATAAGGTCCTGGAAGAGAGAGGGTTTTATATTACCTCATGTCCAAATAGGAGGTAAGAGCATAAGGCCCGGGAAGAGAGAGGGTTGTAGATTATCTGATGTGCAAGTAGGAGGTAATCGCATAAGGTCCTGGAAGAGAGAGGGTTGTAGATGACCTGATGTCCAAATGGGAGGTAATAGCTTAAGGTCCTGGAAGACAAAGGTGTTGTAGATTACCTGAAGTCCAAACAGGTGGTAATAGCATAAGGTCCTCGAAGACAAAGGTGTTGTAGATTACCTGATTTCCAAATAAGAGGTCATAGCATAAGGTCCTGGAAGTCAAAGGTGTTGTAGATTACCTGATGTCCAAATAGGAGGTAATAGCATAAGGTTCTGGATGACAAAGTTGTTGTAGGTTACCGGATGTCCAAATAGGAGGTAATAGAATAAGGTCCTGGAAGAGAGGGCTGTAGATTACCTCATGTCCATATAGGAGGTAATATCGTAAGGTACTGGAAGAGAGAGGGCTTTAGATTACCCGATGTCCAAATAGGAGGTAATAGCATAAGGTCCTGAAAGAGAGAGGGTTGTAGATTACATGATGTCCAAAGAGGAGGTAATAGCATAAGATCCTGGAAGACAAAGGTGTTGTAGATTACCTGATGTCCAAATAGGAGGAAATAGCATAAGGCCATGGAAGAGAGAGCGTTGTAGATTACCTGATTTCTAAATAGGAGGTAATACTATAAGCTCCGGGAAGATACAGGTGTTGTAGATTACCTTATGTCCAAATAGGAGTTAATAGCATAAGGTCCTGCAAGACAAAGGTTTTGTAGATTACCTGATGTCCAAATAGGAGGTAATAGTATAAGGTCCTGGAAGACAAAGATGTTTTAGAATACCTGATGTCCAAGTAGGAGGTAATAGCATAAGGTCCTGGAAGACAAAGATGTTGTAGATTACCTGATTTCCAAATAGGAGGTAGTAGCAGAAGGTCCTGGAAGACAAAGGTGTTTTAGATTACCTGATGTCCAAGTAGGAGGTACTAGCATAAGGTCCTGGAAGACAAAGGTGTTGTAGATTACCTGATTTCCAAATAGGAGGTAATAGCAGAAGGTCCTGGAAGACAAAGGTGTTTTAGATTACCTGATGTCCAAGTAGGAGGTAATAGCGTAAGGTCCTGGAAGACAAAGTTGTTGTAGATTACCTGGTGTCCAAATAGGAGGTAATAGCATAAGGTCCTGGAAGACAGAAGTGTTGTAGATTACCTGATGTCCAAGTAGGAGGTAATAGCATAAGGTCCTGGAAGACAAAAGTGTTGTAGATTACCTGATTTCCAAATAGGAGGTAATAGCAGAAGGTCCCGGAAGACAAAAGTGTTTTAGATTACCTGATGTCCAAATAGGAGGTAATAGAATAAGGTCCTGGAAGAGAGGGCTGTAGTTTACCTGATGTCCAAATGGGAGGTAATATCATAAGGTGCTGGAAAAGAGAGGGCTGTAGATTACCTGATGTCCAATAGGTGGTAATAGCATAAAGTCCTGGAAGAGAGAGGGTTGTAGATTACATGATGTCCAAATAGGAGGTAATAGCATAAGGTCATGGAAGACAAAGGTGTTGTAGATTACGTGATGTGCAACTGGGAGGTAATAGCATAAGGTCCTGGAAGACAGAGATGTTGTAGATTACCTGATGTCCAAATAGGAGCTAATAGCATAAGGTCCTGGAAGAGAGTGTGTGTTCCAGTCAGAAGGAGCTATTGGTTCAGGATAGCTGCAACATACATTTAGTCATTATGATGGAAAACTGATAATGGAGTTAGGCCTGATGTTGAGATGTATAATTGAAGAAGAGTGAGAGGATCACCTTTCAATTCACAAAGATCATCATAGGGCCAGTATAAAAGTATTTTAGAGACAAGTAATAATGGAATTAGGGAAACCAGTTCAGGTAAAAAATGATGTTGTTCTAGATTTTGGAGGTGACTGAAGAGAAAAAGTACATATAATTCACTTATAGCTCTGCTTATCCTATTACGGGTATTTCTTTCTAATGGAGATTACAGATGTTATTTTTAAAACACTTTGTGATTCTGAGGAGGCATTTACTTATGGGTCTAGTTGTATCATTAGTAACAATATATATTGTGTTTATCTTAAGCACACTTCTCTGCACATTATCTCAACTTCCTGGGTTGCTTGATCGGATAAAGCATTTATATTTGTCTTCTAAAATATGACTAAATACTATCCCCAATCAAAGTGACATAATATTCCATAGTTGTGCAAATGTTTAGTTTTTTTTTTTTTGTGCCGAAAGATAAGTCACAGGCTGGGGTATTTGATTTTTCTTTTAAAAATGATAAAGCAGAAGGAGAGAGAAAGAGACCAAGAAAATAAAATTGTATACAGTGAAACACAGATGTTATCTGAAAAATGGATTTTTTAAGAGAAATATAGGTATAAAAGGCATTCATGAGAAATACAAGAAGAGAGAAAGAGAAGTGAATAAATTAAACTCTTTTAATTATTGCAACAGCTCAAATAGTAGATTTTAACTATAATATTTGATAGACATGTGAGGTCTTTATACATATACTATTTTAATTCTCTCTCTATATATATAATGAAATGTTATTCCAAAATGCAATATAATCCCGTGGAAAATTTATTCAGTCGGAAAAAGGAGAAAATAAGGTTCTAATACTGATTTTAGTGCCTCAGGCAAGACACATAACTTTTTGGGCATCAATTTCTATATCTGTAAAATGAAAACACACGCCCTACTATGTATATCATATGTAAATGTCTAAAATGAGATAATAGTATTGAAAATGGCTTTGAAAAAAAATACAAGGGATTGAGTCACTCTAAGGAATGACTGTTTTTTAGGAGTCAACAAGAGGCAAAGGAAATAAAATTTATTCCAACTAAATGAAAAAGTGTTACTGAAATGTTAGCCTTTTTTTTTTTTTTTTTTTTTTGAGACGGAGTCTCGCTCTGTCGCCCAGGCTGGAGTGCAGGGGCGCGATCTCGGCTCACTGCAAGCTCTGCCTCCCGGGTTCACGCCATTCTCCTGCCTCAGCCTCCCGAGTAGCTGGGACTACAGGCGCCCGCCACTACGCCCGGCTAATTTTTTGTATTTTTAGTAGAGACGGGGTTTCACCGTTTTAGCCGGGATGGTCTCGATCTCCTGACCTCGTGATCCGCCCGCCTCGGCCTCCCAAAGTGCTGGGATTACAGGCGTGAGCCACCGCGCCCGGCCAAATGTTAGCCTTTTAAGAATACAAAAAAATCTAATTATATATGAATACAATACCTGAACCCATGAAACTTCTGTAGAATACATGAATCTGTAAAGTTATGTATTCTAAACATTTGTAGCCAGAATAACTTTCTTCATATTTTCCACATTCTTGGTACACTTACGTGTCACACATGTTCCCTGTTTTTCAAACAAGGTCAATGTTTTCATTATATACATTTACATTGTTATTGTAACTATTTTCCAGGTCTGTCAGTAAAATTTAGTCTCACACATTGATACCACATTCTTGCAATTATATTGTAATTCTCACATAGTAATTCAAGCCTTTTTGAATATACAAATCATCTGAATTTATTATATCACTGCTATGACACCTCATACACATGTTGAGACCATTTATGCCAGAAAAGATTAGATTTAGTATTCAAAGAGCCAAATGTAAATAATTCTGGATTGCTTATCCAAATGGGGAACTCAGAGAACTTCTATAGTTTAAATATGCAAATATTCAAAAGTAATTTTTTTGTGACCATACCCTCCTGCTACTGAATGTTTCCTTGAGCTGGTGTCAGAAGCAGGGTTTACAATGTTGTGCTCTATTTCCTGTTTAACCTATTGCCAAGATGTTAATTCAGAGTGAAATAATAAGAACTTAGTGAGAACTGGGGGTGATAAACAAAGTGTCCTCACAGCGGAGAAACTGGAAAATGTATCCTTGAAAGCGTGTGAATCGGGTGAGCGTACAACGGGTAACATCAGTATTGGTGTTCTCACTGCTGGGTCAGCACTGACCAGCAGAGTCTGGTGGGAGCCAGCAGGACCAGAAACATGTCCTCAGTTTGGGCCAATTTAAAGAAGTTGGGAAGCTTTCTAGAGCCCGGCCGTGTGTCTCTGCCCTTGCTACAACTCCTCCCTCTGTCTCACAGCCAGAGATGCACCCATGATGACATTCATGTAGGCTATTAAGGGCGAGCATTTCTCGGAAGGTGAAGCAAGATATGGTAGTCATTCCAAGAAACCTTCCTTCTCAGCTGCGATTTGTCAAGAGGAAAGAAGTGGAGTTTTCAGTGGAAAGCAGATGTGAATTTGGAGCAGTGGGGCACTTCCAGAGAATGAGCCCGGGTCAATTTTCATAGGCAATTGGCAACATGAATGCATAGGCACTGGGAAGAATGTAAATGGCAAGTCCAGGAAGCAAGTAGTAGCTAACAAATGCGTGAAAGAGTAGAGGAGTAAAATAACGATTTCATCCTCTGAATGCTGCCCAGAGTCAATCCCACTGTACCCCGTGCAGAGAAAGTGACTCCAGGAGTGTGTGCCCAGTCTAGAAGAAACAACAACACTCCTTCCATGTAGAGCCAAAATCGTGTGTGTCCCTCGGCCTGAGGAGCTGGAAGAATCCTGAATCTTCTCCATTTAGGGCAGGAGTTTTAGTGGCATGTCAAATGTGCAACATCCTCCAAGCCTAGAACCTAGAGGTGGTTCTAGAACACTTTTCTTCCTTGCTTCCACATCTGTCCAATTACCCACCTCAATTAATAGTTACCAGAATATTCCCAGAGAATCATACCAGCACACTCTTTGCACCAGGAAGGGGTACAGATATGTTACAAGAAGAGAGGTGGCTGTCAGAGTGGACCACATGTCTTTTTATAGTTTGGTGCTTTGTCTTTCACAATACCAGCTTGCCGTCTAGCAGGGGATGTCTAGCGTCTCCTACAAACATACTGATTATCTAGGAACATCATAGCACCAAAGAGGCCTTCTGCCCTCTTCCATTCCCACATTGTTAAGAAAAAAAAAAACTGGTTACGTAAATTACAGCATATTCATTTAATACTTGGAATATAAAAAGGGGTGGAAACATTGTTAAGGCCCCTGTCTGTGTAAGGATATAGAAAGCAGCCAAGATATATCTGTAGGTAACTAAAATGCAGATGTGCACAATGCTGCCATGCCTGTAGAAAACAAGGCCGGGTGCGGTGGCTCACGCCTGTAATCCCAGTGCCTGTAGAAAACAAGGCCGGGCGCGGTGGCTCACGCCTGTAATCCCAGTGCCTATAAAAAACAAGGCCAGACGCGGTGGCTCACGCCTGTAATCCCAGCACTTTGGGAGGCCGAGATGGGCAGATCACAGGGTCAGGGGATGGAGAACATCTTGGCCAACATGGTGAAATCCCGTGTCTGCTAAAAATACAGAAATTAGCTGGGCGTGCCTGTAGTTCTAGCTACTTGGGAGGCTGAGGCAGGAGAACCTCTTGAACCTGGGAGGCAGAGGTTATAGTACGCTGAGATGGCACTATTGCACACTCCAGCCTGGGCAACAGAGCAAGACTCCATCTCAGGGAAAAAAAAAAACACAACAAGCAAGTACACAAAAACGCCAAACACACAAAACTATACAGAACATATGATTTTTGCCAATATTCCAGGGTAAAAACATCTCAAGAGTTGATAGATTCCAGAGTCTTTGAGTGAGCACACTCGGTTCCTATCCTTGATCCCCTGCCCTCCGGAAGGCCTGTTTCTGTCTTCTCCCTCACACTCACCACCTGCTATCAGGACTCTCTGCTCCCTACTGTCAAGACTAGACGTGCCTCAGACACAGATTCCTCCCTTCTTCAGCAGGAGTTCCCAGGGCCGAGTTATTTATTCTAGAAGGTGCCCCTGGTGATAGTGGTGGGGAAAGCTTCTACAGGTCATCTGCAGTTACTTCTGGTCCTGTGTGTCACTCCGAAGACCACTTGTCATGTGGGGCGGCGGCTTCACAGAAGCATCTAGGTTAGCCAGAGACACTTAAAGCCTGTTTCTCTTTGAGAATGATGGTAAGCAGAAGACCTTTCTCTTTATCTTGTATTTATTAGTAACTATTAAATATATATTTTTATACACACAGACATATACCAAAGATGAACATTGATCCTTATCTTACGGATTCTCTAGACTCAAATGCTTACTGAAGTCAGGCAGATAAAACAAAAAAAATTCAACAACAGCAAACCAGCAAACAGAAACTCACTGAGGTAGTGAAGTGTAAGCAGGAAGCTGTGTGGCCAGGTGTGAGGAACTGTGTAGAACTCTGGGAGGAATGAGAGTAGCCCCTTCAGCTTCACTGCTTGCTGGTATGTGGGAGGGAGGGCCAGGGTTCCAAAACTTCCAGTTCTTAAATAGAAGCCTGCAGTCCTCATTGGAATTGCTTGTATGTTGACTCAAAAGGTTAAATATTGTGCAGATCAAACAAATAATTTCTGTGAGGAGGATTTAGTCAATGGGTAAGGAGTTTGTGACCTTTTGTCTAAACACATGAAAAGGAAGGGGACCATTTGCCTGACTGCTCTCTACTTTGCTACGTTCTTTCTACACCTGAGTTAGTGCTGGTGGAAGAGTGTTTCTTCTCCTTCATCCAGCTGCTTTCAGTCATGTACCCCCCCGTGACCCCCTCACTCTGGTTCAAACGCAAACACAAACTGAGAATAGGAAAATAATCCACTGCTGAGGCATGAACATAGCACCAAAGGATGCAGTACTCTAGTTGCAAAGAACTCTGGCTGAAATTTCCCCCACCTCACCTGCTTTCTCCTTTTATCTTACTCAAGGCTCATCTCTCTTCCAGTTCCTCTCTGGGGAAACAGGAGGGAGATTCTTCTTGTCACATAAATGTGTCCTGAAAGGATTCTCTCCTCCTTATATCTACTCCTTTAATCTGAGTTCAAGTCATCAACACCTCTCACCTGGCCCACTTGCCAACTTCCATACCGTCTGTCTCCATCCTCTAAAACAAACTTTCCATGTGGACAAAGCTGTCCTTTCTCATGCCTCAGACGCCACTGAGGGCACACCAAGGCCATTGGCGGCGTGGCCGTGGACTTACACAAACTTTCCATGTGGACAAAGCTGTCCTTTCTCATGCCTCAGATGCCACTGTGGGCCCACCAAGGCCGTTTGCGGCGTGGCCGTGGACTTTCCTTATGGTCACCAACCTGCAGCCTTAAGCTTTCACTCACCCTCTTTGTCTGTCCCCAGACTTAAATCTTTTCTTCATGTTGACCCTTGAAATACGTGTATTCATGAAGACCTGTTCAATCACACTCTGGATTTTCAAAGTTGAAAATAACAGGAAGTTACTACGGCAATGATGATTTAGTGAAAAATATGAAGGAATCAGTGACTCAACAATTTTTGGGCCCCATTTTTTTTTTCCTTCACCAGAGGATAATGTTAATATGAAGAGGTTGGTTGTCAATATTACAACTTTAGAAAGAGGAATACATGTATGTATGTATTCTTTTATATTTATGGGAGTTACCTTCTGAAACCTTTGAACATCACCAATATTGCGGATAACCATATGTTTTGATAAGCTCTTGGGTTTATCTCGCATTGCGATCAAGAATTGTTTTCACTGCATATCCTCCAACTACATTAAATGCCTTTTCAACATTCTTTACAATTTTCTACGTGGCAAAAGATACCATAAACAAAACTAAAGACAAATAACAGACTGGAGAAAATATTGTTTGCTTTGAGTATAACGTGGTAAGTTACGAAGGAAATGACAGGACACTAAATATGGGAAAATGAGTAAATATACCAAGAGCAAATTCAGAAAGACCTGTGCAATGAGACACAAAATTATTTTTAAAATTATAAAAATAAGCTTAATCTCACTAATAATCTGAGGACTACATGTTAAAATGGCAATGGAATTTCTTTGATGACCAAATATCGTTGTTTGATCATGTCAAGGGCAAGTGGGCAGGGAGAAATGTGTACTCCTCAACTGCAGATAAAAAGAGAATTGATAAAACCTCTTAAAAAAATGGATTAGATTTAGAAGAATGAACTATGTATACACTCTATGACTCAGTTCCATCTGTGAACATGAGTGTCAGAGAAAAGTGTGGCACATCTTCCAGTGGCCAGGTACACAGTGTTGTGCATGACCCTGTGTGGGAGGACCACAAATACATTTTAGTTAAGCACGTTATGGAAGACTATGTAGTATTTAGAAAGATGGGAAGGATCTATATGTACTGACATGAAGTCATAAAAATTATAAAAATCAAGGTGCAAAATCTGATGATTTGATGCCATGTGTGCAAAACATTCTTTTATATGCATTTCACAAAAAACAATATTATGTATTTCTCATTATCCCTAAAACAATTCTAGAGGATTCATGACATGCTGTTACTTGTCTCAGGTGGACAAGGATTAGAAATGGTGAATAAAAAAGGTTATTTTGGCGGGGCACAGTGACTTATGCCTGTAATCCCAGCACTTTGGGAGGCCGAGGTGGGTGGATCACTGGAGGTCAGGAGTTCGAGACCAGCCTGACCAACATGGTGAAACCCCGTCTCTACTAAAAATACAAAAAACTAGCCAGGCATGGTGGTGCGTGCCTGTAATCTAGCGACTCGGGAGGCTGAGGCAAGAGAATTGCTTGAACCCGGGAGGCGGAGGTTGCAGTGTTGCAGTGAGCCGAGATTGCATCATTGCATTCCAGCGTGGGCAACAAGAGTGAAACTCTGTCTCAAAAAAAAAAAAGAGGTTACTTTTGCCAGGCACAGTGGCTCACACCCGTAATCCCAGCACTTTCGGAGGACGAGGTGGGTAGATCACTTGAGGTCAGGAGTTTGAGACCAGCCTGGCCAACATGGTGAAACCCCATCTCTACTAAAAGTACAAAAATTAGCCAGGTGTGGTGGCGTGCGCCTGTAATTCCAGTTACTTGGGAGGCTGAGGCAGGAGAATTGCTTGAGCCCTAGAGGCGGAGGTTGCAGTGAGCCGAGATCAAGACACTGCACTCCAGGCCCAGAGACAGAGAGAGACCCCGTCTCAAAAAAAAAAAAAAGTTATTTTTCACATGGTAGTTCATTAAAATTTTTTAAGTATTAAGCTTTATTTATCAACTGATTAATATTTTTTCCTAATGAAACAAAATTTTACTTTTTTTAAAAAGTCTCTTTGTACTATTCAAATACTGAATATACAAACATTAGCTAGTGAAGGAATGAATACTGAGCTGATAGCCAGGCTTACTTGCTAGCTGGGTGACTATCTCACGGAAGTCTAGCAGGATTTGAGATTTCAATGAGAAATATTCTGCAAAACTTTAGAGTTGCTGACAAAAGGTAAAAAAAAAATGTGCTTATTAATAAAATAAGGCCAAGTAATGAAAAATGTATTTATTAAATGAAGGCCAGGGAACACTGTGTGAGGCTTCGTGGGTGTGAGTACTTGCTACTGGACTGTCATTTCTCAGTTATACAGAGTGAACCAGAGGTAGATAGGGAATAGTTATTGTCAGCAGGATCTATAGAAATAGCAACAGTGGTGAGGAGTAGAAGGATGTTGGATCAAATAAGATAGTGCAGATAACACCATAGAATGCTAGAGCCAAAAGGATTTAACACATACTTTTCTTGATAAGAAATAGGAGACAAATAAAAGTTCAATGATTTGCTGGAGGTCACACTGATATTTAGTGGAAGAACAAAGACCTAGGGCCCTTCAAGAGTAGAAAATGTTATACAAATGTCAACCGCTAAGCATTGGGGGTATTTATTGATCTTTATAATTTAGAGGTAATGGGCTCTGAGCATCAGACCATCTGATAACTTTAGTTCATCAGATTCTCAAAGTGTTCATCACTAGAAGAAGCTAAATAACTGCGTTACTCTGAAAATAAAAAATGAATATTGAGTCTGTTATACATTCTTTGATTTTAGGATGTAAAATTCCTTTTCTACTTCTCACAGGCAGCACTGAGATCTATGTTGCAAAGTAAATTGGGATAGTATTAAAACCATTTGCCTCAAGGGTTTTTTTAATAAGTTTCTTGTGATAATGTATGTGAATGCCCCAAGTATATGTGACCCATGGGCTGGTCTGTAGGTGGGACCCACTACATCGGTGAATCATGCTAAGCTCTTAATGACTCATTGTAGGTCTCTAAAATAATGGTATTTACAAATTCAAGACACATCTTTCATGAATAGCAAACGCTTACCATACAATAGCAAAATGAAGATAACACCAACTGAACTCTCTATTTTCTGTTTCTGTTTAACACCAACTCAATTGTTCATTTCCCCACGTGGTTGAGAGAGGAACATTAAATAAGTAGCAATGTTGGGCTGGCTGGTGGTTCTAAGGATCACCTAGAAAATGGAATGCCAGAGATTGTTTAGAAACAGATCTGAGATACTAGATAAGATGAAAATAACAATATAAGCACAGTAGTCTTCGTAACCAAGTCTTATGTGATTCAGAAATCAATAATCTAAATTACAGAGATCAGTACCTATTACAGGAAACAGTCGATATCCTCTGGGGCAGGGTTTTACCTCTGGTGTAGCCTCATATAAGTGAAAAAGAAAGGCTAAACGTCTTTGACCCCCAATTCCCATTCCCTTCACAGAAAACTAGCTAAATATCTAAATTGCTACCATTAAATCACATTAAATATTGCTCTTCTGCACTTTCTGGTCTGGTGTTGTAAAAAGCAGTTGGTTGTGCATATAAGAATGAGGGAAATGGAGGCTATCATTGGGACACAACGTATATCATAACAGTACGTGAAGTGGGTGGAGCGCTAACCTCAGTGTTTCTGCAAGGGAGTCTGGACTGCCCAGAGTGCATCCGTGTCATCCTGCATTTGGACATCATCACCAATTTCTTTCCAAGGACCCTTGTGCCCAAACAAAACTTGCACACATCAGATACATGCTGCCAATCCTGAAAAGTGAACATTTAAAACCTTAAAACTGAATTTGAATGTACCTGATCAATGTAATCACGTTTATTCTGTTCTCAGCTCTGTGATGTGTTCTGTCTACCAAAAGGAAGCTCTATTGCAGCCATTCAATGGTAATCCTGCTTGTACTCACAGAGTACTACTATTCTAAGAGCTTGGTAATATACTGCACATTTTTCTCTTCTCTTTTCTCTTCTCTTCTCTTCTTCTCTTCTCTTTCTTTTTCTTTTGACGGAGTCTTGCTCTGTCGCCCAGGCTGGAGTGCAGTGGCACCATCTTGGCTCATTGCAACCTCCACCTGCCAGGTTCAAGCAATTCTCCTGCCTCAGCCACCTGAGTAGCTGGGATTATAGGCACATGCCACCATGCCCAGCTAACTTTTGTATTTTTTTTTTTTTAGTAGAGATGGGGTTTCACCACATTGGCCAGGCTGGTCTTGAACTCCCAACCTTGTGATCTGCCCACCTTGGCCTCCCAAAGTGCTGGGATTACAAGCGTGAGCCACTGTGCCTAGCCTGTACTGCAGATTTTCTAAAATAGTATAGCCTATGTTAAAACTTGTCCTAATAGACATTATAAGATTACTTAGACATTGTTTTACTTTAAAGACTGTGTATGGCTTTCTCACAACCCCAGGGCCATTACTAGTAAGATAAGATTTTCATGGAAGACATTAAAAATCATGTTACACTTTAATAGTGATATTGTTTCAATCTTTCATCACATTAGGTCATTTCCATTTAGAAAATTTGATATTCATATGGAACCTTTTTGTATCAAAAATTATCCACATGTGCTTCAATTTTAGAACTTAACTACTTTCATGCAAGTAGTTTCTCTTAAGTCAGCTAAGGTAATCATGCATCTTCCTTGATTCTTTAAGACTCCCCTGCCCTGAAATATCTCCCCTAAAAGTCTGACACAATTATAGAACAAAGGATACTATGTCTTATTAAGAAGTTTAATCTCATCGTTATTAATAAGTAAATATGTGATATGGTTTGGCTCTGTGTCCCCTCCCAAATCTCATCTTGTAGCTCCCATAATTCCACGTGTTGTGGGCAGGACCCGGTGGGAGATGATTGAATCATGGGGTGGGTCTTTCCTATGCTGTTCTTGTGATAGTGAATGGGTTTCTGATGGTTTTAAAATGGGGAGTTCCCCTGCACAAGCTCTCTCTTTGCCTGTTGCCATCCATGTAAGATGTGACTTGCTCCTCCTTGCCTTCCACTGTGATTGTGAGGCCTCCCCAGCCATGTGGAACTGTAAGGCCAATAAGCTTCTTTCTTTTGAAAATTGCCCAGTCTCGGTTATGTCTTTATCAGCAATGTGAAAACAGACTAATACAATACGCATTTTTCTTGAGTATAGAATTAACCTGTTATATTTTTCCTAACATAGAGGAGGTAGTCTGGAGAGATTTGAAAGAAACACAGAGGTACAATTAATTTATTAGCCAAGTTCTTCAGGATCTCCTAAGAGAGAAACAGAGAGAGAGGTAGTGCAGTAAAGCTTCCATCTGATGCATAGCTAGTGTGAGGACACGTGCCTAGAGGCAGAACCAGGGAACTGGGAAATAGGAACATCTGTATTAATTTTGCTGATGATCTACCCTGAACACATGCTTTATGTTATGGGTTGGCTGTGTCCCCACCCAAATCTCTTCTTGAATGAATTCCCACGCATTGTGGGAGGGACCTGGTGGGAGGTGATTGGATCATGGGGGCAGGTCTTACCTGTGCTGTTCTCATGATAGTGAATGAGTCTCTCGAGATCTGATGGTTTTAAAAGGGGGAGTTTCCCCGCACAAGCTCTCTCTTTGCCTGCCACCATCCATGTAAGATGTGACTTGCTCTTCCTTGCCTTCTGCCATGATTGTGAGGCCTCCCCAGCCATGTGGAACTGTGAGTCCATTAAACCTCTTTTTCTTCCCAGTCTCGGGTATGTCTTTATCAGCAGTGTGAAAATGGACTAATACAGTAAATTGGTACCAGTAGAGTAGGGTGCTGCTGAAATACCCAAAAATGTGGAAGCGACTTTGGAACTGGGTAACAGGCAGAGGTTGGAAAAATTTGGAGGGCTCAGAAGAAGACAGGAAAGTGTGGGAAAGTTTGGAACTCCCTAGAGATTTGTTGAATGGCTTTGCCCCAAATGCTGATAGCGATATAGACAATGAAGTCCAGGTTGAGGTGGTCCCAGATTAAATGAGGAACTTGTAGGAACTGGAGCAAAGGTGACTCTTGTTATGTTTTAGCAAAGACACTGGTGACATTTTGCCCCTTCCCTAGAGATTTGTTGAACTTTGAACTTGAGAGAGATGATTTAGGGTATCTGGCAGAAGAAATTTCTAAGCAGCAAAGCATTCAAGAGGTGACTTAAGTACTGTCGAGGCATTCAGTTTTAAAAGGGAAGCAGAGCATAAAAGTTCAGAAAATTTGTAGCCTGACAAAACAATAGAAAAGAAAACCCTGGTTGGGCATGGTGGCTCACGCCTGTAATCCAGCACTTTGGAAGGCCGAGGTGGATGGATCACGAGGTCAGGCATTCGAGACCAGCCCTGGCCAACATAATGAAACCCCGTTTCTACTAAAAATGCAAAAAATTAGCCAGGCGTGGTGGCAGGTGCCTGTAATCCCAGCTACTCAGGAGGCTGAGGCAGGAGAATTGCTTGAACACAGGAGGCAGAGGTTACAGTGAGCCGAGATAGCGCCACTGCACTCCAGCCCGGGCAATGGTGTGAGACTAGGTCTCAAAAAAAAAAAAAAAAATTCCCATTTTCTGAGGAGAAATTCAAGCTGGCTGCAGAAATTTCATAAGTAACGAGGAGCCAAATGTTAATCCCCAAGACAATGGGGAATATATCTCCAGGGCATATCAGAGGTCTTCATGGCAGACCCTCTCATCACTGGCCAGGAGGCCTAGGAGGAAAAAGTGGTTTTGTGGACCAGACCCAGGATCCCTGTGTTGTGTGCAGTCTAGGGACTTGGTGCCCTGCTTCCCAGATGCTCCAGCTGTGACTGAAAGGGGCCAAGGTACAGCTTGGGCTATTGCTTCAGATGGTGAAAGCCCCAAGCCCTGGCAGCTTCCATGCGGTGTTGAGCCTTCGGGTTCACAGAAGTCAAGCATTGAGGTTTGGGAACTTCTACCTAGATTTCAAAGCATGTATGGAAATACCTGGTTGTCCAGGCAGAAGTTGGCTGCAGGGGTGGGGCTCTCATGAAGAACCTCTGCTAGGGCAATGTGAAAGGGCAATGTGGGGTCGGAGCCCCCACACAGAGTCCCTACTGGGGCACTGCCTAGTGGAGCTGTGAAAAGAGGGCCACCGTCCTCCAGACCTCAGAATGGTAGATCCACTGACAGCTTGCACTGTGCACCTGGAAAAACCACAGACATTCAACACCAGCCCATGAAAGGAGCCAGGAGGGAGGCTGTATCCTGAAGAGCCACAGAGCCAGGAGGGAGGCTGTATCCTGAAGAGCCACAGGGTGAAGCTGCCCAAGGCCATGGGAACCTACCTCTTACGTTACCGTGACCTGGATGTGAGCCATAGACTCAAAGGAGGTCATTTTGGAGCTTAAAGATCTGAGTGCCCTGCTGGATTTTGGACTTGCATGGGGCCTGTAGCCCCTTTATTTTGGCTAATTTCTCCCATTTGGAAAGGCTGTATTTACCCAATGCCTGAACCCCTTTGTATCTAGGAAGTAACTAACTTGCTTTTGATTTTACAGGCTCATAGGTGGAAGGGACTTGCCTTGTCTTGAATGAGACTTTGGACTGTGGACTTTTGAATTAATGCTGAAATGAGTTACAACTTTGGGGGACTGCTGGGAAGGCATGATTGGTTTTGAAATGTGAGGACATGAGATTTGGGAGGGGCCAGAGGCAGAATGATATGGTTTGGCTGTGTCTCCACCTAAATCTCATTTTGAATTCCCCCATGTTGTGGCAGGGATCTGGTGGGAGGTGACTGGATCATGGAGGCAGGTCTTACCTGTGCTGTTCTCATGATAGTGAATGAGTCTCTCAAGATCTGATGGTTTTAAAAGGGGGAGTTTCCCTGCACAAGCTCTCTCTTTGCCTGCCACCATCCATGTAAGATGTGACCTGCTCCTCCTTGCCTTCACCATGATTGTGAGGCCTCCCCAGCCATGTGGAACTGTGAGTCCATTAAACCTCTTTTTCTTCCCAGTTTTGGGTATGTCTTTATCAGCAGTGTGAAAACAGAGTAATACACTTTATTACATTTTCCTTCTACAAAATTTACATTTTTTATAACAATAGTTTTCATTTGTATTTCTTTTTGGATGACAAAGACATTTTACAGACATTTTATCATTGAACTCTACAATATTAAGTGTTAGAGCAAGTTTTAGCTATTTAACAATAAGGAAATGGAGCTTCAGCGACCTGTTGTAGTTAACATACATAATAAGCTGAATAACTGGGTCATGTATTCTATGCTATGTTTTCCTGAGTTATGTAGGTATCCTGTATAAGAAAAAAAATCTGTTTCATGATTCTATGAAAGTATTTTGATAACTTTTGATATATAAGACTTATTAGTATGGGTATGCATCAAATTTTCTTTCAGTATACAACAAAATAAATTTAGTAAAGTAAGTATAATGTAATTCAAATTCCTATAAACAACATTTAGTAAATATCTAAAAGGAAGTATCAGAAATACTACTAAAGTTAATACACACACCTGCCTACACTCACACACGGCACACATTTTCAAAGATATAAAAGCACATAATTGAAAAGTATGTTTTCTGGGGCCGGGCGCAGTGACTCACGCCTGTAATCCCAGCACTTTGGGAGGCCGAGGCAGGCGGATCACAAGGTCAGGAGATCAAGACCATCCTGGCTAACACGGTGAAACTAAAAATACAAAAAATTAGCCGGGCGTGGTGGCGGGCGCCTGTAGTCCCAGCTACTTGGGAGGCTGAAGCAGGAGAATGGCATGAACCTGGGAGGCGGAGCTTGCAGTGAGCTGAGATCGAGCCATCGCACTCCAGGCTGGGTGACAGAGTGAGACTCCGTCTCAAAAAAAAAGTTTGTTTTCCACTTGTGTGTGGTAGCCAGGTGAACAGTCCAGCCAAACAGTGACACCCCTAGAGAAGATATTGAGCATGATTTCTTTCTGTTTTCCTTTTCTTTTTTTAACACAAATGATTTCATCCTACAGGTTGGTTTCAGCCTTTCTTTTATCACTTATCTATTCACACAAAGATAAGCACATGTGCATGCACACACACTTTTTTCTTCTCTCTCTTTATTCCACAGCAGCACAGAAAGAGTTACCATCGTCTTTTTAATGGCCATAAAAATATATCATAATTGATTTGACCGGTTGAACATTTAAAGTATTTGCAAGTGAATCTTGCTGTGCAGACATCATTTAGAGTGTGTGTAGTATGTCCATAGGATAAATTCCTAGAAGCAAAATTATTAGGCAAAAGAAATCATGCATTTTTAATTTTAAGAAATATTCCTAAATTGCTTCAGTGGATAGTATATAAATCTATATTTCCACTAGTAATGCATGACTGCATGTTTTCCTCACAGTGCCACCCACACACTGTGTCATCAACATTTGTGAACTGTATTAACCTGAGAGATAAAATATGTTATGTAATTAAGTTTTAATTTGTAACTTTTCCTTTATAAGTGAGATTGAGGTTTCCCCCACTTTCATATGGTCTTCCCGTTTGTTCACCAGACTATTAGTCTTTTCCCAGATGATTCATGAAAACTGGACATGTTAAGAATATGAACCCCTTAGCTATTAAAATGGTTGTAATTTTTTCCAAGTTTTTTTTGTATTGTTTATGGAATTATTTTATATATAGATTTTAATTTTTATGCAATTAAACATGTTTATTTTATATATTGGAGCATTTTGTCATATTACAAAATCCTTCTCCAATTCCAAACTTTAAAATTCTTTTTTCCCAATTTATTTTAGCCTTATATCCTGTATTTAACATCTGTAATTTATTTTAGGGTAAAGTGTGAGGTATGTATCTCACTTTATTTCTTTTCCAGATGGTAATTTATTTATTACAATCTATCTTATAAAATAAATCACCTCCTCTACTGATTTGAAATGCCACTTTTATTGTATAATAAATTTCTGCACATTAGCAATATTTTACTGTTTATCAAAACTACATCATAATTCCTATTTGTATATTGCTCTATTGTTCTTTCTAGTTATTGTCAGTCTAATATTTTGAACTGTTCTCTAAACATACCCATTACAGAAATATAGTCCTGTTTATTTACATATGCATGTTTGCACTTATTTATGATGTATGTACTACATAAGAGTTGGGGATCAATATATACCAAAATAAATTACATTGTTCCTGTCCACATCACAAAGTTTAAGATAAATTAAAAAGTTAAAGTATATATGAAACTATATATGCCTTTTGAGTAAAAACAAGGAAATTCTTTTTCAAAAAGCAAATAAACAAGTTTATTATTTTAGATTCATTTATTGTAGTTAATACCTTATTTCACTCCAAGTTTTCTAATAACGAATGTAAAGACGAAACATGTTGACATCTACTGTGATAAAGAAAGTTCATTTCCTAGCAGTTAATTCTAAGTAGGATGCTGGGCCTATGCAAGTGGTGATGAATAGCATAAATAAGTTAGCTTTTCCAAAAAATTAAATGTTTAGAAGTATCTTCAGGCCAGGCATGGTGGCTCACACCTGTAATCCCAGCACTTTGGGAGGTCGAGGAGGATGGATCACGAGGTGAGGAGATCAAGGCCATCCTGACTAACACAGTGAAAGCCCATCTCTATTAAAAACACAAAAAATTAGCCAGGCGTGGTGGCGGGCGCCTGTAGTCCCAGCTACTCAGGAGGCTGAGGCAGGAGAATGGCGTGAACCCGGGAGGCAGAGCTTGCAGTGAGCTGAGATCGTGCCACTGCATTCCAGCCTGGGCGAGAGAGTGAGACTCTGTCTCAAAAACAAACAAACAGACAAACAAACAAACAAACGTATCTTCAAATGGACATTTCAAATGTTTCTTCTTTTTATAAGTTGAGAAAGTAACACAGAAGCATCAGTAAAATGTCTTCAGGCAACAACGTAGCATCATGTTGGTATGTCACTTACTGGAAAGAAGATTATATATCTTTTAGACTCTTCCCAAAATTAAAAAAAATGCACCTGTCAAATATGAAATACTGGTAAAGTTCAAAGAATCCGTAATGTTTGTGGATGATTAAAAATGTGAAAACTGTGACAGATTCTTTCTCAGTCAGAGTAATTTGATTTCTGCAGAGCGGGCTATAGACCGGTCTTCGGGTACTTTCTCAAAGATTAACTGAATTTTCTTAAACAAATATTTAATTTGATTACCAGAATATGAAAGAAAAAAATTTTGTCTAACAACTCTTTCTGAAGTTTGCCAATAGCTTTCTTTTACTGCCAATACGACTTTTCTGAAGCATTTCATTATCAGTTGATCTTTGTCTTCTTAAGTCAGTTAATGATACGACACGAACAAAATATATTATCATGCAGGTAAATAAAAACTGTCCTGTTGGAAAACTTAGTGTTTCCTATTTAAATTTCAGAAAAATTCAGCTTTTTTTGTGGTTGATATTCAATGCACAGGCATTAGAAAAAGGGTCTATTGTGTCTGAGGTTTTTTCTGGTTTTAAGTGATAAAGCCATCTTTGGCATGAAGGATACTTGGTTCTCATTTTCAGTAGAAAGTGGCATGCATCCCAGTTACCCAATAGTTATCCTAAAGCACTGAACTAAACTTAAGACATAAAAAATGTAAGTACATTCTTTTGAACGTGATTGAGAATTGGAATTTTATTTGTCAAAATATTTTACATATGCTTATTCTGGCTGCCATATTATGATGCTTACTGTGTAAAAGCTTTTGTGGTATTGTATCTTACTGAGATAGTATAGTTTTTTGATAGATGATTTCTATTCGTGGACTCAAAGCCTCATAATTATATTATATATGTTAGGAAGGATTTTCCTTATTTTCCTGGTGACATGAAAAATCTATGTAAGTGATTTATAAGGAGATATCTGCACAGAGATCTGTATGTTCCTTTATAAATTATTAATATAGAGATTTAATTTAAACATTATTATGACAGTTAGCCAATAGTGATATTTTGAGGGAATATTCTATAGACTCATGAGTTTGTTATTCTGTGACAATAGGTTTTCACCTTTTAAAATAAAAAACTATACTCACATTCCCCTCTGAGAGAACTCTATAGGCCGGGTGCGGTGGCTCATGCCTGTAATCCCAGCACTTTGGCAGCCCGAGGTGGGCGGATCATAAGGTCAAGAGATCGAGACCATGCTGGCCAACATGGTGAAACACTGCTTCTACTAAAAATACAAAAATGAGCTGGGCATGGTGGCAGGCGCCTGTAGTCCCAGCTACTCGGGAGGCGGAGGCAGGAGAATCACTTGAACCTGGGAGGTGGACGGTGCAGTCAGCCAAGATTGTGCCACTGCACTTCAGCCTGGCTACAGGGTGAGACTTTGAAAAAAAACAAACAAAAAAAAAACCAAAAGAAAGAAAGAAAGTGAGAGAGAGAGAGAGAAAGAAAGAAAGGAAAGGGAAAGAAAAGAAAGGAAAGAAAAGAGAAAGAAAGAACTCTATCTGTGCAGTTAAATGAGAGAAAGAACACATAGTTTAGAGGACTTTTATAGAGAAAGAACACATAGTTTAGAGGACTTTTATAGAGAAAGAACACATAGTTTAGAGGACTTTTATAGAGAAAGAACACATAGTTTAGAGGACTTTTATAGAGAAAGAACACATAGGTTAGAGGACTTTTATAGAGAAAGAACACATAGTTTAGAGGACTTTTATAGGACAGACCCCCAAATATTCTTGCAGTGCTAGGCCTCTTGGGAGATATTGGTAAAATGAAATAATTATTTAAAATCTATGAAATAAATGTAAATCTTTAGGATAAGTTGAAGCATGTAAATAAGTCTTGACATAGAGTAAAAGAGAGGAGTGAGATTTGTATGTGAATATAAGATTCAGATTTTTAAAATTTTAATTTAGTCATCTAAATGGTCTCCTGTACTGATTATACTCAGCTACTTAAAATGAGTAATTCTACCCGCAAAGGTAGCTAGTCTCTATAATTGACTTAAATGATGTACTTTTAATCAATATTTCAATTTCATTTGATGCCCTTGAAATGATGTGGAAAATAAAAGGAAAACTAGAACATTAAGTCCACATGGAGCAATATAGGAAAAACCAAATAAAAGATTTCGAATGCCCTTTTATGTAATTAATTGCTTTCAAAGAAGCAAATTCCAAATGTCAGAGATATATAAATGGATATTCAAGATAATGTTTATTTTTGTTCCTATTTTTATGTATTACAAATAGAGGTAATATTTAAAACAACAAAAGGGGTAAAATTTAAAAATTTAGAAAAATATAGACTACTGAAGAGTAACTGCCAATGGCATGTCTTATTAATGAGAATTCTTCCCTAGGGCTTTTAATTTGAGGTGGAGAGAGCAGAAGCAGCGGGCACGGGGCAGCTTCTCTCTAAGGTCACATGCTGTGGTGCAACACTGATTTAAAGTTGTCTGCCTCAGATCCACATCAAGATGGTTAGCTACTAGTACAGAGGAACTTTACTAGGTAGGATTTTCTTTCTTTCTTTCTTTCTTTTTTTTTTTTTAGAAAAAGTTTCCTTCTTGTTGCCCAGGCTAGAGTGCAATGGTGCAATCTCGGCTCACTGCAACCTCAGCCTCCCAGGTTCAAGCAATTCTCCTGCCTCACCCTCCCTAGTAGCTGGGATTACCAGTGTGCACCACCATGCCCATGTAATTTTTGTATTTTTAGTAGACAGGGTTTCGGCATGTTGGCCAGGCTGGTCTCAAACTCCTGACCTTGTGACCCACCCGCCTTGGCCTCCCAAAGTGCTGGGATTAGAGGTGTAAGCCACGGCACCAGGCCTACTAGGTAGGATTTTCTTAGCCATGATATGAAGCATCTTTCCCCTGCTTCCTGGTCACATGCTTCTGTAAGCACAAGGCCTCTGACCTTTCTCCAAAGGTGCAGCTAGTAGCCCCCGCTTGCTGCCAAGCGAGTCCACAGGCTCTATTTGACGTCCAGTTAGATCTGATCTTTGAAATAAAATAAGTAAGCTATTGGAAATCAGTAAAAATATCAACTAGAGTCTGGGCGCAGTGGCTCATGCCTGTAATCCCAGCACTTTGGGAGGCCGAGGCAGGCGGATCACGAGGTCAGGAGATCGAGACCATCCTGGCTAACATGGTGAAACCTGTCTCTACTAAAAATACAAAAAAAATAGCCAGGCATGGTGGTGGGCGCCTGTAGTCCCAGCTACTCGGGAGGCTGAGGCAGGAGAATGGCGTGAACCCGGGAGGTGGAGCTTGCAGTGAGCCAAGATTGCACCACTGCACTCCGGCCTGGGAGACAGAGTGAGACTCCGTCAGAAAAAAAAAAAAAAAAAAGAAAAGAAAGAAAACATAAAAGTAGTAAATATCCCTAAAACTTTAATTATACTTTGAATATGAATATTTGGGCATAGTTTTTTAAAAACTGCAAATCTGTCCAAGTAAAAGATTGTTTTTCTGGGTGATTTAGGGATAATTACCTTTTTTAAAATCATGGTCTGTTTTATGTGTTTCCAAGAGCATGCACTTTGGTAATTAAATGTGGTAGTAGGGATGTTTGAATGGAAACCAGAAAGATATTTTCATAATTAATAATTAGTTTATAAAAATCACTAGCATTCCTGTACACCACCGACAACCAAACTGAGAGCCACATCAGAAAGATAATTTGCCACCACACAGAAAAAATAAAATAAAATAAAATAAAATAAAATAAAATAAAATAAAAAAGACCTGGGAATGCAGCTAACCAAGGAGGGGAAAGATGTCTACAATGAGAATTATGAAACACTGCTCAAAGAAGTTAGAGAAGACACAAACAAATGGAGAAACATTCCATGCTCGTGGATAGGAAGATTCAATATAAATAAAATAGCTATGCTGGACAAAGCAATTTACAGATTCAATGCTATTCCTATCAAACTATCAGCGACATACTTCACAGAACTAGAAAAAATTATTTAAAGATTTATATGGAACCAAAAAAGAGCCCAAAGAGCCAAGGCAATTCTAAGCAAAAAGAATAAAGCTGGAGAAATCATGTTACCTGACTTCAAACTATACTACAAGGCTGCAGTGGCCAAAGCAGAATGGTACTGGTACAAAAACAGGCACATAGACCAATGGAACCGAATAGAAACCCCAGAAATACAGCCACACACCTATGACCATCTGACCTTTGACAAAGCTGACAAAAATAAGCAATAGGGAAAAGACTCCCTTTTCAATAAATGGTGCTGGGATAACTTACTAGCCATATGCAGAAAATTGAAGCTGGACTCTTTCTTTACAAAAATCAGCTCAAGATGGATTAAAGATCTAAAACTATAAAAACCCTGGGAAACAACCTAGGTAATACCATCCTGGACATAGGAACGGGCAAAGATTTCATAACAAAGACACCAAAAGCAATCACAACAAAAGTAAAAATTGACTAACGGGATCTAATTAAACGTAAGAGTTTCTGCACAGCAAAATAAATGATCAACAGTGTAAACAGACAACTTACAGAATGGGAGAAAATATTTGTAAATTATGCATCTGACAAAGGTCTGATATCCACCATCTATAAGTAACTTAAACACATTTACAGGAGAAAAATCAAACAACCTGATTCAACAGAGGGCAAAGGACAGGAACAGACATACATGCAGCCAACAAGCATGTGAAAAAAAGCTCAGTATCACTGACCATTAAAGAAATGCAAAACAAAACCCCAATGAGTACCATCTCGCACCAGTCTGAATGGCTGTTATTAGAAAGTCAAAAAATAACAGCTGGTGAGGTTGTGAAGGAAAGGGAACACTTAAACACTGTTGGTGGAAGTGTAAATTAGTTCGGCCATTGTAGAAGACAGTGTGGCGATTCCTCAAAGACCCGAAGTCAGAAATACCATTAGACCCAGCAATCCCATTACTGGGTGTGTACCCAGAGGAGTGTAAAGCATTCTACCTAAAATTCACATGCACGTGAATGCTCATTGCAGCACTATTCACAATAGCAAAGACAAGGAATCAACCTCAATGCCCACCAGTGACAGACTGGATCGAGAAAATGTGGTACATATAGACTATGGAATACTATGCAGCCAGAAAAAGAATGAGGCCATTTCTTTTGTGAGAACGTTATGGAGCTGGAGGCTATCATCCTTAGCAAACTAATACATGAATAGAAAATGAAGTCCAGGTGCGGTGGCTCACGCTTGTAATCCCAGAACTTTGGGAGGACGAGGCGGGCAGATCACTTGAGGTCAGGAGTTTGAGACCAGCCTGGCCAACATGGTGAAACCCCATCTCTACTAAAAATAAAAAAAAAAAAAAATTAGCCAGGCGTGGTGGTGCATGCCTGTAGTCCCAGCTACTCGGGAGGCTGAGGCAGGAGAATTGCTTGAATCCAGGAGGCAGAGGTTGTAGTGAGCTGAGATTGCACCACTGCACTCCAGCAGGGGTGACAGAGCGAGATTCCGTCTCAGAAAAAAAAAAATTAGAAAACCAAATACCACATGTTCTCACTTATAAGTGGGAGCTACGTGATAAGAACTTATGAACACGAAGGAAACAACAGATACTGGGGACTGCTTGAGGGGGGAGGGTGAGAGGAGGGAGAGGAGCAGAAAAGATCACTGTTGGGTATTGAGCTTAATACCTGGGTGATGTAATAATATGTACAACAAACCCCCATGTCACATGTTTATCTATGTAACAAACCTTCATATGTACCCCCAAACCTAAAATAAAAACTATGAAAAGAAAAAATAAAAAAATAAAATCTGGGGAATTTGAGTTGGCAAAGCCTCTGAAGTTTTAGCTATTGTGCTCTAGTCTGTTTCACTACACCCCACAAATAAAAATTTAATTTGCAATACTGGAAAAAGTCTTTTATGTAAAGGATAGATATGTTAGATTTTTTAAATATGCTAAATTAAGTTCTCCTCTTATTCCAGTTCACCTTGCTATTGTAAATCTATGTTTAAATAAAAGTCATCTTCAAACAATATTAACCAAGTTGCCTGAAGTCCACCCCTTAATAATCTGAGCTAATTAATCATTCTTCTTGGTCACTTCCTGAAATCTCTATTTCAAGACATGTACATTCTAGATGAAATGTATTAAAAAGACACACGGAAGTGAAATGCTTTGAAAGCAGGTACATTTTGCTTCCCCAGCCTGTAAGATGTCAGAGATTATGTGTTATTTCTATGTATACTTTGTCCTGATGAAAATAAAATTTTATTTGTACCTAGTATTTTATAATTTGAATAAAGGATTATAATCAATATTCTTCTCTTCTTTGCTTCTCTTAGCTGATGGCCCTTTTTTTCAGCAGTTAATTAAAGTTTGAATAGCTGTCACTTGTGACTAACTTCTGTGGCGTTTCCTTTGCCTGCACCTCAGACATCATCTCCTTCCATTCATTTCTTCTCAAATTGCGTACACAAGTGCTCTACAAAATCATCTACAGTCAAATCCCAGAGAAGTAGTAATAAGAGCCATTGTAGACAGGAGGAAGTGTGTTAGGAAACAAGAAGGTAGATCTGGAGCCAGTATAGACTGCAGCCAGGACCGCATGTTCCTTAGGGCAATGGAAAGAAGAGGAGATAAATGCTGTAAGAAGATGATATAGAAAATTTAAAAACTGTTATACACTGTTCAAATCTCATCAAAGGCATCAAAGAGGATCCCATTAAAAACACTCTTGAGAGCAGCTGAGCGCTGACGCTTTGCTGCTTAGAATGCAGGGCCAAGGGAGATATGAGGTCGGGAGGGTTTAGGTGTGCACCTGAGCATTCAGAGTAAAGAGAAATGAGCACTGGGAAAAGCTAAAAGGAGGCAGCCTGAGGGGGCCAGCAGGAGGCCGGCCGGCCGGCCGGGATGGCAGGCCACCTTCAGCAGGTCAGCCTTCACCCTGGCAGGCAGATCTAACGCGGATTTGGGAAAAAGAGACACTCTCAGTCCCTCCAGATTCTGGGATGGTTTGGTCTCTGGCTCTGAGGTTCCCAGGTGAAACTGATGCTGCTGCACCTTGCCGTGATGCAGTGTTACTCATGGCCAAGAGCAGAACTTCAGATGGGAGAGGGCTGACTCTGGCTTCTGCTATTCACAGCCATAGTGTATGGGAAAGTCAAAGAGGCTTCATCATTCAGTAACAAAAACAAATTTCAGTCACGTGAGGAAAACTAAACTGAGCTTTATGAACTTTCCTTTCCCCTGTCTTACTTTGATGTCATTTTGTCTTGTAATGCAAATATAGATATGTTTAATCCATATTTACCTTTCTAATTAATAAACAGCTAGTTTTATATAGATAAAAGCTTTCAAATTTTATTCAAAGGAGGTTTTCTCAGAGTGCTGATTTTCATTGTTCATCAGGCAGGTACATCATTTAGTGGAAACCAAGTAAAATTGTATCCATGAGTCCAAGCACAGTCCTCCAGTATTTTGTAGGATTCATCTAAAGACTTAAGTTTAACATTCATGTAATTCCCTCTAGGATGTACAGTTCCTCAGTCTCACAGAATTAGCCCAGTACCTGCTCTTCTGGGTGCTAGGATGCCATAGACACCCTGTAGTTCCTTTATCCAAATCCCATTACACTTCAGGTTTGGGATTCTAATTCATTAAGGAACTGAGGCCTTTTCATGTAGTATTTGTATAAATGCTGAGCTCTCAATATGGAAGAAGAAACAGGAAAGGAAGAAAGAGGGGTGGGGAGGAAAAGGAATAGGAGGAGGAGAAGAAGGAATAGGAGGAGGATGAGAATTAGGAGGAATAGGAACGGGGGGCGGGGCGAGGAATAGGAGGAGGATTAGGAAGAGGAGGAAATTTGCATATGGCTTTAAGTCCCTTAAGCTTCTGGTTAAGTGGCTCATCTACACAAACCCCATCTCATGATCCCGTGACATAGGAGCTATTTCCTCTCATCACTACTGATTGTCCTCCATGTTCCCTTTGACTTATCTTTCATGGCCACATGACCCCATCCCCACCCTCTAAATCCAATCCAGTGGACCTCCACACTCTGCTGCCCAGCCCTCTTGGTGATTTCTGAGCTCTTTTGCTGTAAACACAAGTGGACAGTCATCTGAGGCAGCGTTCTTTACTATCTGCACTCTCCAGAGCACAGTTGAGCCTGAGTTCCACCCCAGCACATCTCAACCTCAGTTGATTTCAGAACCTTTCAATCATTTCTGTGACATTTCTGAATTTCCTGACTTCACCAATGCCAGGAGGATAACCCTCCGAATCAAATCGAAGATCATTTCATTGTAAAGTTCCTCCTATATTGACATTTCTGGGGAACTATGACAAACTCAAGGCCTCGGAGGGCCCTAGACTCCATTTCATTAAATACAATTTTTGAATGGGTATCAGGGACCTTGACCTCAGGAAATAACTTGGGCACCATTTATGTCAACATAGGGGTCATCAACGTTGCTATGATGTTTCCTTTGGGTTCATTTAACCCTATTTAACCACATATTTCAACAACAGAAAGATTTAAACTCAGAGCAAGGTGGTCAACAGCACACATCTATTATGTACCATTTACAGACTCCTGAAGACCTGTTGTTCTCTCTCTACCATTTGGTCTCTTGCCATATTTCTTCAGGTTTATTAGTGATTTATCTCTTTTTGTTAGGTATTTTCCTGGTCCAACATTATTTTATAATTCAAATATTAGGGCACAGAAACAAAAATAGAATGTGGGTTTGAATACACATGAAATACCTACATCTATGTCATACATATACACATACACTAAAATAGTTTGCAATGGGTATAGAAATTAGAAGGGGGATAATATAAAGTAAACTTAAACAGCTTCAGAATTTTGCCAGAAACCAGCCCTGAACTTAACGATAACCCCATCTCAGTAGAAAGAAGAGAGGCTGAGTAAAGGCATGTTTACTCGGAAATGAGTTCCCCAGCGTGAAACTCAAGAGTGAGGAGAGAGAACTTTTAGAATTTGCCACACACCTGCTTTCTGTTGCATATTAACCACACGGTGCACTTTCCACTGGCTGCTTGAACAGGCACGTCATGTGTGAATGAAGTGGGTCAAGGTCAGAAAAATAGCGATTGTTGGTGTATGTGATAAATTGATGTGTACTTGCCCTGGGTCAGTCACTACTCACCTGCAGAAGATTCCTGCCTTATAGGAAGTAAAATCTGTATTGCTGAATCTCACACATTTCCAGAAAAAGCCAGGAAGTGTGGCTACTACAGGAAATTTCCTAATTTTTAAATATGAAATGATTCAAACATACTGTAGAAAAAAACTATACAATGTACAGTAACCACGCAATAGAAATACATCTGATGAATGGATTTGGCTCATGGGCCGCCAGCTTGTGACTTCTGATCAATGTTTTGAAATTATCCCTGGGAGACATGGGGAAGAAAGATTCAATCTGTAAGGAGCCACATGCAGTTTTGTGAGACAATTTGCAGACTTCAAAGTGACTGAGTCAGAGTATGTACATAAAACGTGGCCCAAGGGAGAACAGAAATCTAAAATGAAACACATTAAGGTTAATACTGGCCGGGCGCAGTGGCTCATGCCTGTAATCCCAGCACTTTGGGGACCGAGTCAGGAGGATTACTTGAAGACAGGAGATCGAGACCAACCTGGGCAACATCATGAGACCCATTTCTACAAAACAAATGGAAAAATAGTTACTACCCATAGGAATGAAAAGTCACTCATTTGCTATCACACAGACATACACATGTATGATAGCCAACTACCGGATTAAATCAGGCAGTCAGAAAGAGAAAACAAAAAGAAAAGGAGGCAAAAATACAACAGAAAAACATGAAATTTAATCTTTCAATTTCGAACTTTTTATCAGACAAGGACTAGAAACCCAATGAAGATGACAAAAAAAAAAAAGACAAAATTGCTTTCCTATGTATCAAGCTCAGGTGTAATTATAGTTCCACACTAAACTGCAGGCTTCATACAAGGACTTGCCACAACTCTTAGTTTTAGTACCGGCTGTAATTTATGTTGTGTTTAGATAAATTCCTGAGCTCTCTGTACCTAATTTTTTTTAATTAGTGAAAAAACACAGAAATAGCTTACATGCTTGCTTTAAGAAATAGATAAATAGAATATTATATTTTTAAACCTCATTATGCCTAAGTATTTAATATCTACTGGTGATTTTATTCTTGGCGAGCATAGCAGGGGCCATATGAGAAATGTAAATATGGTTATTGACCTGTTGTGCTGGTGACAAGATGAGTCTTTTCTCTAGGAGACTGGATTAGCTTGGCTGAAAATATTCGTTGCATACCAAATTAGACTATACATTGTATTTCTGTCACTGAATGTTTTCCTTAGTTGTTTTGTGAGTAAAATAAATTGGATGTATGTTCAATGTATATAATTCAGGCACCTTATTTCAAAAGTAATTAATGTCTTACTCACTTGAGACCAGATAATTACAGTTAATGTCATCTTAAAGGAGCCCCCAGGACTGTTAGCCATTGGTAAACGCATAAGAATTGGAATAAATTGACTTTCATGATCACTGAAGCTTCGTTGGGAGAACTAGGAGCAGAGAAAAGAATGATAAATCAAAAATTCGTCTCCTAAGACTGATGAAGATAACATATATATTTTTTCATTTACTCTTAGACAACCCTTACAAGATTTTTGCCCAGCGAAAGTGGCACGTGGAACATGGAATGACATTTCATAAAGATAAATCCAGAGATTAGTGCTGAAGACTACACCCCTGTGTAGTCCCACACAGGCTACCCCAGACCAGCCTGGCGGGCTCTGCACTAGGCCTCCCATCAGGCGAGAGCCAACGCTCCTCAGCCCGGCTCCACCTCATTCAGAAGAAAGTGTGTCTCCCGGCCTCACATTGCGCTGAATGCAAGGATACCGAGATAAACCAGGCTTTCCTTCGCTCAGAGTACAGTTGCAGACTTGGTAATGACTGAGCCAAGCCAGACTGACTGTGATAAGATAATAAATTAACTACCAGTCAGGAGCTAAGTCAGCAGATGTGCGAACATTTTAGAGGTAACATCATAAACTAGAACAGAGGAGCTCTTGGGAAGAAAAAGGGCTTGGAAATTATACCTGGAAAGATACCGCTAATAATGATCAAGAAGAAAAAACAAATCCAGTTTGGAAGTGAGCAATCATTTATGATGTAAAATATTTCTTAGAAATGGAATCTAGATAATGCTTGGAATATGCTTTAAACTACCTATATTTAATTTGTTTTTCTTGTGATTTTTGTATTGTTTGGTGTAAAATAATCTTAATCTTTCCAGGTGGTGTCTAATTAAGGCACATTTACTGATATGAGTCATTTTCTAAATATACTTTATCTAAGAAAATTTAAAATTTTTGGATCAACTAAAAACTCTCTCAATTATTTTAGAGTTAACTCTTCCAAATTCTAAAATGTATTCATAAATTATATACAACTATTTTAATGGTCACTGTGGGCCCAACTTCTGTATATAAATTTACCTTCTTATTTTACAGGTGCTAATGTTTAAAGATACTTAAATATGCCAATTTCTTTCCTCTATGTAGAAGTTTGAAATACATTCTATGCCCTGAGAGAACCCTTTGAAATTTGAACACATAGAGTATTGTTATGTGCTTTCAAAACTTTGTGTTGTATAGGACCCTCTTTTAGCTGAATATTTTTCAAGCAGTAAGCCTGTCCTGCATCGCACATGTACTGGGACACCCATGGACAAAATCATAAGACTCTGTCTTCCTGACAGATTTCCCTCCTCTCCTGGGGAATTCTCTAATGATGTCACTCTTTTTTTGTGCCCTGTATGGTTTTTTTTTTTCAGTTTCTTCTGTGTGATGCACGTGATGCTGTTACACTGCAGGGTAGCGTTTTTAAAAAATCTGATTTACAGTTTGTCCTACTATTATATATTTTGCTTATAAAAACCTTGTGTTTTTTCAAAAATTCCTAACAGACTTATTTAGGTCTAACTGACCTAAAATAAACCACACATGGTACAGTGTACAGTTTGATGGGCTTCGACATAAGCACATATAATGGGTTGAATTATGTCCCTCACGAGATATGTTAAAGTCCTAAACCCTGTTTCTCATTTGCGAATAGGGCCTTTATTTGGAAATAGGGTCATTGCAGGTATAATTAGCTAAGATGAGGTTGTAGTGGAGTGGAGTGGGCCCTTAATCCCCTTAATCCTAAATGAGGGGTGTCATCATAAGAAAGACACTGGCAAACAGATACAGACACAGAGGGAAGAACGCCACATGACAAGGAGGCAGGGGGTGGAGTGATGCTGCCACACGTCAAGAAGAACCTGCGGCCACCAGAGTTAGAAGAGGCAAGAAAGGATTCTCTCGTGGAGGCCTCGGACTGGCATCGCCTTGCCAACAACGCTGATGGTGGGCTTCCAGCCTCCAGAATTGTAAGGCAATAAATTCATGTTGTTTTAAGCCAACCAGTTTGTGGTGAAATAGCCCCAGGAAACGGATCCAATCTACAATCATGAAACCATCTGAAAATAAAAATAGCAAACATATCCCTCACCTCAACAAGTTTCCTGAAGGCCCTCCCATCACACAGTCCCAAGTCCCACCTCCTTCCTCAGGAAACCACTGAACTCTTTTGTCACTATAGACCGTATTTTGTAGAATTAATATAAATTTTACATAAATTTATATAAATCCCCAAATTATAGAAAATATATTTACTGTATACATGCGGTATATACTGGCTGCTTTCAGCATAATTATTTGGAGGTTTATTCATCATTCTTTTGAACATTCATTTTTTTGCTCCTTTGTTTAGCTAAGTAGTACTCCCTTGATATATCACAATTTGTTTATCCATTCACCTGTTTATGGACATTTTAGTTGTTTCCAACTTTTGGCTATCACGAATGCATCTGCTGTATGTGCACATATACATGTACAACTATTTGAACAGAGATACACTTTTGTTTCTCTTGGTAGACACCTAATTGTGGAACAGCTGAGTCCTGTAACAGGCATATGTTTAACTTTTAAAGAAACTGCCAAACCACTTTCTAAAGTAAACATACTATGTACAATCTCACTAGCAGAATATAGGAGTTCCAGTTCCTCCACATCTTCATCAACAGTTCGTATGATTACGCTTTGAAATTTTTTCCTTTCTAATAGGTATGTAGTAGTGTCTCATTGTGGTTTTTTATTTACATTTCCCTAATGACTAATAATACTAAATGTCTTTCATAGGCTTATTTGTCATGGCATGCCTCTGGCATACCATCTGTTCAGATCTTTTGTCTATTGTCTAATTTTTATGGGTTTGATCTTATCAATTTTTGAAGATTATTCTGGATACAATGAATTTGTTAGATATATGATTCCTATTTTTCATGGTCTGTGGTTTATCTTTTCTTTCTCTTAACGATATTCTTGAAGAGCAGGTGTTCTTATTTTTACGAAATTTCTTTTATCACTATTTTCTTCTATGGATTGTGTTTTTCTATGAAGCAACCTTTCTAACCCAAAGTAATAAAGTTTCTGTTATACAGCTTATTCTAGAAGTTTGATAGTTTTAGGCTTTACCTTGGTTCTATAGTCCTTTCTGAATTAACTTTCACATGTTATGTTAGGTATAAAGTCTTTTTGGTTTGTTTGCTTTTGCTTTTGTATATTGGTATCCAGTTGTTCTAGTACTAGTTAAAAATACTATTTTTCTTTATTAAGCTGCCTTTGTACATTTATAAAAGATGAATTGATCATATATGTGTAGGTCTGTTTCTAAACTTTCTCTTCTATTTTATTGATGTATTTGTTGGTCTTGAGGCAAATATCACATTGTCTTGATTATTGTACCTTTATAATGATTATTGATTGCTATACGTGCAAGATCCTCAACTTTGTTGTTTTGCAAAGTTGTTTTGACTACCTTGGGAACTTTGCATTTTTCTAGTAACCCTGTTTTGATATAGATTATTTTGAATAGGGAATGTTTTGACTTAAAAATAATATCAAACTTTTATAATTAAGATATAAGTAGTGTGAAAGGAGAGAAACATCTTCATTCTATCATTCAGCCCCTTTCAGGAACCTCATCCAACCTCACCACTCTAGGCTATCAGAGTTAGCACATTACATCTCTATACAGACATGCATTCGTTAATGATGAGGATATGTTCTGAGAAATGCATTATTAGGCAATTTTGTTGGTGAACATCACAGAGTGTACTTACACAGACCTAGCTGGTGTAGCCCATCAGTTACCTTGGCAATATGGTATAGACGATTGTTCCTGGGCTGCAAACATGTACAGCAGGTTACTGCACTGAATACCGCAGGCAATTGTAATACAATGATAAGTATTTGTGTATTTAAACGTAGAAAAGGTACAGTACAAATTTGATATAAAAGATTAAAAAACAGAAGACCTGCTTAAGCCCATTCTGTTACAATCTTATGGGACCAGCATTGTATATGCAGAGTCCATCGTGGACCGAAATGTCACTGTGTGGAGCACAACTGTATCTCCATCCATACTGACACACACACGCCTTCTGAAACCCATGCCTACAACCATATTGGTATCTGTATATTGGTGCTTTATAGTATAAAATATACCCTCTTGAGGCTGAGCCTCAGTAAATACTCATGCTTAGCCACTGTCAGCCTGCTTCTTCCTCTAATCTCCAAAATGAAGTAAGTTCATTGACAGCACTGGAGATGCCTGCATTGCTGGATTTACACTCTATTTTATTATTAAAGAAAGGGTTTTTTTCTCCCTAAAGATATCCCTATTTCTATTAATCTTTTCTGGCTCATTATTTTTCTTTGATAGGCATAGAGGGCAGTATGGTGGAAGTATTCTGCCTGTCTGTGAGTATTTTAAAAAATGGAAAATGTTGGAAATCAATTTCTTGTGCATTTACTTTTTCTTAAATACTATTACTGTTTCCTTTCCAATCTTAGACTGCTGAATTCTGAATAAATCTCTCACCTTTGTGGTTTTCTTGAAGTAGACCTTAATTTGAATTTTTTTTTTTTTTTTTTGACAGAGTCTCACACTGTTGCCCAGGCGGGAGTGCAGTGGCACAATCTCGGCTCACTGAAACCTCCACCTCCCAGGTTCAAGCGATTCTCCTGCCTCAGCCTCTTGAGTAACTGGGATTACAGGTGCCCGCCACCATGCCCGGCTAATTTTTTGTATTTTTAGTAGAGATGGGGTTTCACTATGTTGGCCAGGCTGGTCTCGAACACCTGACCTCATGATCCATCTGCCTCAGCTCCCAAAGTGCTGGGATTACAGGTGTGAGCCACTGCACCCAGCCGAAATATTTTCTTTTCTTTTTCTTTCTTTCCTTCTTTTTAAAAAAATTCTGTAGCTGATCCCTGATGGCTTTTAATTTGAATAAAACTTTATTTAAAGAAAGTGTTTATTCATTGATACGAATCACACAGAGTATAATTTCAAGCCCATTACCATGAAGATATTTTCCTATGTTTTACTCCAGAATTTTTAATTATTTTATCTTTCAAATTTAGATCTATATTCCAGCTAGAATTGTGTGTGTGTGTGTGTGTGTGTGTGATGTGAAGGTCAAAGTTTATTTTTCTTTTTTTACATATAAATATGTAATTGATCCAGCACCACTTAATGAAAAGACTACTCTTTTCAGCCACTCTCAGGTGGTACCTACGTCGTGACCCAAGTGACTGAGTATCGAGTCGGTCTGGTTTTCAACTTTCTATTCAGTTCGGTTGCTCTGTAGTTCCCCCCTTGATGGTTTACATTGTCTGTGAATATTGACAGTTATAGTTCTTACTTTACCATTCTTTTAAGGAATCATTTGAAAAATTCACATATTGGTGAAGCCATACAGGCTTAGAGTTTTCTTTGTGGCAAGTTTCCTAATGACAGATTTAATTTCTTTAATAGATACAATATATTCCAAATAGATTTTTTTCAATGAGTTTTGGTAAGCTATATTTTTCTAGGAATTTGACAATTTCTTCTAAATTTTGAAATATATTGGTATATAGGTCAAAAAATTGTATGTCTTTATCTTTTTAATATATGTAATGTCTGTTGGGATGTACCTTTTTAAAAATTTCTTATATTATTCATTTCTCTTTTCTGGCCTGATCCTAGCAATTGTTATAGGGAGTTTATAAAAATTATTCGTCTTTTTAGGGAAATAAATTTTTGCTTTTTAATTTTTCTACTATATGTTTGTTACTTCATCAAATTTAAATTAAATTTTTTTGGATTAACCTACATTTCCTTCTTCCCATTTTTATTAGGATTAGTTTGTTCTTATTTTTCCAACTACTTTAGAACATTCTTTAGCTTTTCCTCTTTGCTAATATGTAGATATACATTTGTTTCTTTCTTCCTTTCTTTTTTTTGAGACGGAGTCTGGCTCTGTCACCCAGGCTGGAGTGCAGTGGTGGGATCTCAGCTCACTGCAAGCTCCGCCTCCCAGGTTCACGCCATTCTCCTGCCTCAGCCTCCTGAGTAGCTTGGACTACAGGCGCCCACCACCACGCCTGGATAATATTTTTTGTATTTTTAGTAGAGACAGGGGTTTCACCCTGTTAGCCAGGATGGTCTTGATCCCCTGACCTTGTGATCCACCCACCTTGGCCTCCCGAAGTGCTGGGATTACAGGCGTGAGCCACCGTGCCCGGGCCCCCATATAGATATACATTTCTCTAAGCAGTTTTACCTGCCTCTCTAAAATTTTGAGATGTATTTTTATTAAATTCAGTTTAAAAGATTTTCTGATTTTTCATTGAGTTGTCTTTCTTTACTAGTGCGTTATTTTTAAATACATTGCTTAATTTTCAAACATATTGACATATTCCAATCACTTTTTCATTATTGCTTTCCAGTGTAACTACACCATGGTCAGGAGAACAGATTCCAAATTATTGTAGTATTTCAAACTTGTTGAGACTTGCTTTATAGCTAAGTTTAAAATACATTTTGGAAAATGCTCCGTGTAAATTTCAATAGAATCTGAGTGTGCTTCTATGCTGTACTATAGTACTTCCCAGGCATCCTTCAGGTCAGGTTTCTCCTCAACCTAATGGATCTTCTGTATACTTACTGGTCTATATGATTGCAGAATTTTTTCTATTTGGTCTACTAATTATGAAAAATGTGTTTTAAAATCTATTATTATACATACATTCATTTCTCCTTTTACTTTTGTCATTCTGTTTTGTATATACAGTCATGCTCCAAATAACATTTCTTTCAACAACAGACTGCATATTCAACGGTGGCCTCCTAAGGTTACAGTGGAGCTGAACAACTCCTATAGCCTATTGCTGTCTGAGCCTTCATAATGTCAGAGTGCGGTGCATTTTACCTTTTCTATGTTTAGCTATGATCAGATACACAAATACTTACTGTTGCATTACAGTTGCCTAGAGCAGGGGTGTACAATCTTTTGGCTTCCCTGGGACACATTGGAAGAAGAATTGTCTTGGGCCACACATAAGATACGCCAGCACTAACAACAGCTGATGAGCTAAAAAAAAAATTGCAAAAAATTCTAATAACATTATAAGAAAGTTTATGAATTTGTGTTGGGCTGCATTCAAAGTCATCTTAGGCTGGGTCACGGGTTGGACAAGCTTGGCCTAGGGTAGTCAGTGGAGTAGCATGCTTTCTAGGTGTTGCCTAGGAATAGTAGGCTGTACCATTTAGCCCAGGTGTGTAGTAGGTTATGCCATCTAGGTTTGTGTCAGTGCACTCTGTGATGTTTGCACAACAATACATGTGCCTGATGATGCATCTCACAGGATATGTTCCCACTGTTAAGCCAAACACCACTGTATTTGAAAGTTTTGTTGTTAGGTGTATACAAGTTTAGAATTTTTCTTTCTGAAGAATTGACTCTTTCAGTAGGAAATGTCTCTTTCTAGCTCTGATGATTCTTCTTGCCTTAAAATCTGTCTTGTTTGGTCTTGTCATAATGCACAAAAATTCTTTTGGATAGTACTTAAACAAAATTTTTCTCATCTTTAATTTTTAGCACTTTAATGGTTTTCTATGTTTATGTCTGGGATTATTTTGCTTCTACTTAAAGGACTCCCTCCTTTAGTATTTATTTTAATGCAGATCTAGTGGTGGTGAATACTCTTTATTTTAATTTTTTTAGGAGTATCTTTATTTAACCTTTGAAAGGGTTTCACTGAACACAGAATTTTCTATGGGTAATTATGTTGTTTAAAGAAGTCATTGCCATTTCTTCCATTTCTGTGGAGAATTCAACTATCAGTCTTACTGTAAGTCTTTTGGATTGCAGCTGAGAAAACCTGTTGTTATTTATATGATCACTCACTTGACTACCAAGATATAACAAAACTACTGAAAGGAAGGAAAAGTTTGAAGTGAGAAGAAAATAAAAGATGAATAAAATTACATTACAATAAGCTTAGCTACAATTATGGAGAGAAAAACTAGAATACAGCTGATAAAACAAGTAAGTGGCACCCTATTTTGGGTAAAGTTAGTAGTCCAACTGAAATCTGATTATTAGCTGACAAAACAGGTAATACTCCACTGTCACTTAATTTGCCATAATATTTTAGAAAATGCCCTTTAGTAGAAAGTTATCATTTCATGTTTGCATTAGTTGCCACAGATATATAAACATGATATTAGGTAAGACTGCCTAAAATCTTCTCCCCTGTATTTTTATGGTAATTATATAATATAGAGCATGTGATGCTCTCTGACCATATATTGTGAATGGTTTTTGCTCTTATAGCAGAATTTAAAGCCAGCACAAGGACATATTTGGTGTAAGAAATGTAATAAGACTTGTGGTCAAAGTTATGAATATTTAAATGACATTATATATACAAAGAAAATTATGCTGTTATTTGGTTTCAGTAAAATCCAGCATAAAAATTAATTTTGACTCACACCCAAATCCTAAAATGTAAGGGGAACTATTTTTAATAATATGTATATTTGGGAAAATAATTGATTTATTAATTGGCCAAATATTTATTGTGACAAGCCATTTTCTTTCATTATAGTTTATTTGGTAAGATGTTTTCTTAAAGAGCCTATGATGAATATTTATAATATAACTCAATAAAAATGAACATTAGTTTGTCTTGCAGGGAAGCTATGACACGTATGGATATTACACAAAAATACAAGCCTTAAGGAAATAGGGGATTTGGTCCACCTTGTTCTCTGTGGTATCTCTAGCATTCAGATTAAGGCTTATCTCATAGTTAATGTTCAGACATACATGTTAAGTAAATGAATTATTATTTTTTTAAATTTGATTTTGTAACATCTGAAGTATGAAGATTATAATAATCAGCATTAAAATCTGGTTTGGAGAGACCTGTATTAGAGGTGTGTAAACATTGGTCTCCTTTATTTGCTATTAACATGTATATAGTCAGTGTTGAATTTAAAATGATGTAAATCTTGAGTGTTCGCTGAGGTTGACTACCAGTATTTTCAGGAGATCACCATGTGGTATGATCTGAGATGTCTTCAGACCTACTTTGCTCTAAAAAGTTATTTACACTTTGCAATGTTTGTTAAACTACCAAGATCTGTATATTTTCACTATGTTTGTGAAGATGACAGTTTGAAAATAAGAAGATGAAAAACAATATATTACATATGTATGTTTGGGAGACAAAGATAACCCCAAGTTTAGAAATGTGAGGCAGGCCTATATTTCTCTCCAATAGTATTTTATGATTGTCTCCAATTCCTGCTTGGTTTGAAGTCCCTTAACGCAGAATAATTTGGTCAGCAGAATGATTTAGTTAGACAGTAATGACACTCTTACTCCAGACATATTTAATAAATGCCATGTCTTCTACTGTCTTGGCACAATATGAGAATGTCTGAGTGGTATAAGGTGCATAAAGTAGTCTGTTTTTATGGGGATCACAATTTTGTTTTCTGCAAGGAAAAATGAAAGATATCCACACTTGGTTAAAAATGTATTAGAAATCTGACTCTGAAACCACACAGCAGGATTATGTGCTTCGGATCCATATCTTGACCTACTTTCCTAAAAATGTCCAAGTTGGTAAAACTAGATAGTTCTGTTATCTTGTGAGGCTTTCCTGACGCACTAGTTTTGGGTTAAGATAATGATATTACTGTTGGAAAAGAGAAGAGTGATTTTTTTTTTCCTCTTAGAAATTGTTTTTCATTTTATGTGTTAGCTTTCTCTCTCTATTGGGTGAAATGTCCTTGAGGACAGTGATAAAGGTTTACTCTGTTTATAAAACCAGTAGTCAGGCAGCTATGACTGTGCGAAACTCTGGACAGGTTATTCACCAGCTTCAGAAGTGGACTTGTCCTCCCACCTGATGATTGATATTGGTTAATCTGTATCCATCTGTCTGTTGGTCTCTCTATCCATTCATCCATTCCAGGCATTCTATACCATAATATAGATAGATACCATATACCATGTACCATAATACCATACCAAAATATAGATAGAAATGTACCATAATATACCATAATATAGATAGAAATGTACTTCAACATTTCTGGATTTATTGTTAAATTTGGTATGTTATTCCTTGAATACTCTGAACAAAATAATAGTAGGTTTTATATAAATAGTAGAGACTCATTATTATAGCTCATTAGATAAATAAACCTTTTAGGTTCTATTATAAAATAAATGTTTCAGTTTCTATTCACAATGATTAATTCATTCAAATAAATTATAAAGAAAAAGATGAGTTTCTTTTACAAACACAGTTAGAATCAAAATTCAAGTGCTAAGCTGATAACATTCTCATTAATAGCAATAAAGCCTACAGCACTTATTCAACCCGAAAAATAATTGACTTATCCCAGAAAGGCTTTTATTTGTAGAGTTTAAATGTCTCTTCTCATAACCAGCAACTTGTACCTCATATAATTACTCAGATAAAGAGGCTTTCGATTTTCTTGTATAAAAGAAAACACTACAGACTATTTAAAACAAACAAGTGGCCGGGCACAGTGGCTCACTCCTGTAATCCCAGTCCTTTAGGAGGCTGAGGCAGGTTGATCACAAGGTCAGGAGTTTGAGACCAGCCTGGCCAATATGGTGAAACCCCATCTCTACTAAAAATACAAAAATTAGCCAGGCATGGTGGCACACACCTGTAGTCCCAGCTACTTGGGAGGCTGAGGCAGGAGAATTGCTTGAACCCAGGAGTCAGAGGTCACAGTGAGCTGAAATCACACCACTGACTCCAGCCTGGGCGACAGAGCAAGACTCTGTCTCAAAAAACAAAACAAAACAAAGCAAACAAGTACCACCAATATAATACTTTATAGTGAGGATTTCAAGGCAGCCTATGTTCCTAATGATATAGAGTTCCAGGGAGGGAAATAAATCCAAGGTCTTTACATATAACCATGGAATGAGGATGTGCAAGAGAACACCTGAAAGAAAATCAGATTTCCTATAACTGAAAACAACAACGACAAGAACAACAATACCCAGCTTCTCAAATGGTTAATTCACGTATGGTAAAGAGCAGAGAATGGAAAGGTGCTGATCACAAAACAGTTACTAACACTCCCCTCACCCTCCAAAAAAGGTGGTAATTTATATTTATCAGGCAGTTATGGAAGTTTCTTAAAAAGCAAGGTTATTTTTCCTTGCATTATTTACACTGCAATATATTTTTTAAATTTATGGAATGATGAATCTGTTTACAAAAAATGTTTTTTATCACACGTAGGATATTTATAGTGAAATGAAAATGAATAAATCTTGATAGAATTGAGACACTAAAGATATTTTAAAAATCAATAAATTTCTAAGAGATAATTATGTGGTTTGTATGATAACATAACCTTTAATTATTCTCATTTTTTCTTTTTTTTTCAGACCACTCAATCTCTGGCTACTCCTTAAACATGTGTCTGTATCTACAGTTTTGCTGATATAGTACTGTCAGCCTGCATTTTCCACCATGTAGTTTATTCTAATACATACAAGTGCCCAGTGGCTTTCATTACTTCTGTTCCATGTACTCTCAAATTCAACATGTTTAAAATTGAGCTCACTCTGCCTCTGGCTATGCTTCCCCAGAGGTGGATGGCAACAGATTCCATCCATTCATCCAAACTTGGAACCTGAGATTTACCTTTGATCTCAAATTATACCTGTTTCCCCTTATCCAAACACTAACCCAGTGTACACAGATTTTTACCTCCTTAGTTTTTCTTAACTTTTCTTTCTTTCCATCATTACTGCTGCTTTGCTAATACAGGCCCTCACTAAATCTAGCATTCTGCCTCTAGTCTTATTTTCTCCAAATCCATTTTCCAAAGAAGTCTTATGTATCAATTCAGTCTCATGATATGACTCTGAAGTGTTTTTTTTCAATGGCTCTAGATTTTCTTCAAAATTAACTTCCAATCTTCCTTACCTCGTGTGTGAGAGAAGAAACTGGCACACCCCTTTCCTTATCTGCAAGCAAAGGTGGGGACGGGAAGAAGTTTTAACTTTAAATCAAACAGGAAATTTTGATTATGTTATATCATTTGAATAATTAACTGAAAGAACTGACTGGGAAAATCAGGAGGTCTATCTGAGTTTCAGTTATCCCCAGAGGAAGAACTAGGCCCACCAGGTAAATGTGAGGACTCATGAGCAGTGAAGAGGCTGTGTGATACTTTCATCCCAAGTGTGGCTGGTTCAATATGCCAGTTACGTTTGTGATTTTCTATACTCAATACTGTTTCTGTACTTCAGGTTCACAGGGTCCTGTTTGTGTTGTTTATTCTAATGCTCTCTCCTTAATTTCGAATGTGTCATCTCATTCTCCTGCCTTAATTGGATAATCACTCTTCATCCTTTAACACAGAAATAGTCACCTCACTAGTTCAGATCTTGGTTTGTATTCTGCGTCTTTGTTTGTCTCATGTCTTTTGACTGATGCTTGCCATCTTACTTACAATACTGGGTTTTAGTCATGTTTTTCAGTCTGACTGTCCCATGGTCCATGAATGCCTTAAACTCAGGGAATGTGTCTCATTCATCTTTGTTATTTTCAGAGCTGAGAACTGGGTCTGAAATGTTAGATAATCTGTAAACAAAATGAATGAAATGATGTTGCAGAGGAGAGACATGTGGGATAGTCATCAACAGTAACAGAGAGGTGGTCATGATTATTTTCCAGATGGCTGGGGAGCTCCACCTTGGAAGGTCCATCTCTAATGGCAAAAGACTTTTTAACAGGGCTTCCTGAGGACATAAAGAGCCCAATTGTTGTTGAAATCGCATGGAAAGTTCAGCAAGTGTAGTATCGTTGGGATGCTTTGAATTGCACTCTTTGTCTGTTAGAAGCTGAACTGGGCATCCAGGAGTTACAAAGAACAAAAATATGGCACCTGTGCTTTGGAACAACTTTGTAGCCACCTGTCACTTTTGGGGAATAATCGTCTTCTGAGAAGATATGTTTTATTCCTGAGATACAGAGAACACAGGGAATTCTCTCAATTGCTTAATAATAAAACTAAAACAAAAGTCTTCTTACTCTCAACCAGACTCATTTGGTCTAAGGGAAAGAAAATGACTCTCCCGTGCTTCATATGTGATAAAATAGCACTGAGTTAACTGTTGTATTGATTCAATACACAAATAGAAAATAGAATGATTTGGCTACAGACAATTCAAGTATGAAGATTGCAGTTCCTCTTATAAAGGAAGATGTCTTGATACTGGTTTTAAGTATTTCTTTTAAGAAAACTCTATAAAAACCCTGTTTTTTGGCCAATATTAAAAAAAGGAAAAATACTATAAAATTAGTAGCATATGTTTCTTTTTTCTTTTGAAAAGCTACCCCAGACTAGAAGATGACTTTTAGTAACACTGTGGCTGTATATTTATGTGTGTGTGTGTATGCACACATTTTTCTATCAAGAACTATCTCTTTACTTTTCTATTTTCTTATGCTACCCTTTATTTAGTTACTTATTTTGAACTTTATAAGACTACCTGAAGTTTTAAGAATTTCTTTTGTTGAAAAAACTCGGGTTTATCACCCTAGTTATTCCAATAAAAATGAAGAAGAAAGCAAGGCATCTTAGAAACAGACTATAATAACCATTATATAACCACTAGAAGGGAAATGGAGTAAGAAACTATTTTATAGAATTAACAGTGCTTAACTACTGTTTCATGTTATACTAAAAGCACTCAACGTAAAATAAAATTAAATGACCCAACCAGCATAAACATGCCACCAAGGTTGAGTAACAAGGTGTAAGGGTCAGACTGGTTAGGGCTGCCTTGAGTCTTAAGAGTTCATCTCCAAAGCCGTTGTCTCGCCCACCTCAGCTTTGCGGTGACATCCCAGTGTGCAGTGCTCACTCACGGCACCGTCATCTCTCTGAGTGATTTATGGGCTCAGAAGTCATCAGCAAGGAAACTGCAGGAAGCCCCTGCTGAGAACCACGAGCACTGAAGGAAAACAGCTGCACACATCCGAGCAGATTATTTCTTTAACACTCGTGTGAAACAAGGCATCACGCTGGACATACCGAGTCTTCCTCTTTTTCTTTTTTTTAAATGGAAATATCCTTATCTGGGTGGGTGAAGGATGGATATGACTTCTTAAGTGAAAAACAACCGTTTTTGTGGAGCTGCTGAAAAGATTAAAACACACTCATATACACACTCAGTTTCTCTTCCTCATCAAAAAATGAGCAACAAAATAGCTTACTGAATGTGCATGTTCACACATGTACATATATTTGCATATTTAACTTATTTCGTTGAAATCTTTTCTCTTTCTAAAAGCAAAGCTGCACTGGAAAGGAAGACTACATTTTATGAGCAAAGATAAAACACTCTTTGAATAGTAAATTGTTTTTAACAAAAGAAGAATTCAGGCTAAAATGAGAAGAATAATCAGTTTTTGGGAATTTTGCCTTTTGTTTAAGTTTTTTAGTTTATTTAAATCTTTACTGAACTAGAAAACAAGGTAAATTATTCTCCAGGTTTTCTGCTTAGCATGCCAGGAAGTTCTGGGACATTATTTGAGGATGTTTTGACAAACAAAATCATCCCGATATGGAATAAAGTCAACATTCAGTAACGCATAATTGAATTTTATTTTCGTGGATGTTAGAATAATGATATCTATGTGTTAAACCACAAGCTTCTTGAGGGCTTTATAATGTGTGGTTAGGGGACTTTCCAGCTGCCACAGATCCTGCCAGATGCTTCAGCATTTTGGTTTGTTCCACAGTTGAGGAATGAAGAAACTTATTCCACAGAAGTGCTGTCGCCATGTTCTGACGGCTTTCCACAGCTGTGTCCTCACATGCGGTGTGTCCATAGGAGCTCTGTCAATCATGCACTTGGGCTTGGGTTTTAAAATACTGATCACAACAACAGACTAGAATAGCTACTTTTAGTTACATGAATTAGTACCATTTGGTTGTGTTTTGAGATTTTTTTGATATGGCTATTTATATAAAATTGTCTCACACAGCTATCAAATGCACAGGATTAAAAATATAAGACCAAAATAATATTTAAGTAAGATGTAAAACATAGCAAAACCACAAAGTTGTAAACTCGTTTCCAAAAGTCACGATAGAATACTGATCTCATTAACTTCAAATGGTGCTAGTTATATAAAGATATGTATGCATGATCAAAGCTTAGGCCCGGGTGCGGTGGCTCATGCCTGTAATCCCAGCACTTTGGGAGGCCAAGGCGGGCAGATCATGAGGTCAACAGATGGAGACCATCCTGGCCAACATGGTGAAACCCCATCTCTACTAAAAATACATATCAGCTGGACGTGGTAGCACGTGTCTGTAATCCCAGCTACTCGGGAGGCTGGGGCAGGAGAATTGCTTGAACCATGGAGTCGGAGCTTGCAGTGAGCCGAGAATGCGCCACTGCACTCCAGCCTGGCAACAGAACAAGACTCCATCTCAATAAAAAAAAATATAGCTTAGATATCTCTGCCATGAACATATGTAATCCAAATAATCTTTTCGGCAAATGTGTGCACAGGGAATATTTAAAAACTCATAATGCTCGTCAAGAGGAAATTAATTTCCACTTGAACTAAGCCAACGTAAAAGTCAAAAATGCCCTTTGGAAATTTAAACACAAAACAAAAGATTGTGCGTAAGGAGTGAATCTGTATATATAAGAATAATCTTCAACATGGTCTAAACGTTCTCTTAATACAGCCCGGTTTAGTGAATAACTTAGCTGCGTGACCTTGGGTAAGTCATTTAGTTTCAATGTTTTCACATAAATAACTGAATTGTGAGGGTATATTGAGGCATGCATTTCGTAGTACTTTAAAAAATAATGCAAATTTATGATACATTATTTTAAACGTTATTATAAATGCTTACATTATATACATATGCGTTATATATGTATATAGATATAACAGCTGCATATCTAATGATGATTATACTCTTCTATTTCTACATTAAATATATTTTTATGTGTTCTTTTGAAAAGTTCGATTACTAGAACTAACAATATTTCTTCATTTTATGAGATGGTTCTCACATTAAAGGAAGAAAAATGCCACGACGTCTTTCTCTTCAGTAGTAGGAACAAGTGAGAGAATTAATTGTTTTAAAATGACTGTTGAAGAATGATGAGAGGCTCTCTGTACAATAAACAAGCCAAACTCAAATATATGGCTAGAGTTCTGGGTTGTTAATGCACACACTATAAACTTTTATGTTGGGAAATCAAGCTAGTGATGTCCAAAAATCATTTCTTTTTTAGATTTCCAGAAATTCATGACCAAGAATGGTTTAGCTCATGTGCATATTACCTTTGGACACAGATCAAGCAAACAAATATAAAAAACCAAGTGAAAAATGTTTGTCAGGCTTTGTTAAACGGTGAAACAGGATACAGTCTTATTTTAAGAGCAGACGAAAATTTGCATTTTATTTCAATTTGCCAAACCAATTTTTGTAGAACCTCATCATAGCAACATTCTTGTGGCAAGTAAAGTCAGCATGTTGTTCCTATCAGTAGAGGGGGAATCAGAAACAGATTCTGGACATATTCCAATTTCAAGGGGTTCAGAAAGAAAATTAAAATTAAACTTCAAAGCTGAAGTGCTCAAGACTAAACTAGACTAATAATACATAAAGTGGAAAATTAAGTAATTCTAAATGTCATGGGCATGTGAATATCACTGACTCATCTTTAATTTTATAGAATAAGTTAGTGTTATAAGTGACGAGATTAATTCAAGCTGACTAACACAGGTTGATCATTTTGTTATTTATGCTTTTGTTTCCCTCTTTTATTTTTGTTAACAAGCTTAGTGCTTGGCAATAATAAATGGGTAGCTCAAATATTATCTTCTCTAAAAAACTTTGTTGATCTTTTCTAAAAATACATACTTGGTTTATTCACACTTCTATGACAACCCTTTTAACTCTGCTTTAAAGTTTGGATTATATGTCTATTTCTCTGTGGTTTTTTGGAGTGCAAAGACCATGTTCCCTGTTGGATTTTCCTTTTCTACACAAAGTATGGTATTTGGCATATAAACATGTTAAAAGTGGTGAACAAGCATTTCACAAAAGAATTAATGAGTGAAGCAGTAAGTGGGTTCATAGCAACCCTCAGTTGTTGACGGGATCAACTAGATTATTACAAGCAAATCCTGTTGTTTCATTCATTCATTCTACAAATATTGATCAAGTTCTTGGTATAAATAAAATACCTGGATCCATAGCTGTTCATCAGCCCTTCATTTAAGGTGTCATCCATGGGAGTGAAGATGAGAGACAAGAAAGTGGTGCCTGAAAGCTCAGCAGTTAGGGAATTTGAGGCCATTCTAGGTTCTAAAAACACTGTGGTGACCTTAGCGCTTAAACTTTCTGGTTTTCAGTTTCCTCATTTGTAATACGAAGGGATGGCCTTAATGGTCTTTACATTCCCTGTAAGTTTAACATTTTATTATGATGATTGATAGTAGTACTGCTGAGGCACAAGCTCTGCAGGGTCCTCATCACATACAGCCTGAGGCAGGGGTATAGAATCATTATAAGGATATCAGCACTGAGAGACTATAATTCTAAAGTCATGCGGGACGCAAAATACAGCAGAGGTGGCACAGAGGCAGAGAGGAGGCACGTGGAGGTGGTGGGGTGTGTGTGTGTTTGTGTGAGAGAGAGAGAGAGAAAGAGAGAGAGATGGAGAGAAAGTGTGACTGTTCAGGGGAAGAATTTGTAAAACATGACACTGAAACTCAGTTTTTAAGGATGAATTCTGCAGGGGCACAGCCAGGGGGTGGGTGATTCCAAATGTCAGAAACAGCATGCACAAAAGCATCGAGTTTAGAAACAGTGGGGCATAAAGAAAATTGGAAGCACTTAGGTTTTGTTGGAGAATGAATGTGTTTGACAGGTTGACAGGTTGGAGACTGGAACTGTAGGTAAGAGGCTGACCTAAAGGCTCTGGATTCCAGGCCTGAGGGTACAGACTGCAGTCTATACTCAGAGAGAGATGACAGATGCTGGTTTCAAAAGCTCGTGGCAGCTGCTGTGGAAGGCGGAACTCAAGGCAGTAAAACTAGGAGCAGTGGGCCTTTTGAGAGCAAACTGAGGTGAGAGGTGAGATCCAGGTGAGAGAGGGAGGGGTAAGAGACGGGTAAGCTGGAGCTTGGGCAGTGGCATGTAAAAGAGTTCCTAGTGAAGGACATTTAGGAGGAAGAACCAATCGATAGCATTTGGTAATAGACTAGCATCAATCATCAGGGAAGAATAGGAACTTTTTTAGGTTGTCCAAGTGAGGGGAGATGATTTTCTTAACAGATACCAGCCACATGGAAGCATAAATATACCTGTGGTAGAAAGATGATGAATTTGGTTTTGGATAGATTGAATTTGAAGTGCCTTTGGGGCATTCAGAAGGACTAGCCCATTGCGTTTAGAATAACATCCAGAAGCCTTACTAGCCTGGCCCTGAAAGCCCACTGCTGCTGCTCAGCCCTCATCTCCTGCCGCGCCCCTTCATCCTGCCCCTGGCCACTCCACCGTTCCTGCACCCCCCGATCCCCTAAAACTAGCCCGCCCCTGAGTTTTGCACTTGCCGTTTGCTCCACTGGCAACAATGTCTCCTCAAACATCTACAGGGCTGGTTTATGTGTGTTCAGCCTGTTTATGGAGTCTCCGAAGATCATCTTGACAGAGTCCCCTTCGGAGACCATCCCAAGCTGCATGGCCCTGGGCATTTCTGTCGCGCCGTGTTTTATTTTCCGCAAAGCTTATACAACTATTTACGGTGATCATGGTTATTTTCGTATTCGCTTGCTCTCTACTTGAGGGAAAAGCTCTGTGAGAACAGAGAATTGGTTTCGCTTGCCGTTGCGACCCCGCACCTAGCACAGTGCCTGATGTGCACTAACCGCGCTGACGGTTGAGTAACTGTGCACCTGCCCGTGGAACTGTGGAGAGAGCCGGCGGATACGCAGGTGCAGCAGAGCAGGACGGACGGAGGAGCGCATGGACTTGCTTCCATTGTTCAAGCGCCTTCATGTAGTCAGATATTGCTACAAAATAAGATATTTTAACCACAACTGGTTTTTTCACTCTGACTTCCCCTCTTCCACTCATCTCATGTTAGTTGATATGAAAAAGTGTATTGGGGACACAGCTAATGAGACATTGAATTAGAATACATTAGATTTGGTTCTAATAGGATGTATTTGTACAATTTGCGACATACATAATCATAAATGCCAAATTACATAGAGAAATGCATATTTATTTAGAACGAGAAGAGAAATAATAATACTAGCTTTTGAAAAACTAACAAATATCTAATCTTCACAAAGTCTAGAAAATCACGTGTTTTTATGTTGTTTTGCCGGATATTGTTCCATAGTCCTTCTTTTCCTATGTTTTTGGCTGAATAGTATTTAATCTCCTCTTCCAATGGCAGCGCTTTTGTAATGTCACTTTCTATAAAAAGGAAAGATAATTCTATTTTTCTACTAGTATGGTTGATTTATTTTAAACAGTGTTTAGAAAAGTATTTTTAGCATTATAACTTGTTAATGAAACATAAAAATTTCAAGGATTGTTTTCAAATTTAGGAAAAACTTGTTTTTTCTTTTTTTTGTTGCTGTTGTTGTTTTCGAGACGGAGTCTCGCTTTGTCACCCAGGTTGGAGTGCAGTGGTGCGATCTTGGCTCACTGCAACCTCTGCCTCTGGGGTTCAAGCGATTCTCCTGCTGGGACTATAGGTGCCCCCGCCACTAGGTCCGGCTAATTTTTGTATTTTTAGTAGAAACTGGTTTCACCATGTTGTCCAGGGTGGTCTTGAACTCCTGACTTCAGGTGATCCCTCCTCCTCAGCCTCCCAAAGTGCTGGGATTACAGGCGTGAGCCCCCATGCCCGGCTGATCTCGTTTTTCACACAGGGTTTGTTACTTACATGCTTGCTGTTTTTGGAGCTGCTTCAGATTTGTGCCCTACACATGCAGTAATTCTGATAAATTCTATTTTATGAAATTTTCCACCAAAGTTAATGTACTGATTTCTGTATATGCTTTATTATATCATATATTTTTGAAAAGAGAGAATTTCCATTACTTGAGAGAAAATTTTCAATTCATACTTTATTCATTCAATTTTTAATTATGTACATTTCAAAATGTATTTCTTTTCCATTCCTTGCATGCGTCCGGTGACAGGTCCCCCAGGACATTCTGTCTTGGCCTTGCCCCTTTGTCACAGTGGAATACAATTCAGCTGAGAAAAGGAGAAAGTCCTGTCAGTCACAAAACCATAGATGATCCTGGAGGACATTATTCTAAGATAAATAAGCCAGGCATAGAAACACAATACTGTATGATCCCACTTAAATGTGGGATGTAAACAAGTCGAACCCATAGAAGCAGAAAGTAGAATGGTATGAGAATGTGTCGGTCGAAGTGTACAAAGTTTCAGTTAGGAGAACTATATTCTGGAGATCTATTTGGCGGATGTAGTAACAATAATGTACTCTACCCTTGAAAATTGCTGAAAGTAGGTTTTAAATGTTCCCACAACACAAAAATAAGTATGTGTGATATGTTAATTAGCTTGATTTAATTATTTCAGAATGTACACATATGTCAAAACATCATGTTGTATCCCATAAGCATGTACAATAAAAAATAATTTAAAACAATGACAAAAATCCAGAACACACAAAATACCTATAAAATATAAATAAAAATATAATAGCCAGGCATGGTGGCATGCCTGTGATCCCAGCTACTCTGGAGGCTGAGGCAGGAGTTTTGCTTAAGCCCAGGAGTTCAAGGCTGCAGTGAGCTGTGATCATACAACTGCATTCCAGGCTGGGTGACAGGGCAAGACTCTATCTCAAATATATATATATATCATATCATTATATATGTGATATAACCATAAACTATAAAATATACATTTAAAATATTATATATGTAAATATACATTTATGAATTACATTTGAGTTCTTGCTGCCCTTTTTTTTAATGGCAGCATCTAAAAGACTGGAATTTGTCCAAGTAGAAAATCCTACTTTTGTTAACCATTACTTGGCTGAATGTCAATAAATGCCCATGGTATGAGAACATGGTTGTTTATAAGAAATCATCAACAGATAACTGTATATTTATAAACAGTTAACCCTTAAACAACATGGGTTTGAATTGCATGGTCCACTCATAAGCAGATTTTTTCCCTCTCTGCCACCCCTGAGACAGCAAGACCAAGCCCTCTTCTTCCTCCTCTTCTGCTCAATGTGAAGAAGATGAGAATTAAGACCCTTGTGATGATCCACTTCCACTTAATAGTAAATTTATTTCCTCTGTCTCTCTCTTTTTTTTTTTTTTTAGTTGTGGGGGGTCTCTCTATTTTGCCGAGGCTGGCCTCAAACTCCTGGGCTCAAATGATCCTCCTGCCTCAGCCTCCCAAGTAGCTGGGATGTTGAAGCAGGTCACAGGACATCATGCCTGGCTTCCTTGTGATGTTTCAAAATAACATTTTCTTTTCTCTAGTCTCAGGTTTTTTGTAAAAGTATAGTGAGTATAGTATGTAATACATATAACATGCAAAATATGCATTAGTCAACTATGTTATCAGTAAGGCTACAGGTCAACAGTAGACTATTAGTAGTTAAGTTTTTTTTTTTTTGTCTTTTTTTTTTATTATACTTTAAGTTTTAGGGTACATGTGCACATTGTGCAGGTTAGTTACATATGTATACATGTGCCATGCTGGTGCGCTGCACCCACTAACTCGTCATCTAGCATTAGGTATATCTCCCGATGCTATCCCTCCCCCCTCCCCCCACCCCACAACAGTCCCCAGAGTGTGATATTCCCCTTCCTGTGTCCATGTGATCTCATTGTTCAATTCCCACCTATGAGTGAGAATATGCGGTGTTTGGTTTTTTGTTCTTGCGATAGTTTACTAAGAATGATGATTTCCAATTTCATCCATGTCCCTGCAAAGGACATGAACTCATCCTTTTTATGGCTGCATAGTATTCCATGGTGTATATGTGCCACATTTTCTTAATCCAGTCTATCATTGTTGGACATTTGGGTTGGTTCCAAGTCTTTGCTATTGTGAATAATGCCGCAATAAACATACGTGTGCATGTGTCTTTATAGCAGCATGATTTATAGTCCTTTGTGTATATACCCAGTAATGGGATGGCTGGGTCAAATGGTATTTCCAGTTCTAGATCCCTGAGGAATTGCCACACTGACTTCCACAATGGTTGAACTAGTTTACAGTCCCACCAACAGTGTAAAAGTGTTCCTATTTCTCCACATCCTCTCCAGCACCTGTTGTTTCCTGACTTTTTAATGATCGCCATTCTAACTGGTGTGAGATGGTATCTCATTGTGGTTTTGATTTGCATTTCTCTGATGGCCAGTGATGATGAGCATTTTTTCATGTGTTTTTTGGCTGCATAAATGTCTTCTTTTGAGAAGTGTCTGTTCATGTCCTTCACCCACTTTTTGATGGGGTTGTTTGTTTTTTTCTTGTCAATTTGTTTGAGTTCATCGTAGATTCTGGATATTAGCCCTTTGTCAGATGAGTAAGTTGTGAAAATTTTCTCCCATTTTGTAGGTTGCCTGTTCACTCTGATGGTAGTTTCTTTTGCTGTGCAGAAGCTCTTTAGTTTAATTAGATCCCTTTTGTCAATTTTGTCTTTTGTTGCCATTTCTTTTGGTGTTTTAGACATGAAGTCCTTGCCCATGCCTATGTCCTGAATGGTAATGCCTAGGTTTTCTTCTAGGGTTTTTATGGTTTTAGGTCTAACGTTTAAGCCTTTAATCCATCTTGAATTGATTTTTGTATAAGGTGTAAGGAAGGGATCCAGTTTCAGCTTTCTACATATGGCTAGCCAGTTTTCCCAGCACCATTTATTAAATAGGGAATCCTTTCCCCATTGCTTGTTTTTCTCAGGTTTGTCAAAGATCAGATAGTTGTAGATATGCGGCGTTATTTCTGAGGGCTCTGTTCTGTTCCATTGATCTATATCTCTGTTTTGGTACCAGTACCATGCTGTTTTGGTTACTGTAGCCTTGTAGTATAGTTTGAAGTCAGGTAGTGTGATGCCTCCAGCTTCGTTCTTTTGGCGTAGGATTGACTTGGCGATGCGGGCTCTTTTTTGGTTCCATATGAACTTTAAAGTAGTTTTTTCCAATTCTGTGAAGAAAGTCATTGGTAGCTTGATGGGGATGGCATTGAATCTGTAAATTACCTTGGGCAGTATGGCCATTTTCACGATCTTGATTCTTCCTACCCATGAGCATAGAATGTTCTTCCATTTGTTTGTATCCTCTTTTATTTCCTTGAGCAGTGGTTTGTAGTTCTCCTCGAAGAGGTCCTTCACATCCCTTGTAAGTTGGATTCCTAAGTATTTTATTCTCTTTGAAGCAATTGTGAATGGGAGTTCACTCACGATTTGGCTGTTTGTCTGTTGTTGGTGTATAAGAATGCTTGTGATTTTTGTACATTGATTTTGTATCCTGAAACTTTGCTGAAGTTGCTTATCAGCTTAAGGAGATTTTAGGCTGAGACAATGGGGTTTTCTAGATATACAATCATGTCATCTGCAAACAGGGACAATTTGACTTCCTCTTTTCCTAATTGAATACCCTTTATTTCCTTCTCCTGCCTAATTGCCCTGGCCAGAACTTCCAACACTATGTTGAATAGGAGTGGTGAGAGAGGGCATCCCTGTCTTGTGCCAGTTTTCAAAGGGAATGCTTCCAGTTTTTGCCCATTCAGTATGATATTGGCTGTGGGTTTGTCATAGATAGCTCTTATTATTTTGAAATACGTCCCATCAATACCTAATTTATTGAGAGTTTTTAGCATGAAGGGTTGCTGAATTTTGTCAAAGGCTTTTTCTGCATCTATTGAGATAATCATGTGGTTTTTGTCTTTGGCTCTGTTTATATGCTGGATTACATTTATTGATTTGCGTATATTGAACCAGCCTTGCATCCCAGGGATGAAGCCCACTTGATCATGGTGGATAAGCTTTTTGATGTGCTGCTGGATTCGTTTTGCCAGTATTTTATTGAGGATTTTTGCATCAATGTTCATCAAGGATATTGGTCTAAAATTCTCTTTTTTTGTTGTGTCTCTGCCTGGCTTTGGTATCAGGATGATGCTGGCCTCATAAAATGAGTTAGGGAGGATTCCCTCTTTTTCTATTGATTGGAATAGTTTCAGAAGGAATGGTACCAGTTCCTCCTTGTACCTCTGGTAGAATTCAGCTGTGAATCCATCTGGTCCTGGACTCTTTGGTTGGTAAACTATTGATTATTGCCACAATTTCAGCTCCTGTTATTGGTCTATTCAGAGATTCAACTTCTTCCTGGTTTAGTCTTGGGAGAGTGTATGTGTCCAGGAATTTATCCATTTCTTCTAGATTTTCTAGTTTATTTGCGTAGAGGTGTTTGTAGTATTCTCTGATGGTAGTTTGTATTTCTATGGGATCGGTGGTGACATCCCCTTTATCATTTTTTATTGTGTCTATTTGATTCTTCTCTCTTTTTTTCTTTATTAGTCTTGCTAGCGGTCTATCAATTTTGTTGATCCTTTCAAAAAACCAGCTCCTGGTTTCATTAATTTTTTGAAGGTTTTTTTGTGTCTCTATTTCCTTCAGTTCTGCTCTGATTTTAGTTATTTCTTGCCTTCTGCTAGCTTTTGAATGTGTTTGCTCTTGCTTTTCTAGTTCTTTTAATTGTGATGTTAGGGTGTCAATTTTGGATCTTTCCTGCTTTCTCTTGTGGGCATTTAGTGCTATAAATTTCCCTCTACACACTGCTTTGAATGCATCCCAGAGATTCTGGTATGTTGCGTCTTTGTTCTCGTTGATTTCAAAGAACATCTTTATTTCTGCCTTCATTTCGTTACGTACCCAGTAGTCATTCAGGAGCAGGTTGTTCAGTTTCCATGTAGTTGAGCGGTTTTGAGTGAGATTCTTAATCCTGAGTTCTAGTTTGATTGCACTGTGGTCTGAGAGATAGTTTGTTATAATTTCTGTTCTTTTACATTTGCTGAGGAGAGCTTTACTTCCCAGTATGTGGTCAATTTTGGAATAGGTGTGGTGTGGTGCTGAAAAAAAATGTATATTCTGTTGATTTGGGGTGGAGAGTTCTGTAGATGTCTATTAGGTCCACTTGGTGCAGAGCTGAGTTCAATTCCTGGGTATCCTTGTTGACTTTCTGTCTCGTTGATCTGTCTAATGTTGACAGTGGGGTGTTAAAGTCTCCCATTATTAATGTGTGGGAGTCTAAGTCTCTTTGTAGGTCACTCAGGACTTGCTTTATGAATCTTGGTGCTCCTGTATTGGGTGCATATATATTTAGGAGAGTTAGCTCTTCTTGTTGAATTGATCCCTTTACCATTATGTAATGGCCTTCTTTGTCTCTTTTGATCTTTGTTGGTTTAAAGTCTGTTTTATCAGAGATTAGGATTGCAACCCTTTTTTTGTTTTCCATTGGCTTGGTAGATCTTCCTCCATCCTTTTATTTTGAGCCTATGTGTGTCTCTGCACGTGAGATGGGTTTCCTGAATACAACACACTGATGGGTCTTGGCTCTTTATCCAATTTGCCAGTCTGTGTCTTTTAATTGGATCATTTAGTCCATTTACATTTAAAGTTAATATTGTTATGTGTGAATTTGATCCTGTCATTGTGATGTTAGCTGGTTATTTTGCTCTTTAGTTGATGCAGTTTCTTCCTAGTCTCGATGGTCTTTACATTTTGGCATGATTTTGCAGCGGCTGGTACCGGTCGTTCCTTTCCATGTTTAGTGCTTCCTTCAGGAGCTCTTGTAAGGCAGGCCTGGTGGTGACAAAATCTCTCAGCATTTGCTTGTCTGTAAAGTTTTTTATTTCTCCTTCACTTATGAAGCTTAGTTTGGCTGGATATGAAATTCTGGGTTGAAAATTCTTTTCTTTAAGAATGTTGAATATCGGCCCCCACTCTCTTCTGGCTTGTAGGGTTTCTGCCGAGAGATCTGCTGTTAGTCTGATGGGCTTCCCTTTGAGGGTAACCCGACCTTTCTCTCTGGCTGCCCTTAACATTTTTTCCTTCATTTCAACTTTGGTGAATCTGACAATTATGTGTCTTGGAGTTGCTCTTCTCAAGGAGTATCTTTGTGGCATTCTCTGTATTTCCTGAATCTGAACGTTGGCCTGCCTTTCTACATTGGGGAAGTTCTCCTGGATAATATCCTGCAGAGTGTTTTCCAACTTGGTTCCATTCTCCCCATCACTTTCAGGTACACCAATCAGATGTAGATTTGGTCTCTTCACATAGTCCCATATTTCTTGGAGGCTCTGCTCATTTCTTTTTATTCTTTTTCTCTAAACTTCCCTTCTCACTTCATTTCATTCATTTCATCTTCCATCACTGATACCCTTTCTTCCAGTTGATCACATTGGCTTCTGAGGCTTCTGCATTCTTCACGTATTTCTCGAGCCTTGGTTTTCAGCTCCATCAGCTCCTTTAAGCACTTCTCTGTATTGGTTATTCTAGTTATACATTCTTCTAAATTTTTTTTCAAAGTTTTCAACTTCTTTGCCTTTGGTTTGAATGTCCTCCCGTAGCTCAGAGTAATTTGATCGTCTGAAGCCTTCTTCTCTCAGCTCGTCAAAGTCATTCTCCATCCAGCTTTGTTCCATTGCTGGTGACGAACTGCGTTCCTTTGGAGGAGGAGAGGCGCTCTGCTTTTTAGAGTTTCCAGTTTTTCTGTTCTGTTTTTTCCCCATCTTTGTGGTTTTATCTACTTTTGGTCTTTGATGATGGTGATGTACAGATGGGTTTTTGGTGTGGATGTCCTTTCTGTTTGTTAGTTTTCCTTCTAACAGAGAGGACCCTCAGCTGCAGGTCTGTTGGAGTACCCTGCCGTGTGAGATGTCAGTGTGCCCCTGCTGGGGGGTGCCTCCCAGTTAGGCTACTCAGGGGTCAGGGGTCAGGGACCCATTTGAGGAGGCTGTCTGCCCGTTCTCAGATCTCCAGCTGCGTGCTGGGAGAACCACTGCTCTCTTCAAAGCTGTCAGACAGGGACATTTAAGTCTGCAGCGGTTACTGCTGTCTTTTTGTTTGTCTGTGCCCTGCCCCCAGAGGTGGAGCCTACAGAGGCAGGCAGGCCTCCTTGAGCTGTGGTGGGCTCCACCCAGTTCGAGCTTCCTGGCTGCTTTGTTTACCTAATCAAGCCTGGGCAATGGTGGGCGCCCCTCCCCCAGCCTCGCTGCCGCCTTGCAGTTTGATCTCAGACTGCTGTGCTAGCAATCAGCGAGACTCCGTGGGCGTAGGACCCTCCAAGCCAGGTGCAGGATATAATCTCCTGGTGTGCCATTTTTTAAGCCCGTCGGAAAAGTGCAGTATTCGGGTGGGAGTGACCTGATTTTCCAGGTGCCGTCGGTCACCCCTTTCTTTGACTCAGAAAGGGAACTCCCTGACCCCTTGCGCTTCCCAAGTGAGGCAATGCCTCGCCCTGCTTCCGCTCGCACACGGTGCGCGCACCCACTGACCTGAGCCCACTGTCTGGCACTGCCTAGTGAGATGAACCCAGTACCTCAGATGGAAATGCAGAAATCACCGTCTTCTGCGTCGCTCACGCTGGGAGCTGTAGACCGGAGCTGTTCCTATTCGGCCATCTTTGCTCCTCCCCCCTTAGTAGTTAAGTTTTTGAGGAGTCAAAAATTTCAACTCTGAGTCAGTAACCCCCATGTTGTTCAAGGATCAAATGTATATATTTCCATATGTGTGTTTAGATACATGTATGTGTGTGTGTATATATTCATGCATGTGAGCCTATGTGCGTGTAGACTATTCTCTAAAACTCAAAATCAGAGAAAAATAACCTTTGTGTAAAGTAAAATATATCAATGACCATAATCAGATATGAATCATAATTCTAATATGTAGTTGACGTATAGAAAAAAGCATAAGAATTTGTATTGATATGTTTATTTAAATTAAATTATAAAATTGCATAGAGTTAGAAAAAGCAAAATTAGTTTATTGCAATTATTATTTTCTCAACTTGATATTAATAAAGTTATTTTTATAATAATGGCACATATTAAAAAGCAATTTTACTCTGTCCTTCAGAGCATTTGCTCCACATTGGAGCTATTTCCATTGTAGATTTTTTTGTAAGGCTATAATTCTATCACATGGGCAGATTGTGCTAAAACAAGCAGAAAGGGTCACAACCTTCTGTCTAACCTTTGCTATTTAGAATGAACGCCCAGGGCTTTCGAGAATGTAAATTGTCCTGGCCTGTTCTCTGACAAAATAAGAACATACAGTTGAAGAATTATTTTTTGTAAAACCTAAATTTGCCTTTTTTCCTCACACTAAGCTCTTCTCAAGTGTTAAGTTTAAAGACAGTTAATTATCAGCTATTCTTTAGAGCACGGGAAAAACAGTTTAGTACTCAGTAAAGTGAGCATGCAATCTACCTTATTCCTGTTTTTTTCGATGGATGAATGTGAAGAATTTACACAGTCATGCAAGAGAGGCAACGATAGTGTTCTCTTAAGAAGACAAAATTATAAGATTGGAGGTTAACACTTGCTCAACCCAGTAAAAAGGCATTTGGTAGATATTTCTGATCTTTCCCTGACTGATGAAAAGTGCTGATATTTCTAAGAAACTGGTAGGAAACTTTAAAAAAAAAAAACTCCCCGAAGCCTACCACCAGGCATGCCATGAACTTTCAGATGACACATCGTGCTACTAATTTTTAGTGACCTTTGCTAAATTTATCAAAAAATGCTCTCACTAAATCCATTTCTGTAGAAATAAAGAAAATATCCGTGATGTGCAAACTCACAGTACAAATCTGTGCGGCTTCTGACTGCAAAAGATCCTGCATATTTCATCAAAGCCTCAGGGTTGTGGTTATTGATGTTTCCCAGAACGTGGAGTGAAACCCCACACAAACAGATTGCCAAAGGGGAGAAAACTATGATTTGTGAAATTCAACATTATCTCTTGAATGCCTTTGCTTTTTATTTTGAACATACTTTATTTTTTAGACCAGTTTTAGGATCACAGCAAAATTAAGCAGAGGTATAGAGATTTCCTATATATCCACTGCCCCCATACAGGCATAGCCTCCCCCATTATCAAAAGCCCCCACAAGAGTGGTAAATGTGTTACAACTGATTAACCTCCATTGACACATCATTCTCACCCCAAATTTACCTTAGGTGTTAGACATTCTGTGGGCTTGGAGAAATGTATAATGATGTGTACACACAATTACGGCATTATACAGGGTAGGTTTCTTGTCCTAAACGTTCTCTGTGCTCCACCTATTCAGTCTCCCTCTCTCTTAAGTCTGGGCAACCATTGATTATTTTTACTGTCTCCATAGTTTGCCTTTAAAAAAATGTCATATAGTGGCTCACGCCTGTAATTCCAGCACTTTGGGAGGCCGAGGCAGGCAGATCAACGAGGTCAGGAGTTCGAGACCATCCTGGCCAACATGGTGAAACCCTGTCTCTAACAAAAATACAAAAATTAGCTGGGTGTGGTGATGCTTGCCTGTAATCCCAGCTACTCAGAGGGCTGAGGCAGGAGAATCACTTGAACCAGGGAGTTGACGTTGCAGTGAGCCGAGATTGCGCCACTGCACTCCAGCCTGGCGAGAGAGCGAGACTCTGTCTAAAAAAAAAAAAAAAAAGTCATATAGTTGGAATCGTGTATTATGTAGCCTTTTCAATTTGGCTTTTTTCACTTGGTAATATGCATTTAAGTTTCTTCCACATGATTTTATGGCTTGAAAGCTTATTTCTTTTTAACGCTGAGAAAATTTCCATTGTCTGGATGTACAACGGCTTATTCCTTCGCCTATTCTAGGCTATCTAAATTTCTTCTAAGTTTTAGCAATTATGAATAGAAATGCTCTAAGTGCAAGTTTTTATGTAGACATGTTTTCATCTTCTTTGGGTAAATACCAAGGAGAGTGATTATAGTATCATATAATAAAAGAATGTTTAGTTTGGTAAGAAACGGTCAAACTCTCTTCCAAAGTGACTGCCATTTTGCATTCCCATCAGCAACGAAAGAGAATTCATTGTTCTTTAACCTCACTAGCATTTGGTGTTGGATCTGGAGCTTGGCCATTACAATAAGTGAGTAGTAATATCTCATTGTTTTAATTTGCATTTCCCTGAGGACGTATGGTATGGAGCATCTTTCACGTGCTTATTTGCCATCTGTATATTTTCTTTGGTTGGGTGTCTATTTAGGTCTTTGGACCATTTTTTAATTAAGTTTTTTTTTTTTATCGTTTAGATTTAAGGGATTCTTTCTATATTTTGAATAGCAGTCCCTTATCAGATATGGCCTCCCACATGAGAATGTAATTCTTCTGACAGTGCCTCTCATGGAGCAGAACTTTTTAATTGTAATGAAGTTCAGTTTATCAATTGTTTCTCTCAGAGATTATGCTTTTGGTATATCTAAAAAGTCATTGCCAAACTCTTGCTAATCTAGATTTTTCTCCTATGTTATCTTCTAGGAGTTTTATAATTTTGTGTTTTAGAATCCACTTTGAGTTAATTTTTGTGAAGAGTATAAGGTCTGTGTCTAGGTTTATTTATTTTTGCATGTGGATGTTCAGTTGTTATAGTACTATTTGTAGAAAAGACTGTTTTTGCTCCATCGTCTTTGCTCCTTTGTCAAAGATCAGTTGGCTCTATTTATGTAGGTCTACTTCTGGGCTCCTCATTCTGTTTCTTTGACATGTTTGTCTGTTGTTTTACCAATACCACACTGTCTTGATTACTGTAGCTTTATAGTAAGTCTTGAAATCTGGTAATATCTGTCCTCCAGCTTTGTTATTCTCCTTCAATATTGTGATGGTTATTGTGAGTCTTTTGCCTTTCCATAGAATCAGTTTGTCAATATACACTAAAATAACTTGCTGGAATTTTGATTGGGGTTGCATTTAATGTATAGATTCAGATGGGAAGAACTGCCAGTATTTAGCCTCTCTATCCATGAACATGAGATGTCTCTATTTATTTAGTTCTTTGATTTTTTTCATCAGAGTTTTGTCATTTTCCTCCTATAAATCTTGTACATATTTTCTTAGATTTATATCTTCGGTATTTCATTTTGGGTGTGCTCATGTAAATGGTATTATGCTTATAATTTAAAATTGTACTTGTTCATTGCTGGTATATAGGAAAGCAATAGGGTTTCGTATATTAACTTTATGTTTTGCCACCTTATGATAAGTTAGTTTCAGGAGGTTTTGTTGGTGTTATTAAGTTATTGTTGTTGATTATTTTTGATTTTCTACATAAATAATCATGTCAACTGCAAACAAAGACAGCTTTTTTACTCTATTGGTGTGTTTTATTTATTTATTATTTATTTATTTACTTATTTATTTATTTTCTCATTGCATTAGTTAGGGCTTCCAGTGTGCTGTTGAAAAGAAGTGGTGAGAGGTAATATCCTTGCCTTGTTTTTCATCTTAGCACAAAAGTTTCCACTTTCTCACCATTAAATGTAATGTTAGCTGTATGTTTTTGTAAATATCACTTGTTAGTCTGAAAATGTCTTTTTATTATTATTATTATACTTTAAGTTTTAGGGTACATGTGCACAACGTGCAGGTTTGTTACATATGTATACATGTGCCATGTTGGTGTGCTGCACCCATTAACTCGTCATTTACATTAGGTATATCTCCTAATGCTATCCCTCCCCACTCCCTCCCACCCCACAACAGGCCCCGCTGTGTGATGTTCCCCTTCCTGTGTCCATGTGTTCTCATTGTTCAGTTCCCACCTATGAGTGAGAACATGCCTGCAGGTTCTGTCCATTTGTGGTAGAGGGACATTAAAGTGTTCAACTATAATAGTGAATTTGTTTCTCTTTGTGGTTCTATCAGTGTTTGTCTCATAGCTCTAATGTCTGCTCTGAATTCACATAACTACTCCTGCTTTCTCTTGACTAATGTTAGTATGGTGTATTTTTCTCTATTTATTTACTTTTGATCTATAGGTATCTTTATATTTAAATTGGATTTCTTGCAAACAATATATAGTTGAGTCTTGTTTTTTGATCCACTCTGCCAATTTCTGACTTTCAATTGGTGCATTTAGACCATTGATACTCCAAGCGATTACTGATATAGTTGGATTACTGTCTATAATATTTTTTATTCTTTTCTATTTGTTGCCCTTTGCTTCTATTTTTGAATTCTACTTCTTTCTGCTTTTTTGTAGCTTGAGTTTGTTTTTTATTGAACAGAATGAACAAGAAGTTGTTGGCTCCTCAAAATCAATTATTATTTTTATATCAAACTGGAAAATTAAAACTAAACTTCAAGTTTTATCAGCTTGTTATTTGACAAGTACTTTTTTTTCCCAGGCACTGCCCTTTACATCTAAGCCAATGGGTTTTCTATCTATCTGTTTCCTACTTTCTAGTTTAGGTTTTAATAGTTTTTAAATCTTTGTGGTTATTATTGATATTCTCAATTTTTACTATTAAAATGAAGCATTATGGATAGTAAAGCATATTTTGAAGAATTTCTACGGTGATTAAAAATTTTTCTATTTTGTAATATGGTGTTATTTTTACATAGAAAAACACCTGATACTTTTGAGACCTCAGTTATCTCTCACATAAACTCTCACTGAATTTATCTGTACCCAAGTCATGGTGTTAAGAAGTCTTGCTGTGAAATGTAGAGGTCAGTCACATACATGTTGAAATACAACAGAATGTGTGTGGGTTGCTTCCGGGCTCTTCTGCTTACCAGCTGTGTGTCCTTGCACAAGTTAACTAAATTCTTGCCTGTCAGCTTCTCATCAGTAAACTAGGGAGTATAAAGACAATCCATAGTATTATTGTGGATGTTAGCTAAAATATTTTAATGCAAAGTATCAATTAAAATTTTTTGAAATATAATAGATGTCCCAAAATGCTGGCTTACCATTCATTATTATTTTAATCTTTGCATTTCAGTCTTTTGTGATACTTTCTCCAACATACAACAGTCTAGAATGGAAATATGGGCTATATTTTTGAATTTCTAAGCATTTTACCTGGCTATTAGTATGAATTCAAGAAGCATTTGTTGAAAGAAAAATAAGATTCTCAAATTGTAAGCATTAGTGCAAACATTTACTTGGCCACTAAGAAAATTTAATAATTAATTAATATACTTTAGAATTTGTTTCAAAACTCTAAATGTTTATGATAAAACTAAACTTTCTGGTATTTGGATTTATTCTTAATAACTTCTTTTCCTACATTGCCTTTGTGAAGTTTTCTCTCTAATAAGCCACCTTTAAAGTTTGAAACTGCAGAATCACAAAGTGTACACTTGCTGCATACTGTAGAGTCCTTTTGGTTGCACCAAATCCTGTTGAGAGTTTTACCATTTTAATAGGCATCAGTCAGCGTCTGCAAAAACTTTGCACACATGTAAAGCTGTTGCTGAAATCTTTTATTATCTGGAGAAGGAAAAGCACTAATTTTTTCATGCCATAAAATTCCTAAAAATGATGCTCTGATGGTAACATAATGCCCTATATGTGAGTACCATGGTTATAGATTTAATCTAAAATATGAAATCATCAATACTATACAGCCAATATCAAAAACATGTTGATCAATCCATAAAAGATATGTTGATCAATAATGATCAAAGCTTACCGATACCACCGTGTCCAGTGTTCATTCTAACAGCACAGCACAATGGTTCCAGACAATTACCTAGTCTTGTTCTCCATATCAAGTGGAGTTATTAGCCAATGGGTGAAAATTTTCTGTTAAGCAAGATGAATAAATTCTAGACATCTTCTGTATAGCATTCCACCTATAGGCAACCATATTGCACTGTACATTGAAAATTTTGTTAAGAAGATAGATCTTACGTTAAGCGTTCTTACCACAATTTAAAATAGTTTTTTAAATTAGCTAGTAAACCTTTTTTATGGTCTAGATACTAATTTCCAAATATAAAGATGGATAATTTAATTGTCTTTAAAATTTAAGCCCAGGTGAAGTGTCAAGAATGTCAGCATTTATTTCTGTGTTGACAAATCAGAACATAAACATAAACAAATCAAAACATCAACTACATTCAGGTCTCCAACTTTAATATCAACTATCTGTTAATTGATTTTAGGTCCACATCTTTGTCCACAATGGCACATTTCTAAACGCATCATCTGGAATTAAAACTACTTACCTACTCTCTATACAGTTGCCACTTAACGGGAATTTCCTGGTTGGGTCAGGAATGTGTTTATTCTTATGCATTCTTTGCAGGCTGCATTGCCCAGAGTTCAATCTGGTTTCATATTGTGAAGCACAGGGGAGAGTGGGAAGAGGTAAATATTCCCTACACCTTCCCACCCATCCACCCTGACCCTATCCTCTTCCCCACTGTCTGAGGGCTTTAGACAGTGGCTACATTTTTCCATGGCTCCGTCCAGAAAGGTCCACTGTTACTTCAGTTTTAACCAAATAATCCCTGCCCCTGAGCTCTGGTAAATGCCTCTTCTCTTTGCTACTCTGGCCTCGGAGAAATAATTCCTTACTGGGATTCATGATATCTGGGTTTTCTCTCAGTGATTTCACTGGTGTCTCAGCCCTTCCATTACCCTTGCAGCCAGTCCCCAACTCGAAATTATTGTTGTCCAGGGAACTCAAACAACTCAACAAGAAAAAACACAGGTAGCCCCATTGAATAGTGGGCAAATGACATGAACACATATTTTTCCAAAGAAGACATGCAAATAGTCAACAAGCATATGAAAAACTGCTAAATATCACTAATCAGAGAAAAATCAAATTAAAGCCATAATAAGATAATATCTTACAGCATTAAAAAATATGGTGGTGAGGATGTGGAGACAAGGGAATGCTTTGTACACTGTTGGTGGGAGTGCAAATTAGTGCAACCTCTATGGAAAACAGTATGGAGATTTTTCAAAGAACTAAAAATAGATGTACCATTTGACCCAGTCATCCCAGTACTGTGTATCTACGCAGAAGAAAAGTAATCATTACACCAAAATATACCTGCACTCATATGTGTACTACTCAAAGCAGCAAAGATATGGAATCAACCTGAGTGTCCATCAAAGGATGATTGGATAAAGAAAATGTGTTATTATATATATATACACATATATAAAAACACATTTTCGTGATATATATATATATATATATACCATGAAAAAATACTCAGCTATAAAAAAGAATGAAATTATGTCTTTTTCAGAAACATAAGTGGAACTGGAGGCCTTTATCTTAAGTAAAGTAACTCAGAAACGAAAGTCAAATACGGCATATTCTCACTTATAAGTGGGAGCTAAACAATGTGTACACATGAACATAGAGAGTGGAATAATAGACATTGGAGGCTTGGAAAGGTGGGAGGGTGGGAGTGGGGTGAAGGATGAGCAATTACCTCTCGGGTACAATGTGCACTATTTGGGTGATGATTACACTAAAAGCTCAGGCTTCACCAGCACATAATATATCCATGTAACAAAACTGCACTTGTACCTTCTAAATCTGTAAAAATAAAAATTAAATTGTCCTTATTTCAAATGCAGTAGGTGGTTTCTGTTTTGTTTTTGTGTTTTTGCTTTTTGACAAAATTGCGATATATATGCGCTGTATAATGATATCCTAGGAGTCACGTTTCTGGATCTACTTTTTCAGGGTCATTTCTAAGCATTGTGGATTATGTATCTGTTTTAGATTGAAAATACTGAACCATATAGCTTTCATGGGATTTGAGAATGAAATCATGTTTTCCCTAAGAAATGATATCTTTTCTTCTAAAAACACAAAGCAGTCTAACTTTGATAATTAATTCTAATATGCATTGGGAACACATGCATAGGTAGATGGAAAGTTTGATGAAATGCTACCATGTGATATATGATTTTCATATATATCTCATTTATTCTTGCAACCACTCAACAGGGATATTATGTAACATAACTTGCTGTTGTGAAATCTGTAAAATAGCTACAAACCAAATCCAAGGCTGTCTGAGTCCAAAGCCTAGACCATTTCTACTCTGTAAAACTATTTCTTCTTCAGAGAAAATATTTAAAACAACAGTGACAGACTATGAATGTTCAATATGTATAATATGGAAATTTGTCTCTTTTTTCTTTATTTTTCTTGCTGTATTAGAAAAACTCCTTGCAGCGTTTTAAGATTAATGTTCCTTTCCCTCTAGGAAAGAGGATAGAGCAAAACAAGTTTTGTTTTATTAATGATTTCAGTCCTGGATTTAATAAATTTTAAACCTACACTATGAAATTAAAAGGGATGATGCATTTTGGGATGAGGATGAGTTAGAGGTAGAATGACATAAAGATAAAGAAGTGAAGGAAGTTTATCAGGCGTGAAACAGAAGCCTGGGGCACGATGATGGGGAAGGTTTCCAAGTGGGAGGAGCTACTGATTAGTGAGTCCAGAGGGTAGTTCCCAGGAAGGAGCAACGTACATCAATAAGGAGGTTCAAAAACAAATTGTCTGTACCTGGTAAGGACAGAAGTACAAATTCATTGGTCTGTGTTAAAAGTCTTGTTCCTTATCAAAATGCAATCTATAGAGAACTTCGTTAATCTGGATATTAGGCAGGCATCATGCTGATTCACTAAATGATGACATCATCTTTATGAGCCTTGATAAAATAAAGTACAAATAATCCAAAATGTCCTGGAAATATACATGCATCATGGAAGATGGTAGGTAAACTTCATGGAGAATCAGGGGCTTGACAAATTGATGTTCTTAGAGGATTGAGGTATGCCACAGGTAGGGAAGAAACGGTTGCATGTTGCACCTCCAGTTACTAAGGCAGAAGCCCAGATCTTCATGGATTTTGGAGGTAGCATTATTTATTGGGTGATATGGTTTGGCTGTGTCCCCACCCAAATCTCATGTTGAAGTGTAGCTCCCATAATTCCCACGTGTTGTGGGAGGGACCTATGGGAGGTAATTGAATCACGGGGGCAGTTTTCCCCCATACTGTTCTCGCGGTAGTGAATAAGTCTCATGAGATCTGAGGGTTTTATAAGGGGTTTTCCCTTTCTCTTGGCTCTCATTCTCTCCTACCTGCTGCCATGTAAGATGTGCCTTTCACCTTCCACCATGATTATGAGGCCTCCCCAGCCACGTGGAACTGTGAGTCCATTAAACCTCTTTTTCTTTATAAATTACCCAGTCTCCAGTATGTCTTTATCAGCAGCATGAAAACAGAGTAATACATTGGGAACTTGGAAACTATCAGTTTTAAGTGGAATCCAGAGAAACAGAGGGCTGTGTAGCACAATCTGTTCTGCCTCTTAAGCCACATGACTCAGTAAATCCAGAGATGCTAGATGTATCTGTAATAGATAATGAAGCTACATGGAGTCTCTGACAAGCCCAAATATAAGGGTTGCAGAACAGACCCATAGGGTTTTAGATAAAAGCCATGCCTTCCTTAGCGTGCAACTGGACCCCAGCAGACTGAGCACCGTAATGCGGGATATGAAGTGATTTTCCAATCATTCTTTCCTCATGAGTTGGATATGTTCAGATCTGTCAATTTATGACACTGAGGGTTTGCAACATCAATATATTATACAATATTTGATGGGAAAAGTATTGTACTGATGTTTGTAGTTGTGTAACAAATCACCATAAATTTAGCATCTTAAACAACACGCATGTATTATTTCACAGATTCTATGGATGAAGAGTGTGGGCACAGATTAACTGGGTCTTCTGCTTAGGGTTTCAATGGCTGAGAAATCAAGGTGTTGACTAGACTGTTTTCTCATCTAGAGTTTACTGGAGAAAATCCACTTCCAAGTTGGAAAAATTCATTTCCTTGCAGTCACAGGGTTAAGGTCTCCAGCTTCTTGACAGCTGGGGCTGGGAGCCACCTTCAGCTTCTGGAGGCTGCCAGTAGTTCTGAGAAGCCACCGGCAATTCCTGCCAATGGCCACTTATACTTCATCAAGCCAATAAGGAGAATCTCTGTGACAAGCCAGCCTGCAAAACAGGGTAATATACTGTAACTATCATGTGAGTGACATCTCATCACATTCACCAAATTCTATCGATTAGAAGCAAGTCAAGGTCCCATTGACATTCCAGGGGATGGAATGAGGCACAAGGCATTCAGCACCAAGAGGTGGAGATCATGGGGGCATCTTAGAGTCTGCCTGCTACAGATAAATTCAGAGTTAGGCCTGAAAAGGTCCAGAAGACACAAGTAAGTTGTAGCCATGAGTAGCCCAGGTGCAATATCATATACCTCAGTAGCACCAGTGTCTTCTCCTCAGCTAAGGAAGGTGTCAAGAGAGACATCTTATGATCAACCTATGGAGGAAGAAAAAATTTGTGGTATTTTGCATGTCGGCTCAGGGCAAAGAGTGCATTTTAGAATAAAGGAGGTGTGGCAACGTGTGTGCATGGCCGTCAGATGCACAGGGCTAAGAAGCAACTGCTAGAAAGGTCAAATAGCTGTAATAGGTTCAGCTCATGTGGAACTTGGGACACTGCTCTGTATGTTTGAGACTCTCTCCTCCAGAAAACAGAATATTTACTGAGCCAGCAGTCAATACATGGTGCTGAGACTGACATGTCTAGAAAACACAGGTCTCAGGACCACAGGGTGAAAGAGTTGCCCCCTCACCATCACACGTGAGTATCCACTTGAAGAATCACTGTGTTTTCCAGTCTCACAACATTAGGCTCTCCTGGATTAGGGATAATGGTTCCCAAGAAAGAACTGCTTCTATAGGGAATATAGAAAGAATTCCACATAATATAAAGTTACTTCAAGTTAGAACTGCTGTCTGATTACTTTGGGTTTCTCATACTAACGTACTCAGAGGCAAAGAAAGAAGATACTCAGCTAAGGAGGTAATTAGTCCAGGTTATTATGAGAGACAGTGACAAATGTAGAATCCAAAAAGACTAATATGGCCATCTCCTGTTATTTATCTGTTCAGTAAGAACAATGAACGGGCACTTATAGCAGTCATGGTCCAGTAAGAGGAAGAAAGTATGGATTCAACTCTGTAGGGGTGATGGTTTGAGTCAACGCAACAGACCAGCAACCCAGACCAAACAAAGAGATCTGTCATTCTTCCTGTGAGTGACACCGGAACTGCTCTCGTTAACCTTACACTGTTCGTCTCTGACTTCCTGTTCCAGACTTCTCTGTTGGCACATTGAGAGTAATGTCATGGTGAGCTGCTGTGCGCTCAAGAATGTGCTACCTGGAGGTTTGGGAAGTTAAACCTTTAGAGAAATCTTTTGACCAAAGGAACTTGGGAGAAAATGGATACACATTTTCCTATAACTTCTCCAGAAAGTCTTGAGACATAGTCCATAGACTTCCGTAGGAGATCAACGAAATGAAGGAAGCAGCTGTCGATAGTTGTGGCTAACGTAAAAATGTATCTCTATATTCAGCCTCCCTTCTCCCCTGTTTTGTTCCCCTGCTTCCTGGATTCCACTCCTCGATAAAATACTTGCCCTTAAGCCTTTGCCTTAGCTCTGGTGTCTGAGGAATTAGAGCTAAGATACTGCTCATTATGAGAATGTCAACACCCACGCCAAGTCTACTAATTCCAGATGATCTAAAATTTTAAGACCCTTAGGGATCCAGTTCACTGGAGGATTCTACTCAAAGGTATAGAGAAAGGCCTTTGTTCAAGCTGCACATCACATTTTGTTAATTAGGCATGGAAGTCACTCTCCTCGTACCCAAGGTCTCACATGTGCTCTCCTAACGTACTGATTAGCATCCAAGCAAAACCACAACCCATCATATACCACTTTAAGCTTCTCTTCCCCCAGTGGTATTATTGCTCTGTCCTAATTACGTGACAACAACCCCACGGATTTGAATTCAAATGGCAGCAAGCGGCCAAAATGCCAATTTCTTCATCTACTAATCTGTACTTCTATAGTTTCTCTCCGAATGTTTTCTTCCTCCATTTTAAAGTTATATTTCTGTACATGAATAACTCCATTATACAGTTAATATGGTAAAGGAAACAAACTCTTTCTTATGTCAATGACACCTTTAATACTTTTTTTATCATTCCTCTATTTTAAAATCTTACTACATTTTCCTTTTTGAAGGTATTATTTTCCCATATGCCTACAGAAAATATGCCCATTGGCAAAATAATGCAAAATGATGAAGATAATAAAACAAAATAAAGAAAATAAAAATCCACAGTGTTCTTGTTTTTGAGCCATTTCTTTGAATGGATACTTAGCCTTTGCTATTACGTTATTATGACTTTAACACCATCATTGAAATTTGCCTGGCTGGGCGGGGTAGCTCACTCCTGTAATTCCAGCACTTTTTGAGGCCAAAGCATGTGGATCACCTGAGGTCAGGAGTTCAAGACCAGCCTGGCAAACATGGTGAAAACCCATCTCTACAAAAAAATACAAAAAATTAGCTGGCCGTCGTGGTGGGTACCTGCAATCCCAGCGACTCAGGAGGCTGAGGCAGGAGAATCATTTGAACTCAGCAGGCGGAGGTTGCAGTGAGCCGAGATCCATGCCACTGCACTCCAGCCTCGGCGACAGAGAGACACTCCATCTCAAAAATAAAAAATAAAAAAAGAAGAAGAAAGAAAAGAAATTTGCCTATCACTGAGAACAGTTAATTTCATACAGGGTCATAACACGCTAGATGATTGCACTGTTATTATTATAGGTAGATAACAGAAGGCCAGGACATTAGTCTGTTTTGCATTGCTATAAAGGAATATCTAAGGCTGGTAGTTTATTTTTTGTCTTGGCTCATGGTTCTGCAGACTATCCAGGAAGCATAGTGCCAGTGTCTGCTTCTGTGAAAGCCTCAGGAAGCTTACAATCATGACAGAGGGCAGAGGGGGAGCAGGTGCATCACATGGTGAGACAGGGAGCAAGAGAGGGGGGAGGTGCCAGGCTCTTCTAAACAACCAGGTCTCGGGAAGTAAGAACTCATAACTGCAGGGAGGGCACGAAGCCATTCGTGAGGGGTCTGCCCCCATGACCCAAACCCCTCCCACCAGGCCCCACCTCCAACGTCAGGGATCACATTTCAACATGAGATTTGCAGGGGACAAACATCCAAACTACATCAGCAAGTTCTGGACTAAAGTAAGACACATTTGGTTTGACGCCCTTCCATTTTATTTTTAATATACCCTCTTCCAACCTAACAGACATCAACCCAGGTCTCGTTTTTTCCTGATCAGATTGGGGTTTTATTTTAAACCAAGCCCATGTTAACAGCCAGTTTTTTTTCCAAGGAAAATATCCCCATTATTAGCTATGGCCAGGATTTTCTGAATTCTCTTTCCTATTTGCACTTTGCATTTTTACTGGGGCTTCTCTGCCCTTCATAAGAGGCGCGCATCCTTAGTGGGGCACTGTTAAAGCAGCCGCGTCTCCCTCAGCCCTGGCTACAGGCAGCAGGTGTTTCTTCCATCTTATGCCCATACTCCGCCTCCTTAGGCTTTCTACACAAGGGACCTTAAGTGGAAGCCCACACTCTTCTTGCAATCAAAGCTTTCTCTTTTTCCTGAGGTTCACTGATGTTGTTGATTCTATAATCTTTTGTGGGGTTTTAATTTGTGATAATGTAAAGTGTTAGGAGTCCCCCAAAGCATTTATATTATGAGAGGTTGTTCCCAAATATGGAAACGTGTTCAACTCACAGTATGCATTTCTAATGGTAGAATTTACCCCCCTTTAGTAGGTGGGTGCTGTCAAAGGGGAGTACATGTGTGTCTATATGGCTCTGTGTCTGTCCTTGTCTACCTCACTTCTCTACTTATTATCTATCCATTTACCACCCATTCTAAATAGATCTGATGGTAATGCCAGAGAAGAGACATTATCATATTTTACTGAATAAAATAATGAGAAAAAGCGGGGTTGAAGTCACATCACAGACCGAGAAAAACTTCTAGAGTATTACTGTGCAGAAAATGCAGTGGACTAGAGGAAATTTAGCCAGTACTTCTTTCTTTATGATCCTATTATTTTCACTACACAGAAGCCAGTTTTCTCCCTGCTTTTTCACTTGGTAGGATTTGGCCAGTGTCTGTTAGAAATTTGGTTAAAGCTCAAACAAGTCGGATTTTCAAAAGCAACCTGAAGGTCAGCTGTTTAGTTTTATGCATTTCCTTCTTCTCTGACCAAATACTGCAAGTTCTGCCAATAGGCAAAGGCAAAGATAATGTATTTTGTATGGCCTAGTTTTGTATCCATATGAAATACTATAGACTTGTTTGAGGTTACAGTTTGAATATTAACAAAAATCAATAAAGCTAAGATGTACTAGATAACATTCAAAGTCCCTTTGAAATAAGAAGAAATGCTCAGGAAAATCTAAAAGTAAAATATTTATTTTTCTCAATTGATATTTCCATAAGTCATTTTTATTTTTTGCTCTTAATAAAGAAACCATAATAATGTGAGAATAAAGTGAAATCAGTGGTACCATTATTGAATACTTATTTAATACCCCCTCACTACAACACCACCCCAAGTCCCATTGCTCAAAGACAACCACTTTTGTTTCTCTCTCTGGTATTTGGGAACACATTTATTAATAATATAGGTATAATGTAATTTTCTATTGAGTAATTTACATGTTTAACCATTACAGGCATTTTGCTTTCCTGTTCCAATGGATAAAAATTCAACTCTCCTGATAGAAATTTCAAAGACAGACCAGGCTTGGTGGCTTATCCCTGTGATCCCAGCACTTTGGGAGGTTGAGGCAGGCGGATCACAAGGTCAGGAGTTTGAGACCAGCCTGGCCAACATGGTGAAACCCTATCTCTACTAAAATACAAAAAATTAGCCGGGTGTGGTTGCAGGCACCTGTAGTCCCAGCTACTCAGGAGGCTGAGACAAGAATCACTTGAACCTGGGAGGCGGAGCTTGCAGTGAGCCGAGATTGTGCCACTGCACTCCAGCCTGGGTGACAGAGTGAGACTCCATCTCAAAAAAAAAAAAAAGAGAAATTTCAAAGAGAAAAAGACAAATCACCTAGCCATGAGTTAGATTTGTTACATCATAACATTTCAGTGTTAGATTGGATTTTCCATTGTGTCTAGTTCACCCAGCCATCTAATGCTTGAAGTTTTTCTAATCACTCTTTTCTTTCTCAGAGGACGTTGACTTCTGCACGAATCCCTCCAGGTTCTGTGAAATATTTCTCAAGGTTGTCAGTTGCCCATTTCATAACCCTACAGCTAGGATTTCTCTCCCTGTCTCACTATCTCTCTCCTCCACCTCAAGCCTCAGATCAAAAATCTGTATTCTTGGGACTTCTCCCTTTTGAGCTAGAATTCCACATGGAATCACTACTGTTCTACCTGAGAGATCTATAAATATTTTAAAGACAATATTAGTTTCTGTCCTTAGTTTTTTCTCTTCAATGTTAATATTATAAATTCTGAACATGAATATATGTCAAGTTCTCTTTCCATCTTTAATGCTATACGTAAATGTTTTAAGTTTCATGGCCAGGCGCAGTGGCTCACGCCTGTAATCCCAGCACTTTGGGAGGCCAAGGCAGGTGGATCACAAGGTCAGGAGTTTGAGATCAGCCTGGCCAAGATGGTGAAACCATGTCTCTACTAAAAACACAAAAATTAGCCGGGCGTGGTGGCACACGCCTGTAGTCCCAGCTACTCGGGAGGCTGAGGCAGGAGAATCGCTGGAACCCAGGAGGCAGAGGTTGCAGTGAGCCAGGATCGCACCACTGCACTCCAGCCTGTGTGACAGAGTGAAACTCTGTCTCAAAAAAAAAAAAAAAAAAAAAAAAAAAAAGGACAGGCACAGTAGCTCACGCCTGTAATCCTAGCACTTTGGGAGGCCAAGGTGGGTGGATCACTTGAGGTCAGGTGTTCCAGACCAGCCTGGCCAACATCATGAAACCCCGTCTCCACTAAAAATACAAAAATTAGCTGGGCATGATGGCACATGCCTGTAATCCCAGCTACTCAGGAGGCTGAGGCAGGAGGATCACTTGAATCCGGGAGGCAGAGGTTGCAGTGAGCAGAGATTGTGCCACTGCACTCCAGCCTGGGCGACAGAGCCAGACTCTGTCTCAAAAAAAAAAAAAAAAAAAGTTTCTTGTTTCTCGATGCCGCCTTTAAAGTGTAGTGTTTGGAGTGGCCGTGCCAGGGAGTGTCTCCACCTCTCTTTCCTCACCCACAGATGGTTCTGGGGAAGCTGCATCACAGCCGTCACTTGTATTGAGCTCACGTGCAACCAAAACCCTTTATAGAGTTGGGTTTTTAGCTGTGTCTAGACGCTTTTATGCTGAATTCTTGAACACACATAGACTCAGCTGGACTCTTTTACGCTGAATTCATAGACACAGCTAGACTCTTTTATGCTGAATTCTAAATTCTTGAATTTAAGAATCTTAAAATTCTTGAATTTTAGACCCAAAACAGTGCCAAATATTTTATCTTTGTCACATTTTCTTTCTAGTCAGAGCTGACAGGTTGTTAAATTTAAGAATTTTTTGAATACTGGTTCTTTTCTATTTTCTATTTCTGGGTATGTCCATATCTGTATCAACTAAAAATGTCCCAAGCCTGCCATTACTACCAGTCCCTTAGCCATTAATAAAGACATGCAACCAGAAATGATTGAGGACAGACCTGCTGGGCATCTCCTGTCCAGGTTGACACTGATTATTTGATCAATAATTTTGAAAGATGGATTGTGTATAAGTTACAATATATTTGATATTTTGTAAAAAAAAAAAAAAAAAGACTCAGTAAGCCCAAGAATCTAAGAAAATTAATACTAAATAACTTTCCCAAATGTTGACATAAGAAAAAATTATACCTGAGAAAAGCATTATTAATGTATTTTTAAAATAATTTATTTAAAAAAATTATTGTGGTTTTCTTACATAACTAGCAATTATCTATAGGCTTTGAGAAAAATGAGTCAAAGCGGAACACATACTCACATTACTATAGATGTTTTAATTCAGCTGTAAACCTTTGGAGGATAATGACCTTGTTTTGCCCTATGTGCGTGGGGCAGAGGGAGGCAGGAACTCAGGCCTGGAAGGAACCTCATGATAGTGTTGCTTTTTCCTTTTTCCAACAAAAAGTTAGAGATGCATGATCAATAAAATAACAAGCATATAATTGCATTTTGAGGTAAGTGAGCAGATGCTGTGTTGCTAGGGAATTGTTGTTGAATGAGTATAAAATATGAATTTCCAGAAAGTTGTCATGTAGGTAATATCTGATTTTATTGGCAAGGAAATTCTCAGTCCCTGTGAAGTCATCATTACCAAGTTTTGAGAATTTAATAGGGAGTCAATGTATGCATTGGTGTGTTTCTTTCTTCCTTCTATTTCAGGTACTAGTCTCATCTTTTCCCAGAAACGAAGGTTGGTCAGACCATCTGGGATTAGAAACAGACAGCAAAAGTGTCCCTTTAACCTGAGGACACTACAGGAAAGGTCTTTCTTTCCTTTGGGCATTTTCTTCATGATTGCTTTACCCCTATACTCATGCTACTGAGCTCTCTCCTTTCCATTTTGTGAATAAACTGGGACTGAAGATAAGATTTGGAATAAATGTGTACTTATTATCAAAATGAATATTTTATCTCTTGCTAATTCGTAGTAATTTGCATTGGTTAGTTCTTGAAGGGAAATGATCTAAAAATGTAAAGATTTATGAATACGGAAAAACATGAACTATTATTTCTTTTAATGTTTCCCTTTAGTCAACTTTAGGAATACAAAACTGAGTTGTTTTACCTCCCTTAAGTTTTGGGACATGTGATTCCAGCTCTGTTCCTGTTGATGACAGAAAGTCACATTCAAATCTCTTGATATCATATCTAAAAATCCTGATTTGTGGTCAGGCACGGTGGCTCACGCCTGTAATCCCAGCAATTTGGGAGGCCGAGGTGGGGGATCACCTGAGGTCGGGAGTTCGAGACCAGCCTGAGCAATATGGAGAAACCCCATCTCTACTAAAAATACAAAATTAGCCGGGTGTGGTGGCGCATGCCTGTAGTCCTAGCTACTCAGGAGACTGGGGCAGGAGAATCGCTTGAACCCAGGAGGTGGAGGTAACGGTGAGCCGAGATCGCCCCACTCTACTCCATCCTGGGCAACAGAGCAAAACTCTGTCTCGAAAAAAAAAAAAAATCCTGATTTATTACAGAAAGGTCCAGAGCAAAAGCAGCATTTTGAACTTGGTGTATGGTTAACTGGACAGGGATGTGGATCTGAAGGAGAGCAGAGTATTTGTACTAGCAAAGGGACAGAAAGGACAAGTTCGGGTATCAAAAAAATAGGTGATTAAAACTATAGGAAAAAACCATAAGGGTATGAATTGCCTTGTAAAGAAACCATTTTGAGAAGGAGAGCAGGAAGCAAAATTAGTTAAGAAGGAATGTTTTTAAGACAAAGTAAGTATTCAACAGTAAAAGGAAATAAAAGGTTTATTGAATGTTCCCAACACAAAGAAATGATGAATGTCTGAGTTGCTGGATATGCTAATGACCCTGATCTAATCATCATACATTGTATGTATTGAAACATCACTATGTACCCCATAAATACTCATAATTATTATTTGTCAATTTAAGAATATTTTAAAATCACACAAAACACAATAGCAGCATTATTATGTGACAATATACTCCCAAAATACAGAACTAGTAAGAAATATTATCAATAGACATGGCTTCAAAGAAATAGAAATTGTTTTCTAAAATATAGACTTTGGGCAGTAAAGCATTGCAGATTGAGAGAAAACATTCTTTTTCCCAAAGAGAAGACAATTTCCAAATAAGATAGTGTCCATAATGCTTTGTAACTAGTGGGTGCCTCTTACGCTATCAGCAAACTTAGTTCCAGTTCACCCTCCTCACCTTCCACCCAGAGACTTTAGGGCATGTTGCTGGGGGTCAACCTTGGAAGATCTCTGCATTTGAAGCAATCTACTGTCTCCCTGGGATGGGCCGCTTTCTCCTTTGAGTGGCCGTAACCCAGCCCAGAGCTGCTTTCGCAGAGGCAATCAAGCTATGGAAAGCCCTGCTCATTTTGTGTTTTCAGGGTTGCCTTTGTTTATCTCTAATTCTTAAGGGAAAATGCTTCTGTAGGCTCAATGAGACCGAGTGGAAACCATAGCCAAGTCCTACAGCTTTTGTAGTTTCTGTGCTGGGGAGACTACAGATCTATTTGGAAAAATAGAAACTGCATTAGATCAAGCTATAACTTTAATATTTATGAAAAAGCTCTAATTGTTGACTCTCTGCAGCTGAATTCTACATTAAACCCTGTAGACAGGGTTTATAAAATATACATGTACAAGTTCATATAATAAGGATTATTTGATAATGGTAAAAAATTAAATGAGTATTCAAATATAAACATAAAAATATGGCATTTTCTCTTCTACTCTAATCCTACAGTGCTATAGTAATTTTTTTTCCTTCTGAAACCTTTATGGAAACCCTAATTAACGTAAGTCAACTGTTCAACATCTAATATTGTTGAAAACCTTAAGTAGGAATAAAATTAAGCATTTATATTTAAGTACAGTTGATACTTTAAAAAATTCTTACATAAAATCTTTAATTATGATTTGCTTTGTGTATACTGGCTTCTGCGATCATAAAAGAAATTACTTAACTTTGCCATCTCTAAAAGAAAAGTCCAGAGTTGGCATTGTTTCCAGCTTATTTTTCAAGACAACAAAAAAGTAATTTTGGAAAATAAGTTATTTTAGAAAATAAAATATAACATTTTTTAGAACCTGGAGTTCTCCAAATAGTTTGTTCTTTCGAGAATATGATTGAGCTTTCTTTGCCACTCAGGTTCAAAGCACTGGGAAGAAGTGAAAACAATTCAATTATTGGATGCACATTTTTGAAAGGGCCTTACATTGCTAAATTCAGGAGTTGCCATAATTCTATGTCATGTTGCAAGCAAGCTAAACATCAAGAGAGGTGTTGTAACCAGCTAATAATTATAAATAATGTGTGAATACTGTCTTTTTTTTCTGATTCCTGTGAGAAATCAGAAGGAACAATTGCAAGGAAATATGAAATCATGTTCTTCAAATCCTTCGACTCTGAAACACAGATAAGAGGACTGCTGACATGTAGGGACCAATAGAATGACAGCTCGTTGCATACAAAGATAAAAAAGACAGTGAGTGACTTTGGAGTTGTGTTGCCTTCTGCAGCCGAGAGAATTTGGACCCAACTGTCAAATGACTATTTTTTTTAGAGGAGTGTAAATGGTGAGTGTGTACGGTGAGCTAGTGGTATGGTTCAGAAGGAATCTGCAGATGAGCTAGTGGTATGGTTCAGAAGGAATCTGAGCGCTAATAAACACCCACTTTCCCAGTAAGAAATGTAGTGTGCTGTGTATTAGAAAGCTTCATAGACTCCAGAAAAATTCAAAGAACTAAACATGAATCCTCCTGTCAGTAAGTCCAAGGAAACCTAGACTATTTCATGCAGAAATAGCACATTTATACCGAGTATCACTTATCACTTACAGATTATGTTCTCATTCATTGTCTTGTTTTTAATCTTCAAAACAATCTTGAAAAGAAAATCCTTGAGAGTTGAAAGAAATTTAAGTGACTTGGTAAATTCATATGGAAGATGGTAAAACATTATTGTCAATGTGCTGCGTCTTGCTTAATGAATTTCCTCAAAGTTAGAGACAGTGTCTATAATACTTGTCCTTTTAAGCTAAGATCATAAAATCAACCAGTAAGATGATAAAATATGTAGCAATGTATCTAAATTTATCAAGCTCTGTAAAACCCTAGGATCAAGCAGTAGCTTGGAGAGGTCAGAAAGCTCCTGAGCTTGCACCTTCTTAAGAAGAGGAGAGGGGAGGGGAGGGGAGGAAGGGAAAGAAGAGAGGAGAGGAGAGGGGAGGGGAAGGGAGTGGAGGGGACGGGAGGAAGAGAGAAAAGAGAGGAGAGGAAAGGAGAGGCTTTAGCATGAAGCCTCTGGATGCTCAGATTCTGCTGGGAATTTTGGCAGCGTTATGGAAGGTCCATCACAATCTTGAAGAGAGGCTTTCACTATATACCAAGCATGGCTTAGTCTGAACTGGTTCATCTGGACCCAACTCTAGCCAACTCTAGTGTGTCTCATGGTCTGGTGTGGGCCGAGGGCCTCCAGGCCTCCAGAGCCAGCCCTGTCCACAATTTGGTAATATTCCATTGTTTCCTTACAGAGCTCAAGATTGCAAACCCCAAGGTGAGAAATGGAAAAAAGTAATGGGACCTTTAAGCTCTGACGTTCTATGTTCCTACAGCATAAGCTGGTGGCTTCTGCGGGTCTCTGCAGCCACCTCAGGGCCTTTCTGCTCTTCTCAAGAGCAAGAGAAGCAGAACTTCTTCTCTTGCACTGGAAATACCTGTGGGGTGTGTGTGTGTAAGATGGACATTGAGTGAAGGGACATGAGCTTCTTGAATATCATGTTTTACGCAAACAAATGTTTCTGTTTTTTTTTTTTTTTTTTTTTTTTTTTGAGACGGAGTCTTGCTCTGTCACCCAGGCTGGAGTGCAGTGGCGCGATCTTGGCTCACTGTAACCTCCGCCTCCTGGGTTCAAGCGATTCTCCTGCCTCAGCCTCCTGAGTAGCTGGGACTACAGGCGTGCACCACCAAACCCAGCTAAGTTTTGTATTTTTAGTAGAGACGGGGTTTCACCATGTTGGCCAGGATGGTCTCGAACTCCTGACCTCAGGTGATCCGTCCACCTTGGCCTCCCAAAGTGCTGGGATTACAGGCTTGAGCCACCGCTCCCAGCCCACAAACAAATGTTTAGCATTAAGTATTGTGTATTAATTAAAAGACTAAGTCTTTTTCATAATAGCTTAGAGCTCAATAGAAAATACAAGCAAGAAATGATGAGTACATTCGTGGTTGCTTATGGCTAGAAGAGGGAGGAGGGATAGAGTGTGACTCCCAATGGGTATGAGATTTTTTTTTTTCTTTCCTGTCTTTTCTTTTTGAAACAGGATCTTGCTCTGTCATGCAGGTTGAAGTGTGTGGTGCGACCATGACTCAGTGCAGCCTCCACCTATTGGGATCAAGTGATCTTCCCATCAGGCCTTTCAAGTAGCTGGGACTGCAGTGCACACCACTATGCCCAGCTAATTATTTACTGATTTTTTTTTTTTGTAGAGATAGTCTCACTATGTTGCCCAGGCTGGTCTTGAACTCCTGGGATCAAGCGATCTTCCCACCTTGGCCTCCCAAAGTGCTGGGATTACAGGTGTGAGTCACTGCAACCAGTCTGGGTATGATATTACTTTTGGCAAATATGAAAATGTTCTAAAATTAGGTAATGGATGCACAACTCTGTGTACTAAAAACTCTTGTTTCCCACTTTAAGCTAGTTGTTGTGCTTTGTGATATGTAAAGTTCATCTCAATAAAGCTGTTTTAAACAGAAAGATGATAAGGACTTCTTTTTTTTTTCTGAAGCAAGCCAGGGTAAGGTATTTACAAATTATGCTGTTCTCTTTATCTCTGCAATGACTTTTAAATCTTGTCCATTCTTTTCATCCATTATGTCTGTGTCATAGTTTGAACCCTCATCCAGTTTTGGTCCAATACAGATGGTCCCCGAGTTATGATGTTTCAAAGTATGATTTTTTGACCTTATGATGATGAGAAGGTGATACATTTTAAGTAGAAACGGTACTTCCAGTACCCACACAACCTTTCTGTTTTTCACCTTCAGTGTAATGTTAAATAAATTACAGGAGATATTCAGCACTTCATCATAACATAGGCTTTGTGTTACCTGATTTTGTCCAGCGGTAGGCTAATGTGAGTGTTCTGAGCATGTTTAAGGCAGGCTAGGCTAAGGTATGATGTGGTAGGTTAGTGTATGAAATGAATTTTGAACTTAGTGATATTTTCAAGTTATGTGATGGATTTATCAGGATGTAACCCCGTTGTAAGTCGAAGAGTGTCTGTAGTTACACAGAAATAATAATATGTGGTTTTGGTTGGTTTCTAGTTGTAAGTTGTAAGGCCTTTTATGCAGACTGCTGCATTTGACTTTAACATGGTTTTCTTACCCCCGTTCTTTCTCAGGCTTTCCTAAAGCACAGTTCTGATCATGTTATATTCTTACTGAACACTTCACATGGTTCAACATTGTCTACAGGATGAAATGCAAACTTTTTAACTTGATCTATGATTCTGTCTTTTTTGTCTTATTTTTCACATCATGATCTTACTAAGCCACAATTCATTTTTGGCATACAAAACATCCTGGCGTTGACTTAAAGTATACTCCACTTTTCCACTTCTCTGCTTTTTGCCCTTCTCCTAAATTCAAGCTGTCAACATTTCACCCATTCAGCTCAAATGCTTCCTCCTACATAGTCTTCAATCGCACGCAGCAGAATTACAGCCTTGAAAATTACAAACTTCTTTGTATTTTAATTACTTGTCTATGTGCTTGCCTTTCTACTCTGCCTATCTATTCAAATTATTGTTCAGTTGAATTTTCAAATTAATATTGTATTGTAAGCCTCTTTATTTGTAATTATAGAGAAAATAGATTCTTATAGAAATGATGAAGAGCAAAATTCCATCAGAGCCAATACGGACCTTCGGTCTACAGGGAAGAATAAGTAACAGATTTCCCTCGCCCAGCACAAGATCGATGGCTGAGACCCCAACAACAGAAGACAGACTAACAACAGAAAAACATAGAAACTTATTTAATATAAATTTTACATGACACACGAGCCTTCAGAAATGATGCAAATAAACAGGGAGTCTGTATTTTTTGGACGGTTGTGCAAAATTGGACTGGAGGACAAAGGGAATGGTCTAATGGAAATAGACAGGGGAGGCTGTTCACATTCCTCTTGGTGTCCTCATGTCACGTGCTTTCCTCCCAGATGTAGGACAAGCCAGGATGCTCTCCCAGGAGGCTCTTCAGGAGAGAGGGGAGGGAGAAGGTCAGAGAGTCACCTTCCCAGGTTTCATGGCTGCTGCAGGGAGAAAGGGCGAGGGGAAGGTGAGCAAGGCCTTCCTGCTTCTGTTGTTTTCTCAAACGCCCAGGCACCATGTTTTGGGGTGGCATGTCCTGAACCTGGTCTGGCCTCACCTCACTATAGGCTCCTGTTTCTTTTCTTTTTTTTTTTTCTGTTTCCGCCTCCCTCCCTCTAAACATTCTAATTTACCCCAAGCTCTCTTCCCCAGAACTCTCGTGTCTGACAGAGCTCGAATTCTGTCAACCAGGCTGGTCAGCTCCAGACTCTGACTAATGAAATGCACTTGTTATTAACTTATCTCCTTCAGGAGCAACTCTCAATCCATGACTGAATTGTACAGATGGAACACAGGAGGGTGAGATGTCTCCTTGCTGGAAACTGCACAGTGTGAAGGCTCTCGGGAATTGCTTTATGGAATCAGACTCCTTCGTTCCTTCGTGTACACCTCCTAGATGCATTTTTACAGAATCAGACTCCTTCATGTACACTTCCTAGGTGCATTTTCCTGGAGCTCATCTGGAGTCCAGGCCTCAGCTTCTGTTGTACAATGAGGGATGATAATGGCAGATACTTAGATACTTTTGAGAAGGCCACCTGAGACGTGATTGCCAAAAGCAAGTGAGGATGACTGAATGAGAGAACGGTGAATAGCAGTTATTTTAAAATTTATTTTTAACATCCCTACATTTATTGCAACTGATTCTTGTAGGACCACAAAATGTGAAACGGATTTCAAACCCTAGCAGTGCACAGGAATCATCCTGTAAAGCCTTTAAAAGTACAGATCTGGCCGGGCGCGGTGGCTCACGCCTGTAATCCCAGCACTTTGGGAGGCTGAGGTGGGCGGATCATGAGGTCAGGAGATCAAGACCATCCTGGCTAACACGGTGAAACCCCGTCTCTACTAAAAATACAAAAAATTAGCTGGGCGTGGTGACGGGCGCCTGTAGTTCCAGCTACTCGGGAGGCTGAGGCAGGAGAATTGCTTGAACCCGGGAGGTGGAGGTTGCAGTGAGTGGAGATCGCACCACTGCACTCCAGCCTGGCAGCAGAGCAAGACTCCATCTCAAAGGAAAAAATAAAAGAAAAAAAAAGTACAGATCTTTGAGTGATCACTTTTAGAAGGTCCAGGGCTGTGACCCGTAAGCTAATGTTTTCAAAGCTTCTCAGGTAATTTAGAAGTAACTGGTCCTTAGGTTGTCACGTGGGAATTACTGATTCTTCCGTACATATTTAGTAACATCTAGAGTATTCTGATCCATGAGAATATTGTCTAGATTTCAGAGCTTCTTTCTGAAATTTACCGAGAATGAAACTCTCCTGAAGATAGGCTTTAGATCTCATCCTATGATAGTCTCACAGAAAAGAAGGTAGCTTGATGGAGAGTTTATGGATATTCTACAACAGACCTTAATCCAGGTGGTATTTTATTTTATTTTTTTTAATTTTTTGAGATGACGTCTCACACTGTTGCCAGGCTGGAGTGCAGTGGCTCGAACTCGGCTCACGGCAACCTCCACCTCCCGGGTTCAAGCCATTCTCCTGCTTCAGCCTCCTGAGTAGCTGGGACTACAGGTGCCTGCCACCATGCCTGGCTAATTTTTGTATTTTTAGTAGAGGCAGGGTTTCACCATGTTAGCCAGGATGGTCTCGATCTCCTGACCTCATGATTCACCCACCTCAGCCTCCAAAGTGCTGAGATTACAGGTGTGAGCCACCGTGCCCAGCCAATCCAAGTGGTATGTCAAATCTAGCCTAAAGAGCTTTAAACATTTTTCATGCATTTATTTAATAAATATATATATATACACACACACACACACACACATTTGCATACATGTATATGTCTACAAACATATATACATATACACATATACATATATAAATGTGTAAATATATACATATACACACACATATAAATGTGTGTATATATATTTATTAAATAAATGCATTTTTCATCCACTTATTAAAGATATACACACATATACACATATTTGTATATATGTATGTATATATATATAAAAATCTGCAATTTTAAAAAACAGCACAACTGGAATAAATGTAGACATATAGTTTATAGTACTTTGTAATTGTAATTAAATACTTTCTTCAGAAAATTGCATTAAAAATTTTTTTATGGCTGAGTGTGGTGGTTCATGTCTATAATTCCGGCATGCTGGGAGGCTGAGGTTAGAGGATTTCTTGAGCCCAGGTGTATGAGACCAGCCTAGACAACATAGTGAAACCCATCTCTACAAAAATTTATAAATTAGCCTGGCATGGTGGTGCACACCTGTAGGCCCAGCTACTTGGAAGGCTGAGGTGGGAGGATCACTTGAGCCCAGGAGATCGAGGTTGCAGTGAGCTGTGGTCACACTACTGCACTCCAGCCTGGGCAACAGAGTGAGAACTTGTCTCAAGAAATAAACAAAAATTATCATAATATGAAAGTATTGATAATTTAATATTCTTTTGTTTTTTAAATGGTAGGATAATAATGTGATTTCTAACTTGCCTTACCTTCGTGTCCACTGCTTTAAAGACAGAACTAACATGAGGAGAGAAATTAGAAAATAATAAAGAAAACGAAATTCATAAATTAAAACATGAAGACATTATATCTGAAGGGCTCTTAGATTGTATAAGTCAATTTTTCCCTAGAATATGAAATTCTTACCTATGAGAATGAATGTTAATGTACTTTTCAAACTAACTTTCACCTTACCTTTAGATGACCTTATTTCATCAGAAAAGAAGTAAAAACCAATTCTTACTCAGAATAGTTTGAACTTACACTTAATTATCATCTATGCTGTTATTTACTATAGATTTCATTTAACACAGATTTTTAAATGATTATTATAATTGGTTTCATGGGTGAGTTTATTTTATAATGAGTAAGAGAAAGAAAATGTACCCCTATTTTATGTCAAATATTTTTATAGTATATAATATCTTCAAATTGTAAATGAATATAGAGATTTAAAAATGTTAATAGCTTCTAAGGCTGGGTGCGGTGGCTCATGCCTGTAATCCCAGCACTTTGGGAGGCCAAGGTGGGTGGATCACAAGGTCAGGAGATCGAGACCATCCTGGCCAACATGGTGAAACCCCGTCTCTACTAAAAATATAAAAAATTAGCTGGGTTTGGTGGCAGGTACCTGTAGTCCCATCTACTTGGGAGGCTGAGGCAGGAGAATGGCGTGAACCCAGGAGGTGGAAGTTGCAGTGAGCTGAGATCATGCCACTGCAATCCAGCCTGGGTGACAGAGGGAGACTCCATGTCAAAAACAAAAACAAACAAACAAACAAACAAAAGTTAATAGCTTCTGAATCATTATAATTTCTCAAGTGAGTAGGAATATATTTTTCTTCAAAGCTCTTGCAAGATTTTCTGCCAATACATGATTTAGAATTTCATAATCAATATTTATTGTTTAGAAACCCTAAAAGACTGCTTTCATATTTAATTTTTTGTTTCTGTGATTATTAAATTATTTGCCTTTTTAACTAAAAGAAAAAAGACTTACTCCTTTTTCTTCTAGGTACTACCAAAATGCTTTTCTGGGAAGAACACAATGTACACATCCAAACTGTAATCAGCTATTTTCTCTTGTGCTTGCGGCTTTTCAGAGCTGGATTATTTGACGAAGTACATGCTGAGGGCTCCATCAGAGCAATAGAGATAGAGATGATAGAGATGGAGAGAGATAGCTACCTCTGTCTAGGTGCAGATATAAATGATGTAGATGCAGATATAAGGTGTTCCATGAAAGGGCCATAAATGCAAAGTGGTCCCCTCAAATGCAAGGAACCGAAGAAAGAGGCGGACAAATCCAGTTTGCCCATAAAGGATTTATTCTATTTATTTGTTAGAGAAGTTAAAGACAGAAGTGTGGTCTTGGGCAACCACAAGACAGCTAGATCTCTGCACTAAAATCCCCAAGACCCAGAACTTACATCATGCGGAAAAGTATGTGTGTTCTGGAAGAATGTGTAGGTGGCTGAGAGAATGCTGTGGGCACCACAGTCTATGAGGGACACAGCAACACCAAGGCTGGTTTTGGAGGAAAGGCGAAACTTACAGTAAATAGGTCCTTCTACAAAAAGGGTTTACATCAACTAAATATCTTGGAGGCATTCCGGGGCTCGAGATTCATCAGGAGGCACGTGGTGGATTAGCATCTAAAATGAAGTCACTCTCGTCCCTATACAGGGAATAATTTGATGCTTGATGTCACTAAGGCACCCATCATGAGTAAGATCAGTAATACGGAACTGACGGCATTACATTTGTTCTACAGAGTTATTAATCTAGATTCAAAATTTGGATAAGAGACAATATCATCTTTTCTGTTCTTAGAGCCTCTCTGAGCCTAATTGGGCCCGAGTTGAGTGTTTCCATTTCAGAAATTGTGGTGTCAGCATGCTCAACTATAAAATAAACTGGTTCTTTATGCTTTTAGTAAGTCATACCTCTTGCAATTTACTGGAAAAGTAGAAATGCAAAGAGCTCCTTATGCAACTTAATCAGAAGAACACAAATCAGGGTCTTTTAATGAAGGTTTAAGCTGAGCTTTGACATGCGAATTAGGAGACAATGCAGTAATATCTAGTATATCTTAAGTTTTGATATTTGAAAGATGATTGTGAAATAATTTTTCTAGTTTCATTGGCATATCTACTATACTCTAGGCAAGGGGCTGGAATCAACAAGCAAAAATCAACAAGTTTTGCTCTTGACCATCTCACAGACTTGTGTTTCTTTATTTTTTTCTCTATCAAGCCAAGCTCTATATGAAGGCAATTTTATGATGTTGCAGATTTTATGATGTTGTGCACTTACTTTAAAGAATAGCCTTTACAACTCTTGAGTACACTCAATTATATTTCTTATGCCCACTGAAGTTTTTAAGTACCTAATAAAAAATAGTGTATCAGAAGAGGTGGCACCGTCAGGAATATTTCACCAGTATTAGGCCAATGAACATTAGCTGTCATGTTTTCAGCATTATGTGGAGAGCTCTGAGTCAGGTGCACACCTCCAAAAAACCTGGTGTGAATATTTCAGTCTCAGCAATAAAATCACACTTCATGTGTTACGCATAAAGGAAGATTTATTACCTTCATATCCTCTTATTAATTTCTTTCTTTCTTACATCAGGTATAATTCCATACCTCAGCCCTTTGGCCTTAAAGAGTAATTTAATCTATTAGCCCAGAAAACCTTTTAAGTCAATCCTTGACATGGAAGGAAGGCAGATATTTCTTTAAGGGTCTGGTGTACTAGAAGGTCAGTTTCTGTCACAGATCCCAGGAGCCGTGCAGCTAAAAACAAAACCCTCTGGTGCTCCGTCTTTTCGCCAGTACACGCCTTTAAATAAGAAACAAGACAAAAGAGACAGATCAACGCTCATCCCTGGGCTTGAGCCTCAGGAAAATGGTTTTAAGAGAAGACGCCTGTTAGCGCCAGACAAAAGGCAATTAGTGCTCATTCGGGGGACATCACGTGGTGAGGGCATGTGGACTCCCTTCATCCACAAGCCAAGTACGAAGGGCTATTGCTCTGTTACTAACAGGGATTCATCTTTAATTATTCACATTTGTATTTTTTTCCCCAGTAGGAAAATAATAATGTTTTTCATCCTTTCCTGCATATATTTATTATTTTTATGTAAATTAAGAGTTACACTACAGAGTTTCTCATGAAGAAAAGGAAAATACCTAAAAGATAGTTACATTACAAAGAAGAAAACACAAATGTAGCTTCCTGAATTTTTCATGAAAACTCACCCAGAAGGCACTCCATATTTCAGAAACAAATAGCATGGGGGCCTTAGGACACATAAACAATATAACTGAATAAAAGAAATTTCAGAAGTCTTGTAGTCCTACAAATATTTCTCTTTTTGGAAAAGATTTATTGAAGCAAATAAAATGATAAAATTATGCATGAATTGAAAAATATAGTGGGATGGAGGAATAGAACATTTGTGATGATTCTTGATAAAGCCACACAACATAAGGTATAGAAAGTTTGGTCACCAGCCAGGCCTGGTGGCTCACGCTTGTAATTCCAGCACTTTGGGAGGCTGAGGTGGGCAGATCACGAGTTCAGGAGTTTGAGACCAGCCTGGCCAACACAGTGAAACCGCATCTCTACTAAAAATACAGATAGTAGCTGAGTGTGGTGATGGGCACCTGTAATCCCAGCTACTTCGAAGGATGAGGCAGGAGAATCAGTTAAACTCGGGAGGTGGAGGTTGCAGTGAACTGAGATTGCGCCATTGCACTCCAGCCTGGGCAACAGAGACCGTGTCTCCAAAAAAAAAAAAAAAAAAAAAAAAGTTTGGTCACCATCCAAGTAAAGAAAAAAGAGAACTAAATCTAAGAAAGTGGCAGTTAAGTGGAAAAGGAGAAAGGTTAAAAGGAAGTCATCGAAAAAGAGAAACAGAATAAAACTAGATGTTTTAAAGGAGAAAAAATAGACAGTGGCATCAAGAATTGCTTTTAGGTTTCAAGTTGCAATTCCTTTAAGAAGTACTGTCTGTGAATAAATATTTTCAAAGCAAGGAGAAAAAATTAATTTAGAGATAAGGGCCATAGAAATGATAAGGTTTGTTTTGGTTATGCTGCTCATATCAAAATATTTAAGTAACAGTAATGAGCAAGTAGGTAGAGATATGAGTTTGGAGGTTAAGAAATAGGTCCTGATAGCCAGGCGTGGTGGTGGGTGCCTGTAGTCCCAGCTACTCGGGAGGCTGAGGCAGGAGAATTGCTTGAACCCGGGAGGTGGAAGTTGTAGTGAGCAGACATTGTGCCACTGCACTCCAGCCTGGACCACCGAGCAAGACTCTGTCTCCACAAAAAAAGATAAAAAAAAAAAAAAAGGTGGGGGGAAAGAAAGAGAGAGAGGTCCTGAGATTATGAAAAAGAAATGAGATCTATTCACAAACTGGCAGCACCAACAATAGAGAATGTAAGATGTTGGTTGCTATTGGGAACTAAGTGAGGATGATAGTTGTTAGAGCACATTTTAAAATATATAACCAGCATGGCAGATGTATACATATGTAACTAACCTGCACATTGTGCACGTGTACCCTAAAACTTAAAGTATAATAATAAAAAAAAAGAAAAAAAAGAAAAATTTACCTGCCCTTTAAAAAAAAAATTACAACACTGTCTGAAATAACAGAAAAAAAATATATATATATAAACTGATGCAAGAACTTCATAAATGATAATGTCCATTCTTCTTACAGAAATAGTGGAATGGTCAAAATTAAAACTATCATGCAGAATCAAGGGTGAGTTAGGTTCAAGAAACAAGGGATGTTTACCCTGGTCAGATATTGAAGTCGATCGAAGTGAAGGCTGAGCAAAGGGTTCCAGACTGGTTATTATCAAGTATTTGTAGTGAAAGTCACTATGCAAGAAGTGAAAGAATGATAGGATTTTGGGAAAGAATCATAACTACTGTTTCACAAGGTTTAGTAGCAAGAAGACAAGACAAATTGAACCTTGGGAGACTGCCAGCGTGAGGAAAGGCTTTGTCAGGAGACAGAGAAATGAAGGCACGTTTGTGGGCAGAGCAAATGTAAGAAGAAAGGCAGAAATATGGACAATGATTAATTAATGAAATAAGTTTTAAAGAACAGAAAAAAAGGGTTAATATCGAAGTCCAGATAGTGAGTTAAGCACTAAAATAGGAAGGCAATATGTCTGTTTTTATCTTTTCTTTGAGACAGTAAAAAAGAATAAGAGGCTGGATATACGGGATGCCTTTGTATAGAGAAGATTTATACAGATTATCTGGGGTGGTGTTGATACACATGGTCAAATGAAAAAATGGAGATTTCAAACCTGAGAAGGAGAAAATAGATTAGGATATAAGGAGAAGGAGGAAAGTCTTTTAGACGATGAAGTCATATCGAATCAGGAGACACATGGTAGTAGAGCTACAGAAATAGGACTGGACAGTAGGGATCTGGAGTGGATTAGTATGAGTTTTCTTATCCACTTTTCTCCAGCTGTGCTAAAATAGGCTGCTAGCAGTGAAGAAACACCATAATGATCACAGAGTTGGGGTTAATTAGAGTACAGGGATCGAAAGTCCAACAGGTAAGAGATTTGAGAGCATCAGTGAGAAGACAATTAAATAAACTTAATATGGCTCTCACAATCTAAGTTAAGGAGAAAAGTGAAGCCAGACAGAGGTTGATAAATCAGAACTATAAGGCCAGTTCAAGGGAGTAGACCTCACAGTGAGAACAAAGCTCAAGTTAGTTGCTAATAAAGGCACAGAAAAGGTGGAAAGTAAGATCTATTAAAAAAGAAAATCGTAAAATTCAAAATCAGTAATACTGATCAAGCGCCCATTGTGAGCAAAAGGGTAAGCTTTTATTGATTCAGAATGACTAAGAATTGAGATATCTGATGAGTTAAGAATGTTAACTTACAATTAGTGTTTCATATATAATATGTATATAAATATATATAATATTATACATAATATTGATGTAATCACTCCTATAGCTAATTAAGTACATGATATTTTGCCAGGTCAACTGTTATGTTTATTAGCAACAGTCACGGGAATATCTGAAATGTTGGAAATCCCCTATCCCAATTCAATATTAATGAAAGTAACAGAAAGTTACATCTTTCTGTTATTATATATAGTTACATCTATTCTTATATCTATCTTTCTGTATCAAATATTTATCTCCCTATATAGGTATATTTTTAATCTGTATCTTTATACATAAAGTATTCTGGGTAAACTGCACAGACCTTAGCATATTAAATTCTCTTCTTCGGCCGGGCGCGGTGGCTTACACCTGTAATCCTAGCACTTTGTGGGAGGCCAAGGCAGGTGGATCACTTGAGGTCAGGAGTTCGAGACCAGCCTGGCCAACATGGTGAAACTCTGTGCTACTAAAAATACAAAAATTAGTCAGGTGTGATGGTGTGTGCCTGTAATCCCAGCTACTCAGGAGGCTGAGGCACAAGAACCCGGGAGGCGGAGGTTGCAATAAGCTGAGATCAGGCCACTGCACTCCAGCCTGGGTGACAGAGAGAGACTCCATCTCAAAATAAATCAAATAAAATAAAATCTCCTCTCACACACTACCATCTTCCCTAACAGGTGTGCTAGGCTCTAGAAGTTTGAAAGACAGAGGGGTGAATTACTTCTGTATTCACTCAGTTGTATAAACCATATGTCCTCATCCATTTTCTACTACTATACAGAATACTACAAACTGGATAATTTATAAAGAAAAGAAATTTATTTGGCTTATGTTTCTGGGGGCTGAGAAGTCCAAGATGATGGCACTAGTATCTGCTTAGCATTTGATTAAGGTGTTCTTACTACCTCACACATGGCAGAAGAGCAAGAGAGAGAGAGAGAGTGAGAGTAAGAGAACAGGAGGAGGCAGAACTTCACCTTATTTTCAGGAACCAACTCCCATGATAGCCCAGTTCTGAGATAACAGCGTCAACACAGGCATACCTCAGAGATATTTGTGGTCTGGTTCCACACTACCTCAATAAAGTGAATATTGCAATAAAGTGAATTACACAAAATTTTTGGTTTCCCAGTACATATAAAAGTTATGTATACACTATACTGTAGTCTATTAAGTATTCAGTATCATTACATTAAAAAATTAGATACTTTAAAAAAATCCTGTTAGCTTTATCTCCAGAATATCTTCCAATCTACCCACTTTTCTTTATGTCTATCAGTACCGTCATGGTCTAAGCCAACAGCGTGCTTTCCTCAGGCTATCAAAGTAGGCTTTTAACTGGCTCCTCACAGGAGACCAAAATGAAGAAAAAGAACAATAACAACAACAAAAATAGATACTTTAATTTAAAAATATTTTATTGGCAAAAAATGTTAACAGTCATTTGAACCTTCAGCAAGTCATTTTCATTTTGCTGGTGGAGGATCTTGCCTTGATATTAACAGCTGCTGACTGATCAGCATGATGGTTGCTGAAGGTTAACGTGGTTGTAGCAGTTCTTAAAATAAGACAACAATGAAGCTACCACATCAACTGATTCTTCTTTCACAAAAGACTGCACCGTATTCTATGATGCTATTTGATAGCATTTTACTCACAGAAGAACGTCTTTCAAAATTGGAGTCAATCCTCTGAAACCCTGTCACTGCTTTATCAACTAAGTTTATGTAATTTTCTAATTTCCTTGTTGTCATTTCAACCATGTTTATAGCATCTTCACCAGGAGCAGATTTCATCTCAAGAAACCACTCTCTTTGCTCATCCGTAAGAGTAGTTCTTTATCTATTAAAGTGTTATTATGAGATTGCAGAAATTCAATCACATCTTCAGATTCCAGTTCTAATTCTAGTTCTCTTGCTATTCTCACTACATCTGCAGTGATTTTTCTCCACCGAAGTCTTAAACTCTTCAAAACCATTCATGACAGTTGGAATGAACTTCTTCCAAACTCTTGTTAATGTTGATATTTTGACTTCCTCCCATGAATCATGAATGTTCTTAATTGTATCTAGAATGGTAAATCCTTCTGAGATTTTCAATTTACTTTGCCCAGATCCATCAGAGGAATGATCCATCACTATCTATGGGAGATATCGCCCTACAAAATGCATTTCTTAATAGGACTTGAAATTTAAAACTACTCCTTGATCCATGCACTGCAGAATGGATCAAGAATGGCTGCAGAATGGATGTTGTATTAGCAGGCATGAAAACCACATTTATCTCCTTGTACATCTCCATCAGAGCTCTTGGGTAACTAGGTACATTGTTGATGAGCAGCAATATTTTGAAGCACTTTTTTTTTTAAGCAGTAGGTCTAAATGGTGGGCTTAAAATATTCAGTAAACTATGCTATAAATAGATGTGCCATCTTGCAGGGTTTGTTACTGTATTCCTAGAGCACAGGTAGGGTAGATTTAATGTACTTTTTAAGGGACCTAAGGTTTTCAGAATGCTAAACGAGCACTGGCTTCAACTTACAGTCATTAGTTGTATTGGCTCTTAACAAGCGAGTCAACTTGTCCTTTGAAGCTTTGAAACCAGGCATTGACTGCTCTTGCTGTGAAAGTTCTAGATGGCATTTTCTTCCAATAGAAGGCTGCTTTGTCTCCAGTGAAAATCTGTTGTTTAGTGTAGCCACCTTCATTAATTATCTTAGTTAGACCTTCTGGATAACTTGTTGCAGTTTCTCCATCGACACTGCTACTGCACTTTGCACTTTTATGTTATGGAGACGGTGTCTTTCCTTAAACTGCATGAACCATCCTCTGCTAGCTTTCAACCTTTCTTCTTCAGCTTCTTCACCTCTCTCAGCCTTCGCAGAATTGAAAAGAGTAGTGCCTTGTGCTGAATTAGGATTTGGTTTAAGGGAATATTGTAGCTGGTTTGGTTTTCTTTCACGACCACTCAAACTTTCTCCATATCAGCAATAAGGCTGTTTTGCTTTCTTATCATTTGTGTACTCATTGGAAAAGATTTCCATCAGAAGCTTTTTGTTTACAGTCACAGTTTAGCTAACTGCTTGACATAAGAGGCCTAGCTTTCAGCCTATCTCAGCCCTTATCATGCCTTCCTCACTAAGCTTAATCATTTCTAGACTAAAAACACTTAGTCACTTGAAAAGTTAGAGGCCATTGTAAGGTTATTAATTGGTCTAATTTCAATATTGTTGTGTCTTAGGTAGTAGGAAGGCCTGAGGAGAAGGACAGAGATGGGGAAATAGTTAAATAGTTGTTTGATGAAGCCGTCAGTACACATACAACACTTAATAAGTTCAGTGTCTTATATGAGCACAATTCATGGTGCCCCAGAACAATTGCAATAGTAACATCAAAGATCACTCATCACAGATCACCACAACAGATATAAAATAAAAAGTCTGAAATATTGCAAGAATTAGCAACATGTGACCCAGAGACAGATTAAGCACATGCTGTTGGAAAAGCGGTACTGATATATTTACTTAATGCAGGGGTGCCACCACTTTCAATTTCTAAAAAATGAATTATCTCAAAAGCTCAATAAAGCAAAATGCAATAAAACGAGGTATGCACATCCTAATCACATCCTAAAGGCCTCACCTCTTAATACTGTCGTAATGGCAATTATGTTTCCAACTGATAAACTTTGGAGGAGGCACATTCACATCGTAGCACCATATAAATGAATGCAAAGCAAAATGGGCCCAAGTAGGTTGTTGAAAAACTAATGGGTAGAAGGGTCTTGGATGCTCACATTAATTGGAGGAAAATGAAAAAGAGACAGTAGGATAATCAATGGCAATAAGATTTCTTGCCATGGAAAGGTCTAAACTAGATATGAATGAAAATCCAGCTAAATGCAAAGATCAGGATCGGTCTTTTCCCTTTTTTCCCAAATATACACTATGTTATTTTCTACTTTATGTCTTTGGTACACAAAGTGAAATATGGCATGGGTTGCCAAATTTTGCAAAGTAAATAATACATAGAATTCAGACCCTACTGGATAAATACATTCTATTTTTAATGATTCAGAAGGGCCCTCATGAGGATGATTATTTTTATTTGTTTATTTACTTATTTATTTTTTGTGACAGAGTTTCGCTCTTTTGCCCAGGCTGGAGTGCAGTGGCACAATCTCGGCTCACTGCAACCTCTACCTTCTGGTTTCAAGCTGTTCTCCTGCCTCAGCCTCCCGAGTAGCTGGGATTACAGGCGCCCGCCACCATGCCCGGCTAATTTTTGTATTTTTAGTAGAGACGGGGTTTCACCATGTTGGCCAGGCTAGTTTCAAACTCCTGACCTCGTGATCTACCCACCTCAGCCTCCCAAAGTGCTGAGATTGCAGATGCGAGCCACCATGCCTGGCCATGATGATGATGATAGATTCCTTCTCAGCAATCCAGAGGAATTAAATCTAGTCTATCTTAATCCATGTTTATCAACCTGTATTGTGTAATTCAATTAGGCACTTAACATTAGAAACTTATAAAAACAAAAGTAGCATAATACTCAGCTGTGTTAAGAAAAATGTGATATCAACTACTCCTCCTTTATTACAGTGACTCAGAACACCCGTGTCCTTCCCAACATTGGATGCAATGCTAAAGACATGATGTTGCTCCTGCTGGACCACACCTTGAAGGAATTGCCTACCCCACCTCACCTCCAAAATTAAAGTCTTTCGTTTTGACAAAAGTTAATGATAAGGTTTGATGTGCTAATTTCAGCACCTCCACTTCATGTCTACACTGTGGACATATACTTTTTTGTTGTTTTGGGGTTTTTGTCATGTTTCACTCACTTTCTCTATTATTCTTTATAGCAGGACTTGCTTTAGAGTCATTACTTTCTGTTAAAGTTGTTCCTTCAAAAGTTGACAATTACTGGCTGGGCACGGTGGCTCACGCCTGTAATCCCAGCACTTTGGGAGGCTGAGGCGGGTGGATCACCTGAGATTGGGAGTTCGAGACCAGCCTGACCAACACGGAGAAACCCCGTCTCCATTAAAAATACAAAATTAGCCAGGCGTGGTGGTGCATGCCTGTAATCCCAGCTACTCGGGAGGCTGAGGCAGGAGAATCGCTTGAACCCGGGAGGCAGAGGTTGCAGTGAGCCAAGATCACGCCACTGCACTCCAGCCTGGGCAACAAAGAGTGAAACTGTCTAAAAAAAAAAAGCTGACAATTACTTTTCATTGGCTTCTTCACACCTAACACCTATCTTTTCACACAAGGCAGAAATAAATTGCTATTAGCTAATCTGCTAAATCCACTTAGAAATATAATCAAGAAAAAGGAAAACATCCTTGTGTCCAAGGCATTCTGATTTGTAAAAATGGTTTGTATGTGTCATTTACTCAAATCAACTCATTTCACCAAAAGTACTCAGAAACATAACCCTAAACATATGTGTATTCCATCCCAAAGTTTTTCATGTAGTCAGTATTTTTGTATAGTCACATTATAAAAATATTTTATTTAATAGTGTTGTTGATATATTAGTATATAGTGTGAGATTCAGATACTTAAATTTTTTGAAAACTTGCATTCATTAACATATCAACATATATTTTCTCCTTTTATTTACATTAATCTGTGATATCAACATGAGAGCAAGAATTATATTGAAATTTATATTTTTCCTGGAAAGAAAGTGAAGTTCTGTGAACATGAGTAATTTGCTCACCACCATCTAGCCAGTATGTCTGTAGAACTGAGATCAAAATCCAGTTCTTCTAACTCTTTCTATTTTCAAAGTAGAGATTCCTCCTAATGCCAAACAAGAGTTCCCTGGCTCTGTTTTCTATCCTAGGAGGTGATTGTCTTAATGATTTTGTTTTAAATTGTATCTTTTTTCAGTTTTATGTGCAGAGGATATAACATATACAAATATAATTCATGGAAACACTCAGGTTGTTCAGAGTTGGAATGTCAGTGATTTTGTTGTTTTAAGCACTATGACGTGTAGGAGACACTTACATATACTAACAGTATAGAAAGGAATGATCTTAATATTATATTAATTATAATTAATTAACAAATTTGCATAAATTTTACTAAAAGTATGACATCAGCCAACAGAATATTAGTAGTCAAGTGTGCACATTGGTGTCAAAATAAGACAGTTTCTAGCCTCAAAGAGAGTAGTTAGGAAAGCATCATTATATACACAATATCATATAGTATATCATATTTCTATAGTGCTTACAACTACAAAGCACTTCCCCTCCTTTTCTTCCTACTCAAAATGATCTTGTGAACTAAGCAGGGCAGGGCTTCATTCTATTTTACAGATAAGGCAGCCCTAGATCAGAATTCATGGCAGACATTCAATCTTCAAACACGTATCAAGAGACTGCTATGTGTCAGCAGTGATTTGGGGGCACTGGGCATGGGAAGCTAACACCAGTAGGGTGCCTCCCACAGGCTTCCAGAGTAAGGGAGAAGAAGGAACCATCATCCGTCACTGGGAGGCTGTGGTGACTGCCATACCAGAGGACAAGGGAGGCAGAAACAGTCTGAAGGCTCAACCGTGAACAATGTGTGTCTTTGAACTGTGAACCCAGTGTGTCTGTGTTTGATTCCAGTGCCTTTTTCAGGAGCAATTGAGTCACAAGCCATGAGATTCTGATGATAAATGTTACTGGAATTCAGAGAAGGAAAGAACATTGGGATGTGCTGGAACCGTTAGAGTAAGTGAGGTTCAGTGTTGGCTTTACAGGATGGGTTAGTGGTTGGATAGCTACAGGGAAGGGGAAGCATTCCAAAGAAGCAAATTACAAAGCAGGAGCTTGGCGAGAGACAGTGGGTCTTGCTATGGTGGTTAATTCTGTGTCAACTTAACTGGGTTAAGGGATACACAGAGAGCAGATAAAGCATCGTTTCTGGGTGAGTTTGCTGGGGTGATTCTGGAAGAGGATAGCCTTTGAATCAGCAGATCAAGTAAAGATTTGCCCTCACCAATGTGGGCAGGCATCATCCCATCCATTAAGGGTCCAAATAGACCAAAAAGGCAGAGACAGGATGAATTCTCTCTTCCCTTCAGCTGGGACTTCCATCTTCTGCCTTTGGAGATCAGAGCTCTTGGTTCTCGGATCTTCCAACTCCAGGATGTACACCAACACATCCCCCACTTCCCCACCCAGGCTCTGGCTCAGACTGGGATTTACATGATCAGCCCTCCTACTTTTGGACTCAGGCAGAATTACACCACAGGCTTTCTTGGGTCTCCAGCTCACAGAGGGCAGATGGTGGGTCTTCTCAGCTTCCATGAGCATGTGAACGAATGCCCATGTTAATGAGTGTGTGCATATGTATACACACATACCGATAGATTAGATAGACAGATGATAGATGATAGACAGATGATAGATGATAGACAGATGATAGATGATAGACAGATAGATGATAGATAGATAGATAGATAGATAGATAGATAGATAGATAGATAGATTCTCTGGAGAACCTTGACTAATGCAGTTGGGAATGAAGTGAGTTGTCAAATCTGACAGAGGTAGTGTATGTAGACTGAGAAAAATTAGAAAATGAAGCTTCACCAGTAGAACGGCACAAAATTATAAGTGACCATTAAGGCTGGGAGAGAGAGTTTGATCTTTATGCAGAAGAAAATAGGGTGTGGTATGCAGAAGGGTGGCATGACAATATGAGTGATTTAGAAAGCTTATCGCAGTGAAAGATGGATTCCAGAAGGAATGGGTAGAGACAGATTTATCAGTTAAAGAGCTGCTGTAACATTCCAGGCATGAAGGGTGAAAGTCTGAGCTTCAGCCTCAGTAGCCAGACTCGAGAAGAAAGGGTAAATTCAAGAGACACTTTAGAAGGGAAAATGATGAGCACAGTGACAGACTGCCTCTAGCGAATTTCAAAATGGCAAGCATCAAACATTACTCTTCTCTTTGTACTCATTATGCTTTTCATCTCATTGTACTTTCCATTAATTCTTTATGACGTGTCATTTGAGCAACAATAATTTAAACATTTAAGAAGATGTGTGACTATCATTTTCTGAGAAGTACAATGAGATGAAAGATGTTAAAAGTACACTGCATATAGTAAGTGCTCAATAAATGTTCATGAAGAAATTAAAATTTAAAATTGCTAACATATAAATCCTTTCAGAGATAAGTTTTGGGATCTAGAGTTGTCACACTTGAGTTATACAAAGCTTGAAGTCAAGAACAAAGAAATGGGGGTTTTAAGCAGTAAAATGTTACAGGAGACTGCTTTGGAAATTCAAGAAAAGAAATTGATACAAACAACTCGAGAGATGATATATTAAAATACAAATGAGAAGTATCCCATCTAATTTTTATACCAGAGGTATACTATTGAATCAGCAAAATTATGAAATTTTTATGGATTGGTAGTACTAGAATATACTCAAGAGAGCTCAGAAATGAAAACGTATCTGTCTAGTGACAAAAAACTAAAAATGAAGTTTTATCTCTGTCAATGATTTGTATATGATAATGACTGTATTATTATTATGAACAAAAGCTGAATAAAAATAAAGATATTATTAGGTCACTTCATGAAATTAAATTTTTGAATAACAAGTTAATTATAAATACAAATCTTCCAACATTTTTCGATCCAGATGATTCTCACAAAATTTAGAGACAAATGTGTTGTGCACTGACTTCACAATTGAGGAATGGAATCAAAATCATTGCTCAAATGTTAATTATACCATTTTGCTTGTTCAGAAAAACATATCTCAGTAAAATCTGATATTTATAAGTTTATAAAAATATTCACGGAAATTTTTTACAAAGAAAGAAAAGCCAACCCAGTCAATATAAAAATATTAATTTTATAAATAAGAAGTTTGCCTCTTATTCAGAAAAATGTTTTTCCCCAGAAAAATTTTACTTACATTAAACATCCTAAGCAAACAGCTGAAATTGTTTTGAAACATACAAAATATTGATGCGATGACTGTCTAGTAAACTAGTTTATTTGGAAATTTTCAATCATGTCATTCATATAGATTCTGAAATTAAATACAGAAAAACATCTCCAATGTACGTACAGTTTATGCACTGTTAGGAGGTTTTTTCTCTGTGGGAACACCATAGGGTACCCTTACCCAAACCTAGATGGTATAGCCTACTACACATCTGGGCTGTATGGCATAGCCTACTGCTTAGGCAATGAGCCTGTACAGAATGTCACTGACAGCAGGTTACTGTGCTGAATACTGCAGGCAATTTAACACAGTGTAAATATTTGTGTATCTAAACATATCTATTATAATTTTATGAAACCTCTATTACATATGAGGTTCATCACTGAAACATTGTTATGGGAAACATGGCTGTATATTCCCCTGAAATCATTAATTTTCATCATTTATATGCTCAGCATCATTTATATGCTCATTTATATGATTTTATAGAGTTGTTCAGATTTAGTTCATGAATGCTTTCTTCGGTTGCATCCTACCTAAACCTTTACAGAGATTCATAGCTGGAATTAATCTGATTTTTTTCCATAGTACATGTTTATCTCCTTTACAGCACTTATATAACAATGCTGCTATAGATCAGCCTTCCCTGGCATGTGTGAGGAATTCATTCAGTATTTGTTCAATAAGCAATACATTGAACTTTGAACACCTCTTCTTTCTTCTCTGGTACCCTGGATACGGAAGGTGCTCAGAAAATTGATTCTAATCTCTTCATATTTTTGCAGCCCTCAGCAATGTTAAATAACGTGTTTAAAATGAGATACATAATTTAGGGTTAAACTTCTTTTTTACACATATTAGAAGTATTTTAAAAACTAAAAGAGATTCAAACCGCAATCAAATTTGCCTTTGTTTTACTAAATGAGAAATGCTAATATTAGGTTTATGATAAAAATATTTTATCAGGAACAACAGTAAGTAAATAATTTTTTTAAAATTTTGACATCACTTGTCCTAATGTTATATCAGAAATCTTATCTAATCTGTTTTTTACCTGCCATTGTTCTCTGAGAGGAATACTTGACATAATGAACTCAAAATACGACTCCATGTTTATTTTTGTGTCCTTCCTCAGTTTTACTTCAGTGCTCAAGTTGTTTGTCTCTATTTTAAAACATTTTCTTTAAATAAAAATGCGTGTACAAATCAAGGTTGAAGCTAGATGCATCTTTCAGTGATCATTGACTTTATCTGTGTCTTTATCAAGAATAAAGAGCTAGCTAATGTCAGAACCAGGGTTTAATTTGTTGGCCGGGGCAGGGGTGGGGGAGGCTCTGTTTTTTCCTATTAAAAAATCCAACACTGAAGTATCCTCCTGAATACGTACATTGATATATTGTGTATAAAGAGAAAAATGAACATGTAATTTGTCTCCTTTAAAAATTGACTTTTTTAGTATAATGACACACACAAAGTGCAATAAGGCAATTCTCCCGAATGCATTTTCTTTGGGCAGACAGATGTAAGATGACTTCAGGAGCCTCAATAATTCATGCAGCTTCCTATATTGTCTTTTACATTCATAACACTTTAATCTATTGTTCCATTGTCTTGCTTGGCCAATATAGAGAAGTGATGACTGAATTCGGTTTGAAGTCTCAGTCTTTTCTCACCCTGGTTTTCTTGTTTCTATTCTCCCACACCAATAAATACGTGAAACCTAATAAGGATAAAAAAATTCTGTTGAGAGTAGAACGATATTTTAAAAACACGAGGTGTGACTTCTAGAGATAGGTAAGTTTAGACACATGCGTGCTGCATGCCAATGGACTTGTTATGCTCTTTTTTCTCTTCAATTAATCAGTACTAGAATTATACCAGAGACACATCTTATAGCCAGTTTAGTGACATTGCTTGACAACGCTCACATACTTACTGAACGAAGTTTATAATTTTTCATCCTCATAGCACCTTCTATCCTTATTACAACTAAGTATGTCAGAATTGCCTTATTATATATCACACACGAAAAACTAATTCTAAGAGAAGTTCCATCATTTACTCAAGGTGGCAGGATTACTGTCTTAATCGAAATTTAAACTGAAGTTTTCTGATTAAAATCATGTGATAATAGCATTACTCTCTGGGAACTCACCTGTCAGAGGTAACAACATTTTGTAGCTTTCCTAAAGATTTTTTCTCAAGGAGAAAAATTTAGGGTTCTAGATGAATAAGAGGTTACATCTTAATAACCTTCAACACATATCACCTGTCTCTAAAAATAAGCCTGTAATTGTCAGACTCCTGTTGATTAATTTCCTTTGCTGGGAAGACTTGATCCCATTTTCATTGCTTCCCTGCTAGCAAAGCCCTGTTCCTGTCAAATCATGTGTATTACAGTGCTTTTGATTTCCTCTACAATTAGTCTAGTTTTTTAATGATAGCGGTATGTGCCCATGATAAAACTGTAGTCTGCAAAATAGGAAATGGTGTTAAGAACAACATAAGAAGACTTTTGTTTCCCCTATAATTAGAGCGGTCCAAAATGGAATAGGCTTTCTCCTAAAAGAAATATTTATAGGTGTGCTGAAGCTGGTATTGTATGACGGCAGGTCAGAATGGCAAGAAGAAAAATCCTGCATCGACTGAGGGGTGGATCTAGATTAGTCTTTTCTAGCACTTTCCTCGTAAGAATCATCTAGGGAGTTTGTTAAAATACATTTTCCCTTGGTTCTGGCTATCTGTGTGTCAGCTAGATCCCGAGGTCATTTTTACGATCTGGAAGTTTTGACAATATTGCCTCGGCAGATGACTAACAGAACTTCCGCCTCAGCAAAAGTCTTTGCACTGGGGCTAGGAATGTGTCAAGTGAGAGCTTTTGTGTTTTGCGTTTTTTAAATTAGTATTATTTTTATTGACAAATCATAATTTTATATGTTTATGGGGTACAATGTGATATTTTGATATATAACAATGTGAAATGATTAAATTGAGCTAATTAACATATCCATCATCTCGTTTACCGATCATTTTTTATGGCGAGACGTTTGAAATGTACTCTTTTAGTCATCTTGAAATATACAGTATAGTACTGACTAGAGTTGTTCTGTCGTGCAGCAGGGGGAGGGAGGGAGGGCATGGGAAGTTGTTGAATGAGGGGTACAAAGTGATAGCTTTAAGTTGTGATTAAGCTGTGGTTCCTAGCTCGAGGGTTGAAAACAGTTGATGGACTGCAAAGAATATAAGGCATAAAAAAAAACGCAAGAAGATATAGAAAAAGAAAGGAAAGGATTGAAGGGGTGGGAGAAGGAAGAAAGAAATGAATGTAAGGAGAAGAAAACATGAAGAAAGGAAGAGAGAGCGAGAAAAAAAGGAAGGAGGGAAGGAAAAGCTGAGCTCAGATGGAAGAGGGGTATTTAATGCTCGTTGAATGCATGTGCCAAATTTCAGGGATAAATTGGGCAGAGTAGAAAATAAATTAAATATGACTCAAATCCATAGTAAAATATAAACTGGATCCCAGGCCAATTTTTTTTTCTTTTCATCTACTGTCAGAAAAGTAAAGTTTTTGTAGTAGGGAAATAAGGAACATTTGATTTTTATAAATCTCCTAAAACATTAAGAAATTTTTGAGTTTGAGGTGAACTAGGAAACCAAATATCAAATATCTGTCTCTTTTGTAATTATTTCTTGCCTGGCTCTCAACCTACTGTCTTCTCTTTTTTAATTAAAGGCTTCCTGGGATACATATGTACTCATATTTGGTCATGATATCTTTTGATACAATTATAATTCAAATAATTTAAATTATCAAAGAATAATTTCCATTTGTAGAGATGCTGAACAGACTCTAAGGATGACCGTATGTTCCAAGGCAGACATGATCCACACCCAAAAGCGTAAATAGCTTATATGAGCAGCTCTTAGAATGACAGCCATATGCAATAATCAGCTGGACACCTGTCTCTTTGTGTTTGCATACAGCAAAATATACTTAGGGAGCATTTCTACATCACAAAAGGAAGTTTTATTCAGCTTTATTATCAATGAATAATATATCAGAATACAGTTTGCATAGTGCCACTCATACCAAAATTACAGTGAATTTTCCTCTTGAGATGACTCAGTCTCAATAAGAGATCATTTGTCTATATACATATAACCTGCACAGAATGCAATTTTTGTGCATAAATATTAAATCATTATGATTCATTTTGTTTAAGGAACTAAAAATACAGTTAAATCTATTATTGTGCCTAACTATAAGAGTTTTCTGACTATGCATTACAATGTTTGAATCAATATAATTTTATTATATGTATGTTGTTATACAGTTTAAAAGTATGTTAGCTTAGAGTATTTAATATGTGGCACTCACAGACAAATAACAAAACGAAGTCCCTAGAAAATAGCATGATATTAAATGTTTTATCATGAATAAAAAAATATTTGAATAGTGCTTCATAGAATAATTACCTTTCTCTGGGTTTATAATATTGGTAAAGTCTAAAGATCTTCTGATTGGAAAGGAAGATAATAATGGTGTCTTAAGATAACCTCTTGAATCTTCTCAGAATCACTCAGAATGAGACAGAAATGCTAGAGGGTTCACAACGAGCATGCTGTTTTGTCAGTCCCCCTCTTCATCCTTACCATGGTACAGCAGAAAGTTGCTAAGGATTTCTCTCGGTGAAATCTGAGCTTTGACCACATTTTGAAGTCACTCCATATATACCTTTGGAAGAAATGCCAAAGACAATCTTTTGCAAAATTTCTTGTATTTATTTGTAACTGAAAAATGATTGAGCAGCTATTTTGTGCCAGGATGTGGGCAAGGTATTGAGAAAAAAGAAATGATTATGGCATTAATTATTTTTCTCCAGCAGTTCACAATATTCTACAAAAAAGAGATACTGGGGCAAAACCAGAAACAAAACTAAACATCAGTAACTAAATTTTTCCACACTAAAGACACAAATGAGGTAATATATACATTAAGACTTAAAATTTAAATACATCCAAGCCCCTCAAGCTTTTTCCCACCCAGATTATGCCCTCTGCAAATCACTCTACAGCTGCTGGGATTTGTTTACAGTGGAGCTGGGCACCTAGAACTGTTGTGAACATCAGGTCTGGCATGTGTGGCATAGGGTCAGGGCCGTGCATGTTCCCTTAGGCTTCGCATGCTGGTCAGGATGTGCACATACTTGGCCAAGCCTGTGCCCAGGGCAGCAGTGTCCTTTGCCCTCTGTGAAGGGCTGACTGGCCCGGATTTGTTCAGTTCAGCCTGTTTGGTGAGAAATCTCTCATGGACCTTTTCTCACTGGATAACCACAAAGAGATGAATTTAGATTATATTCTCTAAATATAATCTACATTATAAAGGAGGGAACTGGAAAAAGGATGCTGGAGTTGAATTTGCCTTCCATCTTTTTCTACGGTTTCCTTGTGTCAAAACCATTTCTGTCCTCATATTGCCCTTTCAAATGCTAATTACATTTAAAGTTTTTTTCACAGAGCACTTTACAGTTTACAAAAGTAATTCAATGTGATTTCATGGAATAGGAAAATAACATGTTGGTGTGAATATCTGAGGCTTTATTCTCACTAAGTACAGGGTACAGATACAGTAAGTGAAGCTGGTGAATATTTGAGAGCCGTGGGTGGTGGTCCGCACCTGTGGTCCCAGCTACATGGTCACTAAGTACAGGGTACAGATACAGTAAGTGAAGCTGGTGAATATTCGAGAGCCATGGGTGGTGGTCGGCACCTGTGGTCCCAGCTACATGGGAGACCGAGGAGGGAGGATTGGCTGAGTGCAGGCCTGGAAGGCAATGTGCTAGGATCATGGCGCTGCACTCCAGCTTGGCAACACAGTGAGATCCCGCCTCTAAAACAACTTAAATTTTTTAAACAATGAATATTTTATCATAGTAACAGTAGCAAATTTTAAAGCATTTATTATTGACCAGGTATAGTGGTATAGTGATAAGTAGGTACATATATTGTTTTATTTAGTGTTTAACCCTCAGGAATAAGTATGCTTATTGCCCTTCACAGGTGGGAAAAGCAAGGCAAAGAGAAAGTGAACAACAATGAAACTAGGAACGTAACCCAAGCGCTCGTGCCAGAGCGTGTATGCTCGATCTTGGGACCACACCACTTCCCTTGGTAAATTTTCAAGCATTTAGTATTTGTGTGAAGGCAATCATATTGTGCAGAGGAATGACCAGGCTACAAAACACAGTGTGTGGGAGACCGCTTAATGCTAACACTAATTCTATGGGTGACATTCAGATCTATAAAAGATTAAGTGAATAGAGCTGACTTATTGAGAGGGGTTTGTTGTAGTCGACTTAAAACCAATAAAAGACAACATGATGTCTTAAAGTCACTTCAAGATAAATTAATCAACTTATAAGCACATATAGCCATTAAGATCAATTCACTTTACAAAGATTAGAAAATGATAAAGGGGCATAAAATACAAACTTACTATCTGAGAAAATCAGGTTGTAGGGCTTTTCTCCTGCAAAATGAAGTAATTGTCAGCAATGTCCACTTGGTAGAACAGTGTTTTCCACTGTTCTCTTCATAGCTTTTTCTAATACGATAGTTAAAAGAGGAACTAGCTCTTCAGACCCAGGCAGTTGAAAACCAGCTCATTGGGTTCCAGCTCCACGGGTCCTTCTCTACATGTTTATTGCACATAATAATGTTCCTCTTGGGGAAAATATGCTGCAATATCCCTCTGATTTATTGTATTTCTACATATTGTTAATGTAAGGACTCTGGTATTCAACAAAGAAATTATGGCACATCTGGGTACACAGAATATTCTACCTTCCACAGAAAAGGTCAGGAGAGAAAGAAAAGAGAGAACTGAAATATAAACCCTTCAAATTGAGGTGAAATCCTGACTTTGCCCCTTGGTTGGCATCATCATTAATCACTACTAAGCAACTGCAATTAGAAGAGATTAACTGGAACTTAGAGTTGCTAAACAAAAAGAAAAAAATAGAAAGGAAATAAAGCTGTCTTCCTACGATAGACAAAATCACAGGGCCATTTTCTTCCATTGATTTTTGCTCTCATTAAGATATATTCATTTACTTTCCTTTTGAAGCTTGACGTAAGAATCTTGAAACTAGAATTGTCTTCAATGAATTATTTTGCCCATTACTCTTCTTATACAGAGGTGAATTCCAGATTGGCTTGGGACAATGACTGTTTATGCTTTAACCATCTCCAAACGCAAATAACTAGCAAAACTCTTTATCTCATTCTAGTATTAGGCACTCCAAGTTCTGCAGCAAATATTCACTCTGATGACCATATGGAAAATAACACATAATTTCTGCTTTCTTGTATCTTAAAATCAGAAGATGAAGCCAAAACACAAGATAAATAGGAAATCCAAACAGTGACCCCAAAATTGTGTTTTGTGAAAGAAGAATAGAAACACAAAAGTGGAGAGAGAGACCTCATTAGGATGTGAGTAGCAAAGGGGGTTCAGTGAAGCAGCAGAGCTTCCGTTATGTTTATAAGAGGGATAACATTTAGAGATAAATCTTAAGATAGAGAAAAAAGAAGCTGATGCACCAAGAAAGAGAAGAGGAGAGCATTAGCATAGTGGTGCAGGGGCTGGAACCAGCACCATGTGTTTGTGGAAACAAGGAAGACAGGATTATCAGTCAGCTTCTGGAAGGTATGTTGGAAAGGGTTTCACAAATGTAAAAGAGGTTATTGATAAATGGGAAGTATATACACCATATATTTAAATACAATGTATTTTTATTAAGCAGTGACCTCTTTAAATGTAAAGAATGTGTGCTTTCTGACAAAGGTTGAATATCCAGCATCATAAGGAACTTAAATTTACAAGAAACAAAACCCATAAAAAAGTAGGCTAAGGACATGAACAGACACTTTTCAAAAGAAGACACACATGCAACCAACAATCCCACAAAAAAAAGGTCAACATCACTGATCATTACAGAAATGCAACTCAAAACCACAATGAGACACTACCTCACACCAGTCAGAATGGCTATTACTAAAAAGTTAAAAAATAACAGAGCTGGCAAGATTGTAGAGAAAAAAGAATGTTTATACACTGGGAGTGAGAGTGTAAATTAGTTCAGCCATTGTAGAAGACAGTGTGGTGATTCCTCAAAGACCTAAATACAGTAATACCATTTGACCCAGCAATCCCATTACTGGGGATATATACGAAGGAAGATAAATCATTCTATTATAGAGACACATGCATATGTATGTTCATTGCAGCACTGTTCACAACCGCAAAGACATGGAATCAACCTAAATGCTCATCAATGGTAGACTGGATAAACAAACTGTGGTACATACACACCATGGAATACTATGCAGTCATAGAAAAAGATCCCGTGCTTTGTAGGAATATGGATGGAGCTGCAGACCATTATCCTTAACAAACTAACACAAGAACAGAAAACCAAACACCGCATGTACTCACTTATAAGTGGGAGCTAATGATGAGAACACATGGACACACAGAGGGGAGCAACACACACTGGGGCCTTTTGGAGGGTGGAGGGTCGGAGGAGGGAGAGGATCAAGAACAACTACTAATGAGTACTAGGCTTAAAACTTGGGTGATGAAGTAATCTGTACACCAAACCCCCACAAAACAAGTTTACCTATGTAACAAACCTGCGCTTTTACTAAACTTAAAAAAAGAATAACCACATGTGCCCTTAAAAAGGAATGCACGCCTTATGCTTAGAATTTTAGTAAAAAATGGTTAAACAGGTGGTTTTACATGCACACACATTTTGACAGCTAAATGAGACTAAAAGGTTGAGTCCTATGGCAGCCAGAAAACAACTGTAATTTTATCTTGCAACAATAGGAAAAAAGTTCATCTTAAAGTCCACCTGGGATATCACTATTTTGTTTTACAGGCAGTTAGACATGATAATAATCATTCATCTACAATATTTACTGGTCATCTACTATAGCCAAGGTACACAATTTTTGTAATTCAGAAGCTTAGACAGGTCCTGATAAAAGACTTTCATACAGACATATGTTTATGACATATACCTATGGCATACATTTATAACATGGTGTGTCCGGAATTGGTTTCTTCCAGTGGGTTCTTGGTCTCACTCACTTCAAGAATGAAGCCATGGACCCTCGAGGTGAGTGTTAACAGTTGTTAAAGATGGTGCGTCCGGAGTTTGTTCCTTCAGATGTGTCCAGAGTTTCTTCCTTCTGGTGGGTTTGTGATCTCGCTTGACTTCAGGAGTGAAGCCACAGAACTTCCTGGGGAGTGTTACAGCTTTTGTCTGGAGTTGTTTGTTCCTCCCAACGGGTTCGTGGTCTTGCTGACTTCAGGAATGAAGCCACAGACCTTCACAATGAGTGTTATAGCTCATAAAGGTAGTGCAGACCCAAAGAGCAAGCAGCACCAAGATTTATTGTGAAGAGCCAAAGAAGAAAGCCTCCACAGCATGGAAAGGGACACCAGCGGGTTGGCTGGGTGGCCAGCTTTTATTCCCTTATTTGGCACTGCCCACGTCCTGCTGATTGGTCCATTTTACAGAGTGCTGATTGGTCCATTTTACAGAGTGCTGATTGGTCCATTTTTACAGAGTGCTGATTGGTGCATTTACAAACCTTTAGCTAGACACAGAGTGCTGACTGGTGCGTTTACAATCCTTTAGCTAGACAGAAAATTTCTCCAAGTCCCCACCTGACCCAGAAGCCCAGCCAGCTTCACCTCTCAATAGTTATAACAGTTAATAAGAGCAATGTTGAAGATATGCATAGGTAGAAAAAGGGGGTTCAGTGAATTTAATCTGTATTAGGGATTGTTAATGATGAAGTATAGTAATTATATTTAGCCAAATGGAAGAGGGATAGGTATTCTGCATAGAAGGCACAACATCAAGCTATAGGGGCAAAAAACTAGTATTTATGAAGCTACAAAGAGTTTGGTATTGTTGGACATAAAGTAGATGGGAGGAAGAATGAGACTGACCTATAGAAAACATAAAGCAGATGATGGAAACCTTTATACACCAGTTAAGGGTTTGCTTCTTGTTGTCTATGGGTAGCCATTGAGAGGTCTAAAAAGGGGAGAATCATGATAATCGTAGTTGGAGAGAGATAACCCTGATGGCTGGTAAGAATGTAGAGAGGGAGGCTATTTGGAAGTTAAGTAAGAAGGATGGTCACTCCTAAGGCCAAGATCTCCAGCCTCACTGGTCTCCTTGTTGTTCCTCCAACCACACACCCACCCTGACTTGGTCCTCCTCTTTCTGGGACACTCTTCTCCCATTTATTCATGGCTAGCTCATACATTCTTTAAGTCTTTACTCAGTTATGACTTCATCAGTGAGGCCTACACTGACAAGCCCATTTAAAGCTTGGGATTTTTTTTTGTTTTTTGCTTTTTGTTGTTTGTTTTGAGACAGGATTTCTCCCCTTCACCCAGGCTGAAGTGTAGTGGTGTGATCAAGGCTTATGCCAGTTTCAAACTTCTGAGCACAAGTGATTCTCCTGTCTTAGCCTCCCAATTGCCTGGGGCTACAGGTGCCCACCATCATGCCCAGACTCCATTTAAAGTTTTAATCTCCTCTACATTCCTAATCCTCCTTATCCTGTTCCATTTATCTTACTCTATCCTGGGTACCAGCTTCTGATAGCCAATGTATTATAATCATTGTTTATTTTCTGTCTTCCCCAACTAGAATTAAGCTTGAGAAAGGCAGGATTTTGCTTTGTTTTCTTGGCCAAATCAAACTCAAAACTCAGCTTTAGGAGTGCTAGCACATATTAGGCATTCGGTAAACATGAACTTAATAAATGAAGAAGATTAAGATGGAAGGTCCAGTTTTTTTTTTTTGTTTTTTTTGTTTTTTTGTTTTTTTTTTGAGATGGAGTCTTGCTCTGTCACCCAGGCTGGAGTGCAGTGGCACGATCTCGGCTCACTGCAAGCTCCACCTCCCGGGGTTCATGCCATTCTCCTGCCTCAGCCTCCCGAGTAGCTGGGACTACAGGCGCCCACCACCATGCCTGGCTAATTTTTGTATTTTTAGTAGAGATGGGGTTTCACCTTGTTAGCCAGGATGGTCTTGATCTCCTGACCTCGTGATCTGCCCGCCTCGGCCTCCCAAAGTGCTGGGATTACAGGCGTGAGCCACTGCACCCAGTCAATGGAAGGTCCAATTTAAGAAACATTGAGACTGGTGAATTATTGGATATGGAGGCTAAGAGAAAGAGCCAAGAATTGCTCCATTTTCCAGCATGGGTGACTAGTGGGTTATTATTTCCCTAATGGACAAAGAGAAGCTGGAGAAGGAGTTGATGTAGAAAGAAGGTGCTGAATTCTGTTTTGAATATGTGGAGCTTGTCATGCCTGTGGGATGTGCTGGCAGATCCCACAGATTTGTCCCACAGAGATGTCCCTTTAAAGCTCAGAGAAGCAGCTAGGATAGAAAAGAAAAATTTGGAGTCATCAGTTCCCAAGTGATGTGAAGACCCTAAAGTGGAGGGGAGGCCAGGGAGAGTGGTGCCCGAGATGACAGTGTACTAAGGACAGGATTTTAATGAATATCATGAATAATGATAGATGTATAGTACCATGACCTGTCAATAGTTAAGTACATCTTCCTATAAGATGATTTGGGAAGCTAACTTGTGGTGATGACGTGACCTGGGACAATCCCAAGAGGCAAGGGGGTTGGTTGAATTATCACAGTCCTCACAGCTGCTCAAGCTTCTGTTTGTGTGTCGCCAATTATGCTGAAGGATCTAGAAAGATGTGCCCTCCCTGCTCCTCCTCAGGCTTAGCATGCACTCAGTGGTTTCTGCAGCAAAGTTGCAAACTTTAATGCTCTGTATTTGTCGGCAGAAATAAGACCCAAATTCCTAAACGCATTTCTAATTAAACTATTTGATTCTCAGCTAATTGATATTCAATTAGCAGATATCCCTAAAATGACTAGGACACTGGGGCCATGTAGCGATGTTCTGGAATGTGACTTTGAAAGCTGCGTTGACTTTAGAACTGGCTACATTCATTTTGGCTGAAGAGGTCACCTAGAGTATAGGATTAAAAGGAAAGTGTATTTTTAAAAATATTATGCGATATTTAAAAAATAACATACTTTAGGTTCAATATTATTTTATGACTCACACATGCCATATTTGTGTGAAAATCAAG